>NC_000011.10:123536060-123839091 GCF_000001405.40 Homo sapiens
ACTACTGGTGTGACTATGGAGAAGTCACTTACTGTCCCCAAGCCTTGATTCTCTCATCTGTAAAATGTGGTTGTCCAGGCGTGGTGACTCACACCTGTAATCTCAGCACTTTGGGAGGCTGGGGCAGGTGGATCACTTGAGGCCAGGAGTTTAAGACCAGCCTGGCCAACATGGTGAAACCCCATCTCTACCAAAAACGTGAAAATTAGCTGGGTGTGGTGGTGCATGCCTGTAATCCAAGCTACTTGGGAGGTTGAGGCATGAGAATAGCTTCAACCCCAGAGGTAGAGGTTGCAGTGAGCCGAGATCTAACCACTGGACTCCAGCCTGGGTGACAGAGCAAGACCTTATCTCAAAAAATATGTAAATAAATGAAAAATAAAATAAAATAAAATCGGGTTAATGACATCTACCCCAGAGGGCTGTTGTGAAGACTGTCAGGATTCAATGAAATAATTCGTGTTGATGCTCTTGGGATGGGGCCTGGCACGTTATAAAAGTTAGCTGCCCCTATATTTTTTTTGTTTTATATTTAGCACTATATACAGAAAACATGGCTACAGTCCTTGCCTTTCCTGCACTTAAAATTTACTACTGTTTTTCATGCCTTAGGTGGGGCCAGCGAGTTCTGATCATTATTATTTTTCTAGTAGTGCCTTTCTCAGGACACAAGGTCACTATCAGTCAGTTTGACCCTTCCTTTCAAGTGAACAGCCTCCCCAGTCATGTGTTTTGGTCTCATTGCTGGAGCTCTTCCAACTCCTGTCCCACAAGGTTATGGTCACTTGACCACTGCACTGGAGGCTGGAACTTGTTCTACATTTACTGGAAGTGTGACTTTGGGCAAGTCACCAATGACCTCATCTCTAAGATGATGGGCAGGATTAGAGCAGTAGATTGGTCTCTCAGACCTTCGGGGGCTTCATGCTAAGGATCTTTAGTGTACAAGACCTTTAATATTCTTCCTGAGTTTCCACTGGATTCTTTCTGCCCCGTCTTGAATTAATTGTTTGTTTACTAAACTGACATTTCTTGAGTATCTACTGGGCTAGGTGGCAAGCATAAAAGGATGAGTCAGTACTGGTTGTTGCTCTAGCAGAGTGCCTGCTGTCATGGGGGTAGCCAGAGCTGGACCTCCCTTTCAGGTAGGGTCTTATAGGAAAATTCCACTGGAAAACTGAGATGCCTCTTCTACTGTAGTGCAAATAGATTTATCTTTCAGTTCAGACCTCTTTTTGGGCCCTTTCTCCTGAGACTGGGAGATTCTTTGTTTCATAATTGCTTCCCTGAAGTGACCTCAACTGTCTTTTCTTATTGAAAGGTCATAGTTTACATCCAGGGACATTATGACAATGACATGCAAAGCTCCTTTGTTTTCTAGAGGCTTAACTTCACAAACCTGAGGATGCAAATTTTGGGAACTGACCATTGAGCTTTTGAAGGTGATCTGCTGTGCTGGTTGCACATTATTTTCCTCAGGCTTCTTCTCGATCTGAAATGTACCTTTTTATGCGTTTATCTTGCATCTGTTAACTCTGGCATGTTCAAATGGTTTCTGTTAACCCCCTGATTTCATTAGCCAAGAGTTTCTACTTCACGTTCTTGCTTTCTTTGATATAAACAAGCAAAACACATTTGTACCTTGTGGGGCCTATGAGTAATAGGAGCCAACCATTACCATTTAGCGATTGAGCTTTCCTTGTATAAGCCAGTATGTTCATAGCAGCAATGATAGTTCTCCTTTTTACAAAAATCTGTACTTGGTGCAGTAAGTACTTAGTGCTGTTAAATACTGAAGAGTATTGTGTGTGCAGCTATAGAACTGGTTTTTCTCGCTTGTTGCAGTCTTAACTGCTTTCTGTGGCTAAATTCTCCTAAGTGTGTTTCTAGGCATAAGTTAGGACAGTTTTTATGCTGATCACTAGTGCTATAATATAATTCATAGTTGTCATCATTAGTCACAAGGTACCCTTAGCCACATCCTTGCCAGGAAAAGGAATATGAACTACGAATGAGCACCTGTCTCCCTCTTTCTATTCTTCTTGGGACGGGCTAAGCTTCATGCATTTGCTGCATGAAAAACATATTTATAACTATCTCCCATCCAACCTCCTCTTCACATCCTCCTCTCCCAGTCATTTATACTGGGAGCTTTTGCAGCATTTTTTCATTGTTCTTCCTCACTCTCCATGTGGTTCTGTCTTTGCAGTGTCTCCCTGACTTATACTACTCTGTTTCCTTAGACTCTTGCCACCTTCCTAATTTATCACCTTCTAGTGTCTTGCTTGGCATGGTGGAACAGCCACCTGACTGATTTCCCCTTTTGAAAACAGCTTCATTTTGATATAATCATGTACTGTACAATTCACTCATTTAAGATGTACAATTCAAAGGCCTTTAATTTGCAGCTATTACCACAGTCAACTTTACATCTCAACACCTCAAAAAGAATCCCCACACCATTTAGCTAGCAGTCCCTTACTCACCCTCACCCCTCGGCCCAGCTCTAGGCAACCACTTTCTATTTCTGTAGATTTCCCTATTCTGGACTTTATTTTATTTTATTTTATTTTTTTTTGAGACAGAGTCTCACTCTGTCGCCAGGTTAGAGTGCAGTGGCTCAATCTGGGCTCACTGCAACCTCTGCTTCCCGGGTTCAAGCGATCCTCCCACCTTAACCTCCTGAGTAGCTGGGACTACAGGCACGCATCACCACACCTGACTAATTGTTTTTTTTATTTTTAGTAGAGACAGGGTTTCACCATGTTGGTCAGGCTGGTCTTGAACTCCTGATCTTTCCTCAGGTGATCCACCCACCTCAGCCTCCTAAAGTGCCGGGATTACAGGTGTGAGCCACCGCGCCCAGTTCTGGACTTTAATATGAATGGAATTATATGGACTTTTGTTTCTGGTTTCTTTCACTTAGCATAACATTTTCAAGTTTCATCCAAGTTGTAGCATGTATCAGTACTTCGTTACTTTCTCTGGCTGTATAATCTCTTAATTTTTAAGTTCAGAGCTAGGCTTGGTGGCTCACACCTGTAATCCCAGCTACTCGGCAGGCCAAGGCAGGAGGATCACTTGATCCCAGGAGTTCAAGGATGTTACAATGAACCATAATCATGCTACTATACTCTAGCCAGGGTGACAGGGTAAGACCCTGTCTCTTAAAAACAAAAAACTCCAAACAATTGGGTCCAATTTTCATTCAGCTGTCATACAAGTAACATTACCAACGCTTCTTCAACACCTGAATTTGGGTTAAATGTGGTGGCTCACGCCTGTAATCTCAGCACTTTGGGAGGCTAAGGGTAGAGAATTGCTTGAACCCATGAGTTCAAAACCAGCTTAAGCAACATAGTGAGACCCCATGTCCAAAAATAAAAATAAAAATTAGCCAGACATGGTGGTATGCACCTGTTGTCCTAGCTCCTCAGGAGGCTGAGGTGGAAGGATCACTTGAGCCAGGAGGTTGAGGTTTCAGTGAGCCATAATCACACCACTGCACTCCAGCCTGGGTGACAGAGAGAGACCCTGTCTCAAACAAACAAACAAACAAAACCCAAACCCTGAATTTGATTCCCATTACTTACAAAATACAGTTGACACCCTGAACGGCATGCAGGGTGTTCTCTTGGCTGTCCCCATCCTGACTGTCCAGCCTCATCACTCAGTCCATTCTCTTATTGCAGCTACCGACACCCTCATCCATTGCAGGGCATGTCACATACCGTTTCTATCTCTGCAGTATTTAATTCTGCTGTTCCTTTGCTTATGCTTAGTGTTTCTGCCTACGGAAATCCCAGTTATCCTCCAGAATTTAGTTTCAGTACCTCCTCCTTGAAGAAATCTTTGCAGATTTAATTGATCCGCGAGTAGGAATTAGTTGTTTTCTATTCTCTGAGCACTATGGATTCCTATAATTTCAGTGTCTTGGGTTAGATATCATTCTGTCTTTTATAACATATTAAATCTTCTCTAAGAGTAAAGAGTTATCTCAATTTTTCTATCTTCCTTTTTTTTTTTTGAGATAAGGTTTCTGTCATGTGGGCTGGAGTGCAGTGGCATGACCACAGCTCACTGTACCCTTGACCTCCTGGGCTCAAGTGATCCTCCCACCTCAGCCTCCCAAGTGGCTGAGACTATAGGTGTGCACCACCATACTCAGGTTTTTTGGTTGTTTTTTTTTTTGTATTTTTTGTATAGACGGAATTTCACTGTGTTGCCCAAACTGGTCTCAAACAACCGGGCTTAAGTGATCCACTCACCTTGGGCTCCCAAACAGTTGGGATTACAAGCATGAGCCACAGCACCCAGCTGAGTTATCCTAATTTCTCTTTTATTTTCTCAGTGTACTTTCTACAAGGCTTTACACATAGTTGGTGCTCAAAAAGTATTTGCTGGATAATTGATGACACTTTGCATTTGTATAGTATTTTTGCTTTTTAGAGTTCTCTTACATATGTCTTCTCTTTAGTAAATTAGAATTAACTAATAATGTGAAGAGAAAGTTATCAGTAATCATAATTTGTTTGACTGTTGTTTTTTTTTTAACACAAATTATCCATGGGCATTGTATAAAAATTAGAAAATATAAAGAGCCAAAAGAAAACGAAATTGGTCATAATACCACCCCATATTAGCATTTTGGTTTATATCCTTCAAGCTATTTTTTCTATATATATTATAGATAGATACACACATACATTTAAGTCATCCTATATATTCTGATAATTAACAATATCTGATCTCTCTATAACAATAAGTGTTGGTTTTCATAGTTAATTTTAAGGATAGCATCACAAACATGCATCCCTATCTGTCCAATCTACTTGTATTTGACATTGAGCTTATCTGTAGTTTTTTTTAATTTAAAAATAAATGTCATGACTAGCATTTTTCTTTTCTTTTCTTTTCTTTTTTTTCTTTTTGAGACGGAGTTCGCTCTTGTTGCCCAGGCTAGATTGCAATGGCGTGATCTCGGCTCATCGCAACCTCCGCCTCCCGGGTTCAAGGAGTTCTCCTGCCTCAGCCTCCCGAGTAGCTGGTATTACAGGCATGTGCCACCACGCCCTGCTAGTTTTTTGTATTTTTTAGTACAGACGGAGTTTCTCCATGTTGGTCAGGCTGGTCTCAAACTCCTGACCTCAGGTGATCCACCTGCCTCGGTGTCCCAAAGTACTGGGATTACAGGGACTAGCATTCTTTAGATAGAAACCTAGAAGCCAGATTTCTGGGTCCCTAGTCCAAACTGCCTTTCAGAGAGGCTGTTCCAGCTTACACACCAAGCAGCAAGTCATGAGTACTGGCTTCCTCCCCGTGTCCTTCCTTGCCTCGGTATTTCCATTCTTTTTAGCCTTTGCCAATCTGATATTTCAAAAATGGTATCTCAGAGTTACATTGGTTTGCATTTCTTTGATCATTGGTAACATGTTATTAATTTTCATATGATCTATTTATATTTCTTCTGTGAATTGATTTTTTTTTTTTTTGGCCTTTGCTCCCTTTCTTGTTGACTTGTTTGTCTTTTTTATTCGTTGGAACTCTTTAATAAAGATATTAACCTTTGGTAATACATGTTGCAAGTACTTTCCCAGAGTTTCTTTTGTCTATTAACTTTAAGCTGATTTTTAGCCTATATAAGTTTGTTGGTTTGTTTGAATATAATCACATCAATCACTCTTTTCCTGTATGGTTTCTACATCTGGAATTATTCACAGGAAGTTCCTCCTGAAGTTTAAGAGTATATGTATTCTTATCCTATGCCTTTTTTTTGAGTCCTTCTGTGATTTTAAAAATTAATACATTAGTACACCTTGATATAATATTATATCTACTTTTATAAAACCTAGATGACTAAATAAATCTCAATCATGGAATTAGAGGGGACTTTGACAGTCATGTCCATTTTCCTAGCATCAGGTGCCAGGTAGATGAGTACCCCTTCCAGAGTGTGACTGTCGACCACTTCCCATCACTCCCCCATATTTTTCATTAGCTTTTCTAAAATCAGCCACTTTATTTTATGCCAGCTATGTATTTCCTAGTACCTGTCCTTAGTAGGTTGGTTTGAGGACTAAATCAGTTTGTAAATGAGATATAGAGCAATCTATAGTGCACCGAGTGGCACACCAACATTCCACATATGTCTTGGTGTATGTGAATGCATGGATGGTGGCATGAACAGTGATGCCAGATCCCTGAGGATAATGTAAGATAGCAGCTCTTTCATTGAAGCAGGGCCTTGGCCAGGCAACTGAGAGCACTCGCCAGTTACAAGGTCCCATAGGGAACGTGGAAGGAAGGAAACGTCATGGGATGCCTTTGAGAAGCGAATAGTCTGAGGGTTTTGAGAGACCTCATAGGCACTCACAGGCCATGCATAATGTACATCAGCAGGCATGAACTGTACTGGAGAATTCCACGGGATGCTGGAGAGTTTGTGCTCTGGGAGAATTTATCAGGGAAGTCTCCCTGGGGAAGAAGCATTGGGAGCAGAGCTTTGAAGAAAAGCTGGGACCACATAGGGTGGGTTTGTGGAATGAGGTCATTCTATGCGGAGAGAATGATGCCAGCAAGTAGGTTTTTGTTTTGTTTTGTTTTGTTTTTTAGACGGAATTTTGCTCTTGTTGCCCAGGGTGGAGTGCAATGGCATGATCTTGGCTCATTGCAACCTCCGCCTCCTGGGTTCAAGCAATTCTTCTGCTTCAGCCTCCCGAGTAGCTGGGATTACAGGTGCGTGCCACCATGCCCGGCTAATTTTTTGTATTTCCAGTAAAGACGGGGTTTCACCATGTTGCCCAGGCTGGTCTTGAACTCCTGACCTCAGGTGATCCACTCGCCTCAGCCTCCCAAAGTGCTGGGATTACAGGCATGAGCCACTGCGCCCAGCCTGGCGAGTAGTTTTTCTTTTTCTTTTTTTTTTTAAATTGAAACAGTGAAGTGAATTTGTTTCTTCCCTGTCTACCTCCTTTGCACTTGATTTCACTGTTTCCTCATTCTCAGCTTACTTTTTATACCTCTCGATTTTACTGCCGTTAAGAAATTGTCATTTTGCAGTGCTCGAGCTTCTGGGTGGGAAGACACCAGGGAGCAGGAAATAAACACATCTCAGAGAGCCTTCTGAGAGAACGCCAACCATAGCCTCTCTGCCAGCCTTCACTGCCAACCAAGGTAGAGGTGAAATGCTTGCTTTCTAAGATTTACCTGGAGCATGGTAGGCACTCCCCTATTTAACTGGATCAGTGAAAGAATAAAAATATACATGGACTTTCTGAGATGTGTAGCTGTTCAGGAAGCTGGTAAAGAACAGACCTGAAACCTCTGTGGCCAGGGAAGTTGGATAGGGGATGGACATTTGCTATGAAGGACATTGGTGTGGACACCTTGGGGGTGGCCATTCAACCCTCACTAAGTTGGCCAAAGGAGGAAACCCTGCTTATGGGCAGCTCCCACTGTCACATAACAGCAAGAAAAAGAAACCTTTGAAGTGGAGAGAGATACCTATAAACTCTGGATATGAATGCTGAGGAAACCAGAATAGAGAAGTCAGTGCAGTTGGCTGGTGTTAGCCAGAAACTTTTCTTGGAAGTCAAGTAACTGGGTAAAATACTTGCATTCCTAAGGTAGAAGGTCAAGAAATAGGCTTCTGCCTCCATATCTTTGATCCCATTTCGCAGAAGAATTCGCCATTTCCTCCACTGATGCCATCCTTTATCTCAGGGGTCAGCAAACTTCAGCCCGCTGCCTGTTTTTGTAATTTGTTCTAGGATGTAGTCACAGGCTTTCATTTACTTGTTGTCTGTGACTGCTCTTGCCCTATCACAACAGAGTTCAGTAGTTAGGACAGACTGTGTGGTCTGCAAAGCTTAAAGTATTTACTGTCCGGCCCTTTGCAGAAAAAGTTTGCCGACCTTGCTTTATATTGTTAGCAGTTGAATAATTCTGAGTTGTTTTTCCACAAGACTCATGGTGACTCATGGTTTGCACCAGCCCGTGCAATTTTCTTAATGAGGGCCTCCTTTGCTCATGGCATTATTTGCAAGATGATTTACTAGAACCAGGGGTGTGGTCTGGGAATTAGGCCTTTTGAGGAGAGATTGAACATCTGAGCTGCCTACAAGACACACATGGAGTGGCTAGTGCCCTAATAACAGACAGTATTTGTTTCTGATATTTATTTACTGCTCAATGTATGCCAATATTGTAGAGAAATCAAGGCTAAGAAGTTAGGAAAGGTACCCAAGGTCAAGTACCAGGATTTGAACCCAGTCTGCAGAATAAAAGCCCTTGCCCTAACCACCCCACTGCTTCCAACCAAACCCCTGACCACCTTTCCTTCCTAACTCTTTCTACTCTCTACTCTGTTCTCTTTGTGATTTCTGGGCCAATTGTCGGTTAGCCTTTGCTCTTTTAGTTCATATATGTCTCTCTTGGAGCATTCACTCCTTGGCCAGTTTTCTTTTTGACCCCACCCCTCCTCCTGTAGGTGGCTTTCCAACCTTGCTCCAACACCCATTTCTTGCTAACTCTCCCTGGGAGGAAAACTTGAGATGCACAGGAGGTCCTGGGTTCCCTCCACATCAGCCATTCCTGCCCTGTCACTGAGCATTGCCCACAGCGGCGGTTGTCATCCAGGTGCCCTGCCTTCTTCAGAAGCCAGCAGGTGCACAGAGAACCAGCTGGAAAGGGCATTGCCACCAGGGCCCCCGGGCCCCAAAGTGCCAAAAAGGCAGCCTCTGGATAGGCTGAGCTGGCATTTCTGACCTTTGTGTAGAGAGGACGTCCTTAAAGGGACAGCGAGCTCTTTTCTTTCCTGGTGGCTGACTGCCAGTTCAGATGCCAGGGGTTTGAAGAGGCCATTGTTCTGGCGATGGGAGATAGGGGCCAGACCGCCTAGTCTCTTTTTCTTTCCCTGTTACCAACTGCCTGTCTCCCTCTGATGTGCAGCGTGTCAAGTGTGGAAGGACAGTGGGCTGTCTTTGGTCACATACCCTCCCCTCCTCTGAAGGCAGCCTTGTCACCGAGGCTAAGGGACAGAATTGCCTCACAGCCACCAGCTCCCCTCCTCCAGGGCAGCCGCCCCGGTGCGAGAAAGAATGGTCTCTGCAGACTTCAGTGAGGTGCCCGCATCAGTTTCTGTGCCCCAAGTGGGTGGGGTGAAGTGGGAGGACTGCAGGCACCCTTTCTCCAGTGCCTTCCTTTCCTGCCCCACCCACCCTAGAATCGCCTTAGGTGCTTGTTAAAACTACAGATTCTGGGTTCCAATTCCAGAATTTCTGGGCCCCGGGAATCCGATTATCAATAAGCACACCACAGTTTGAGAACCACTGACTTAGTGATTCCCAAACCTGGCTAGTCATCAGAATCATGTGGGGACCTAGTCCATCAGAATATCTGCCTGGGGCCCATGAATTTGAGCAGGGTAGCTTCTCGTTAGTGGTCAAGAGCAGGTATCCTGGAGCCAGGCCCCTGGGTTTGAATCCTAGCCCCACCAGCTACTATCTGTACGCTCTTGGGTAAGTTTCTCAGCCAATCTCTGCCTCTTTTCTCACCTCTAAAATAGGCTTATGATAGTGCTCATTAAATAGAATTGTTATGAGAATTAAAGGAATTAATATTTATAAAGTTCTTACAACAGAACTGCCTCATTGATAAGAGTATTATGTAAGTTTTCATGAAATCTTTCTCTTTTTTTTTTGGTAAACTAACTGGTCATCTAAGTTGGAGATCACAATTTGAATAATCTCTTATCAGCAAGGTTGCCTGGCTAAGCTGGCTTTTCTGTGTGCTTTACTAAATGACCAGCAATTCTCTGAGCTGAGCCCAGGCTAGTCCTCAGTTCAGTCTGCGTGACTTGTTCTGCAAAGGCAGCCCTGTCATTTGTCCTCCCTGCCTTGTGGCTTACAGAGTGAGGAGAAAAATCCCTTCCTGGTTTCCACCACCAGGCAATGTGGACAGCATCGGCAAGTCTGTCCCAGGAGGGCCCAGAAGCCACATCTACAAGGCTCACTGACCTCTTTGGATGGAATTGAAGGAAAACAAGCTGCAGGCCAGGAATAGCTAGACATAAGTACAAGGTATTATAATTACTACCCACGCCCAAATTGGTCCCCTGAGTTAAATTTAACCCTCTGCACAGTCTTCTGACCTCAGGGAAGGAGGATGGACAGAAGTGTCTGTGGGGGATCGGGGTGGGTGTAGCCAGGAGTATGTGGGAGGCATTACCCTTGGGAGCTCTGTCAAGCCAAAATGGGCACCACGGTTCAGCACGCATCCAAGCTTTTATTATAACTTCCTGGTTTTGCTCAACTACTACTTTTCTGAAAATGATGCTGTTAGACTACATGTCTAGTATTCAGCTCAAGGTTTCTTTTTCTTCTTGTACTCTTTAATCTCTCTTTCTATTCACTACTTAGGAGACTTATTTGTCCAGCTGCTTATGAATATGGCATGAGGTATGTGGAGGTTGGGAGAGATGGCCAACCTGGGAGGACTGAGCTGCCCAGCTTCAATCTGCCCCTGTTCCCCAGTGAGGTCTGGGAGTAATCAAGGCTGGAAAAGGGCCATTGGTCGAGGAGAGAATTCTAATGCCACATAGCAGACAATGGTATTTTACAGATCCTGATATCAGGGGTTTTGGTGAGTCAAATGTTAGATTATTTAGAAGAAAACCATCCAGTCCTCCAGGGCGTGTCTGTGGATGTTTTCCATCTTGACTACAAATGTCAGCATACAGGGACCCAGCAGTGGGCAGAGCTTTCCTAGCATCCACTCCCTCCCACTTGTGCATATTTCACAAGACTTCCAGGAAGCTGCACAGGGCCATTTCTGTTCTTGGTGGGGGTTTGGACACCTTTGGTTGCTCTGAACCCAGAATGACCAGTAGGAGCAGGGCCTCAGTGGATTGAGAGACACAACCTGTCAACCTGTCTTGAGAGAAGGATTTGGTTACCTAGTTAAGAATATCAACCCACTCTTTTGGAGGTGAATGGAAGAGACCCCATGGTTTCTTTTCCTTTCCTACTTTTATCACCTCCTCTTTGGAGGAAGCTACAGAGGCAATACCTGCTTTGGGTGGAAATTGGGCTGAGCGAGATTGAAAGGCCTTTCCACTTTGGAGATCTGTGAGTCTATGGATATATTTCTGGCCCCCAACAATAGAGGGAGGACCCCAACTCTCAATCTGGAGAAGAAGGATCTATAAAATAGAAGCAGATGGATGTCCCTGGTGGTTTCCAGTACAAAAATCACATGGCCCTGTGCTCACTCCTCCTCTGGGGCTTTGCTGGATGTCACCTGCTACTGGGCACTGTGCAGACAGTTGATGTCTCAGAGTTGGGAGGTTTTTAGAGGGAGTCTGGACTGAGATGAGGATGTGAAACCAATCTCTTGACTAGGAACTCACCTCCTATGCACTAGCCTCTTGCAATGTTTGTGAGAGTGGCCTAAACTCTTAGAATATTCCTTGTTATTTCAAACCCAATTATGCCATCTGATAACCTCCCTCTGGAGGAACAAAAAAAAGACCTTTCTCCCCTTTTGCTTCCCCTCTCTCTTCCTCCTCTGAGATACTCAAAATCCTGTTTACCTTAAGGCATCTCTCCTTTAGTCTAAACATGCCTAGTTACTTTACAGTTTTGCACAGGGCAGGGTTTTTAGACCCACACTGTCTTTATTTATCTTTGAACAATAGGCCTTGCCGAGTATGATGCTTTCTAGTTATGCCCCTTACTGACATCATCTGTGGTGGGATTAGTACATTCCTTCACTTGCTTCAGTTGACAAGGCCCACATGTGTTAATTATTCTTACAGTCATGTTGTAATTTTGGTCCATGCTGAGCTTTATGGCCTTCACCTGCTGGAAGTTAGACTTTCACACTCCTGCATTTGTAGAGGACAGGTCCTTGCCAAGGGTCAGGGGCTTATTCTGCAGTACTGCCTACCTCAGGCAGGCTCCGGCATCTGGGGTGGGTGCACAGCTGCATGATCCATAGTGTATGGACTGTAGGATGGGAATCAGATTTTGGTTAGGGCCATGTTATCAATGACGTGAGAAGAGATTGCAATGGGGGGTGAGGCACTGCTAGGATGTCATAGCTTGTGCCCGTGGGTGAGTCGGTGTCTGCAGCTTGTCATTTGGCTACTTTTATCCTTAGATCTCTTCTCTCCTGACTTGTTCCCTTCCAGTCCCCACTAGGTTTAAATTGGAAGAGTCAGGCTGTGCCAAAATATATATATATATATATATATATATATATATATACACACACACACACACACACACACATATATATATATATGTACACACACACACACACACACACCCAGACAGGACCTGGCAACCTCTCAAAGCAGTGTGGGCACAACTGCAGAAAGCCAGGCAACAGACAGCACTTCCTGGAGTCCATACCTCCATGCCATCCTATGGAAAGAGAAATAGGGGAAGTTCTCTGAGTACCTGCATGCAAGCACTCCTGATTGCCCTCTGGAGAGTCCAGGCTGAATTAAAGAGGAGCTGGATTCGATGCTTGAAAATTAATTGAATGCTTGAAATGAATATATATATATATGAGTCACTTTGTCACCCAGGTTGGAGTGCAGTGGTGCAATCATGGCTTACTGCAGCTGTGAACTCCTGAGCTCAGGTGATCCTCCCGACTCTGCCTTTGGAGTAGCTGGAACCTCAAACATGTGTCACCACATCTGGCTGATTTTTAATTTTTTAAATAGAATCTGGGTCTTGTCATGTTGCCTAGGCTGGTCTCAAACTGCTGAGTTCAAGAGATCCTCCTGCCACGACCTTCCAGAGCACTGGGATTATAGGCAAGAGCCACTGTGCCCAGCCAGCCAAAACTCTTTAATGAGGATTGGTTTAGCATTTAGAGAGAGAGCGAGCAAGCCTCCCATCTGCCCAGCACAGCCTCCCACCCCCTCATGGCAGTGTAGCTGTTCTTCTCTGAAGAGGCAGGAAGATGCTGGGGAAGGGAGAGGAGAGGTAGTTAGTTGGAGGTGATGAAATGGTCAGAAGAGAGAAAGGAGAAACAGGGCAGGGTTCGGCAGTGCACAGCCGGGTTGCTGGTCCCATTGGCTGTGGTCAGCATGGCTGCCTTCTCCTGCTTCACTTCCTATGGCCACAGAGCCCAATTTTTCTGCATCTTCTTAACACTTGCAGAGCTGTGAGATGAAGAATGATTGTGGGGGCCGGGCGCAGCAGCTCATGCCTGTAATCCCAGCACTTTGGGAGGCCGAGGTGGGTGGATCACGAGGTCAGGAGATCGAAACCATCCTGGCTAAGACGGTGAAACCATCTCTACTAAAAATACAAAAAATTAGCTGGCCATGGTGGCGGGTGCCTGTAGTCCCAGCTACTCGGGAAGCTGAGGCAGGAGAACGGCGTGAACCTGGGAGGCAGAGCTTGCAGTGAGCCGAGATCGTGCCACTGCCCTCCAGTCTAGGCGACAGAGTGAGACTCAGTCTCAAAAAAAAAAGAATGATTGTGGACCTTTAGGACAGGAAATGACCTACAGAGTCATCTAAGTCATCTTAGACCAACTCCTCCTTATAACAGATGGGGAAACTGAGGCCCAGAGAAAGGGTGAGCTACATCCATGGTCACGCAGCAGTGTCATGCCATCTGAGTGCTCATACTCTATGAATGCAGATGCTGTCTTAAAGAGTGGGTTTTGGATTGCAGCATGTCAGTAACTCCTCCCTTAGTCTGAACCCTCCTCTTTAAGAGTCAAGTGTATATTGCATCCCTAACCAGGAAAAGGCCTGTCTGGAAACAAATGCATGAGCAGCCCAGGTGCTGCCCTGGGGGAGGGTGACTGAGCAGGCTGACTGTCATGGTCGGACATGTATGGGAAAAATGGGCACCAAGAAAAGATGTCCATAGATGTGAATAATCCACATCGTAGGTACACCCAGACAGGACCTGGCAGCCTCTCAAAGCAGTGTGGGCCAACTGCAGAAAGCCAGGCACCAGACAGCACTTCCTGGAGTCCGTACCTCCGTGCCATCCTATGGAAAGAGAAATAGGGGAAGTTCTCTAAGTAACTCACATCCGTGAGCGCTCCTGATTGCCCTCTGGAGAGTCCAGGCTGAATTAAAGAGGAGCTGGATTCGATGCTTGAAAATGAATTCCGTGCTTTACTTTCCTCCTGGGTCTTGTGTCCTGACTGCTCCCATTGATCAACCTCTCGAGACATGTGGGCGTGAGGATGGGGGCCAGGAGGTAACAGCAGCCCAGGGCCCTTGCCTTGACTTCTTTGGTTTCTCATGACTCATCATGATCTCCTTCCCCCCAGACTCACACATGCATACTCACACTCAGACACACCCACACACACTGACACATACTCTCTCATGCACACTCACTCTGCCATTGTCTTTCTCACTAGCTCCCAGTGCAGCACAGGAACCTAACAATAGTGTTTTCACGCCGTGAGCCCTGCTAACTGGCAAAGCCGGCTCGTTGTCTCTGGTTTAAAGGAAGAGTGGGGTGGAGGAAGGTGGAGGGGATGTTCATGTGGCTCAAGCCCAGGGCCAGTGGCAGGAGGGACTCAAGATCTGTTTTTAAGGACGACATGTCAGCATCTTAACTGGGGCATCCAGCAAGCAGACATCCCTCATTAAGACCTTAATCCAGGATTAAGAAAAGGTCAGTTACCTCTGCAAAGAGGTGATTTGGAGAGGGGCTTAGTGTCTCCTAATATCCTAGAGTGGGTAGAGGAGTGTAAGCCAGAGTGTGGTCACTGGCCTGTCCTAGGGGCCGGGACTCTCTAGAAATTCCAGGGTGGTACCGAATTCCCTGAGCCTCAGTTTGGCCTTTCTCTTAAACTTTAGCAATGTGTCTTGTCTCCTGTTCACACACATTCTTTGGTGGTAATTAGTACATGTCTTCAGTTGGAAAGGGACTCTACAAAAGACTTGGAGACAGATTTGCCTGCAGGAGTTTTATTGGGAAGTGCTGTTGGGAGCAAAGCTATAAGCAAGTGAGGGAATCAGGATTGGGCTGAGGGAGAAGTTCAACTCTCACGCACCTGCTTTAGCCAATTCCATAAAAAATTCTAGAGCTGAGATTGCCCTGCAGGGTTATCCCAAATTGAGGCAAAGGGCAGGTTTTTGTATCCTCTCCTGGACTAGTCATTGGATGCGGTCTGTCCTCAGGGAGGGGCGTTTTTTTGGGCGAGGCTGCTTCCTTTAATCCAGGGCAGGGCCCAGAAAGGGACTCAGCTGTAACCCATCAGCAGCTATTACTCCAGGCAGCTGGGGAGATGAGTACTTCATTCTGGAAAGGAGTATCATGCCCAGGCGAAACCTCTACACTACATGGGACAGGGACTCTACGATGTTGTACTTTGCCTTACATCTGTTCATTCTCACAGTCATCCTTTTATAGAGCAGGTGTCATCTCCCCTTCACAGATGGGACTTCTACTGAGGCAGAGCCACATGCGGAAGGTCAGAGGGTAGCTAGGGGCAGACCATGTCCAAAACTTGGTGGCTTGCGGTGGTGGAAAGAACATAGGACTTTGTTGTATATGTGATTATTTAGTCTCTTTCCATGGTAAACCTGGGATTGTGGGCAAATGAAATTACTCTAATTTGCATAATTAAGGCAAATTAGATGCATGCCCATGTTTTAAAGGTCCCCAGCCCCATTTGTAGCCACCTGTTGGTAGTTTCTTCATTCATGGCCTTCCTTTTTGGGCAGTTATGGTTGCCTATAAAGAGGACAACTTGCCTTAGGATATTCCCCAGTAGGTGAGACTCTGAGTTCTGCCTGTGAGCAGTTCCACCCATCATCCTTCTCAATTTTTCGCTTTCATTTCCCTATGCTTCTCTGCAGCCCCTGGGCTCCATATATGTATGCTCCTACTACACTGACTTCCATAGAATCATGACTACAGATTATTTAATTTATCCTCGTTTTCCCCAATCCCATTTTTTTCCTCCCCAGGAATCAACTCCATTTCCTTGCCCAGTCCTTTCCACATAGGAGGCTTAATGTCCTGATCACACATGGGGCCCTGTGCGTTCTCCTCTGGAGAAGAACACTTTTAGAGTCAGCCATCCTGTGTAGATTCTTGCTTGTGGTCATTCAACACTCTGATGCTGAAAATCTAGAAAAAGGAGGGATTTTTCTTCCCTTAGTATATCCCAGAATATCACCAAATTTACCTACACACAGTTGTCTTCTCTTTCTTTCTTTTTTTTTTTTTTTTTTTGATTTTTTTAATTTTTTGAGATGGAATCTCACTCTGTCACCCAGGCTGGAGTGTAGTGGCAGAATCTCGGCTCACTGCAGCCTCCAATGCTCCTGCCTCAGCCTCCCCAGTAGCTGGGATTACAGGGGTGCATCACCACGCCCAGCTAATTTTTGTATTTTTAGTAGAGACGGGGTTTCACCATGCTGGCCAGGCTGTTCTCGAACTCCTGACCTCTCAAAATGCTGGGATTACAGGTGTGAGCCACTGCGCTCAGCCTGTCTTCTCTTTCAAAGGCAGCAATTTTCAAAACCAAAAAGATTACAGTAAATGTAATCGGGTTGAGTTAAAACCCAAAGATCAAAGGAAAGGTAACATGGGAGAATTTGACCATTCTAAATTTGTCTATTTCTCTAGTCCCTGATGAATGACATCTCGTTATACTGAATAAAGTTGCAGGTGTGCTCATTATCTCTTTGACTCAATTTTCTCTTCCGTGAAATTGGAATAATAAGATTAAAGGAGATATGACCCACTGTGCCCTTCATAAAGTACCTACAGCAAGGCCTGGCAATACCTTCTCAATGAGTGTTAGCTCTTTTTATGTGGGAAATTATTAAACAAGAGGAAGGATATCTTGGATTAAAGAAAATTTTAATATCTAGAAAATATAGATCACTAGTCTATGTTTTCTAAAGTTATTTAGATACTAAATTACTAGAGAATTAGGTTAAAATAGTATAGACCAATGATTCCTAAACATTGCCGCATATTTCAATCACTTGGAGATCCTTCAAAAGCTCTGATACCTGGCTCCCACCCCCAGACATTCTTGTTTAGTTGGTTATGTAAAAACTCTCAGATGATTCTGAAGTGCAGCAAAGTTTAGGGAGCACTAGTATAGATCATTTGGTGAATTTGTAGTTGAAGCTGGCTGAAAATGTAGATTTGGTTGTAGTGAACACTTAGAAAAGAAAAAGATAATACCCAGGAGCCAGTTATTCTATTTGGATAAGATTAAAAGAAAATTGGAAAAGAGAATTGGTGTGCATGGTGAAATGGGGTTTACCCCTAGTAAGCTCTGTTCCCAGTGAGCTAAGGGCTAAGTGTGTTTATTCTGCTGGGCTGCATTTTGTCCCAGGGAAGGCTTTCATATGTATCCATGTGTACATGATAAAATTTTACTTAAAGGGTGGCTACCTGATTGAATGGCAATGTTGGTTGCTAAAGGGTGAATGTTGTGTTGGAGCCATCTGAATCCTCAGCTTCCTCACCCTTCAATCTCCTGGCCATTTCTTGCTTTAAGTTTTAATTACGTAGACATCACTCACCTCATGAGAGAGATGCAGGATTAATGAGAGGTCTTGGGTTACAGCTGGGTCAGAGGCAATCAGTATATCCATTTGGACACCCCTGAACCAGCCTCCGTGGATTAGAGTCTGAGTTGGGGAACTCGGAGAGGACAGAGTGGACATCTGTGGAACATCAGTTCTCTTGCATTAATGGCTCATAATGCACAGACTATATCCTAAGCATTAATTCAGGAAAGAGTTATTTAATAGGGTCTCTAGAGTCCCTGATGGCCAGTGTATACCAACTCGTTTATAATTCAAGGACTGAGTTAGAAGATCTTTAATGACCCCTCCCATTAAAAAAACTTTGGTCAGATGTTGACCTCTTTGGCTAACAATCTAGCTTTCTTCCTCTTCCAAACTTCCTGACAGACTGTCTATATACCCTCTGTTTCCTTGACCCTCTTTCACTCTCAGGGCAGCCAGTTGTTTGGGGCAGCACTGCAGAATCTTGGAGACAAATCCTGGTTTCTCTGTTTACTCTGTATGTGATCTGGGAAAATTCTTCAGTCACTGAGATGCCTCAGTTTCCTCTTCCATAAAGTAGGGTCAGTGGATAAAAGGAAGGAATACATATTAAATGTATAAAATCCCTGCCTGGCTCATAGTATACTTTGAATGCTTTTAACCATTTTATTGGAGGAATAACTTGAGGAAGGGATGATGTCCTACTCATCTGAGTTTCTTTTTGCTCATCCATATAGTAGTGTATCAGTGAGGGTCCCATAAGACAGAAACCACACCAATAATTTGAACAGGGAAAATTTAATATTAAGAATCATTGGCTGGGTGCAGTGGCTCATGCATATAATTCCAGCACTTTGGGCCGCCAAGGTGGGAGGATCGCTTGAGCCCAGGAGTTTCAGAGCAGCCTGGGCAACATAGGGAGACCCCATCTTTACAAAAAAAAAAAAAAAAAAAAGAAAGAAAGAAACAAAATGCCGGACATGGTGGTGTGTGCCTGTAGCCCCAGCTATTCCGGAGGCTGAGGTGGGAGGATTGCTTGAGCCCAGAAGGTTGAGGTTGCAGTGAGCCGAGATTGTGCCACTGCACTCCAGCCAGGGCAACAGAGGGAGACCCTGTCTCAAGAAGGAAAGATAAAAGAATCATTAACAAGTAAAAACATGGAAAGGTCTCTGAAGAATGGAGGTATAACAGATGCCTCTTGTTATAACAGATGTAGGGAGCAGCTCCTAGGATTGAGCCACTCACTCACTGAAGGACAAACTTCTAAGAAGGCTCCCTGCACTTCCTCCAAACCCAAGGCTAAAATTCAGAACTTATTGGAGAGGGTGTGGCCATTGCCCAGTGTATGGCACAGAGGCTCTAGAGGTTCTGGGGACTGGGGCACATAAGCTGGAAACTGCCCATTAGGGTATCAGTGAAACTCATTGGGAGGCTGGTGACTTCTGCAGAAAAGCACCAGAACAAAAAAGGGCAGCCCCTTCTAGTGTCTCTCTAGCGCCCTCTACTGACAAGATATAACATTGTGCCAGCCGGCAAAGAAGAAACGTTGACAGGGCACAGCTCCAGCATCACAAGGCAGGGAAAAGAAGGGTGGATTTGCAGCTGAGGGGCAATACATGGATACGTAGCCTGAGTAGGAACAACGGAACTTACCTTGAAGGGTTGTTTTGAGGGTTAAATGCAATATTATACAAGCACCTTTTGCCTTGTAGATGTTTATTTATGGAAGTAGCATGGTATGGTGAAAAGATGGATTTTATTTTATTATAATTTTTTGAGACAGAGTCTCACTCTGTCACCGAGGCTGGGGTGCAATGGTGCGATCTTGGCTCACTGCAACCTCTGCCTCCTGGGTTCAAGCAACTCTCCTGCCTCAGCCTCCCAAGTAGCTGGGATTACAGATGCCTGCCACCACACCTGGCTAATTTTTTGTATCTTCAGTAGAGATGGGGTTTCACCATGTTGGCCAGGCTGGTCTGAACTCCTGATCTCAGGTGATGCACCTGCCTCAGCCTTCCAAAGTGCTGGGATTACAGATGTGAGCCACTGTGCCCAGTGGAAAAGATGGATTTTTAGAAATAACTGTAGGATCATGGGTACTTAAAGTACAGGCTCCTGATACTCAGTTTTCTCATCAGTTTGATAAAATACTTTTTTTTTTAAAACGGAGTTTTGCTCTTCTTACTCAGCTGGAGCACAATGGCACGATCTCGGCTCACCACAATCTCCATCTCCTGGGTTCCAGTGACTTTCCTGCCTCAGCCCCCTGAGTAGCTGGGATTATAGGCGCCCACCACCACGCCTGGCTAATTTTTGTATTTTTAGTAGAGACAGGGTTTCACCATGTTGCCGAGCCTGGTCTTGAACTCCTGACCTCAGGTGATCCACCTGCCTCGGCCTCCCAAAGTGCTGGGATTACAGGCATGAGCCACTGCGCCTGGCCTTAAATAAATTTTATAAAAGGATAAAAGGCATAAAAGCACCCCTGTGCCTGCAATGGTGAATTCTCAGTAACTTGTCGATCCCTGTTTCTCTTCTTCTTTGTATCCCACACACTCAGAAATCTCCTAAATGACTATGCTTCAGAAAAGCACTCGTGATTTGGATGATAGTTTTAAAACAATGAGATTCGCTTTTGCCTATCATTCTCCATGATTCAACAAATTCAGATTTATGTAAACTGTTTGGAGTGCTACTCTGTAAAAGTTTTTAAATTTTATTTTATTAGTATGCAGGTGGGATTCAGAGACGTAAGATCTTAGCCTTTATTTTCAACATCTCCCATGCATGTCAACAAAGATTATCAAACACAGGAAGTGAATAAAATACTATGTAGACACTGACCCTCTTTATATAAAATGTGATTGATCAGGTCTGGGTTGAATGGATTGGTTCAGTTGGATTTGCAGGTGTATCTTAACTTCTCTTTCTTAGCCCTGATTCATCTAGGGTGGTCTCTGGAAAGTGCTTTTGACACTGCACAGGACTCTCAGAAACCTCTTTTCCTTTAAAAAGTAGAAGATAGTGTCAGTTTTCTGTATCTCTGAAGGAAAGGTTTAATTCAGAGAAAGGTACCCACTTTTACCTCAATTTCCTAAATTCATTTACAGAAAAGCAGCTTGGGAATTTAGGCACCAAATAGCTGTGAAAGTGTGGAGATTGAGTCCGGAGGCGTAAGTTCCGTTTGTGGAAGTCCTGTTGGCTTTGTTAGGATTGCAGCATGTACCTGCTCTTGGATCAGCTGGTCACCCCAGAGTTTGTGCTGTCCTTTCAAGAAGGACAAGGGCAGAAAGTATGAGTGCCTCTATGGGAAATTATAAACACCGTTAGGACAAAAAGGCCCATGCCTTCCTAATGGCATGTCAGTAGCCCCTTCTTTTCACACGCAATGTAATCGTTCAGAGTAGGACTCGGGTAAGGCAGATGGGGTTTCAGATACAGGCTCTACTACTTAATAACCATGTACTATAGGCAAGTTATTAAACTTTCTACCTCTTCGTTTTGTCATCTGAGAAATGGGAATAGTAAGTAGTATCCATTTCATATACTGTTGATATAATTCAGTGAAATAATTCTTGTCAGGGGTTTAGCAAATTGCACTGCACATAAATAGTACTCTTTTGCTATCATCAGGATAGTTTTGGTTTTATTGTAGCTCAAGTGAAGCGCTTCTCATCATGAAAGCCTTGTATTCTGTAACAGTAGACACAGTCCAGATTCCCTGATTCGCTTGTTTTGTTACTTTTCTATTATTTAATGTGTCCATTTTGAGGGTAGCAGGCAAATAACATTTTGGTGACTGAAGAAATACCACGCACATACTTCGTGCATCTTAAGGAACTGAGATCTTTCTTGTATCCAAACTCAAGGCTTCTGAATATCTGTCTCACCACTAGAAAATATTTTTCACTGTGTTTTTCAACAGTAGCTATTGCTTTTGACCAATATTGATTATAGTAGCTGTAGTTTACTGGACAGATACATACTATGTGTCAGATGCAGTGAGAAGCAGGTTGCATGTATTTACATCATTTAATCCTCACATGTTCCATTAAGATTGAAAGATCGGAAACTTAGTGAAGCTAACTTTTCAAAGAGCACAGAAGAAGTAATTGATAGGACTAACATTTGAAGTTGTATTTGTCTGGTCCCTGACATACGGTTTTAACCCATTGTATTTAATACAAACCATGAAAATACTAACAATGTAAGCCCATATACAGCTGTACATTTTGTAGTGGAAGAAGTAAAGTCCCCTCAAAATTAGCACAACTTGTTCAAAGTTACATAGTAAGTGAGTGGGGAAGTTAGGACTAGGACTCTGGCCACTTGATTCCACCAACCCCTGTGTCTATGCCTTAATGGAGGAAAGGACATTCAGTGCAACTTTTTTTTTTTTTTTTTTTTTTTTAATGCAGAGTCTTGCTCTGTCGCCCAGGCTGGAGTGCAGTGGTGCGATCATGGCTCACAGCAACCTCTGCCTCCTAGGTTCAAGAGATTCTCCTGCCTCAGCCTCCCGAGTAGCTGGGATTACAATTGTGTGCCACTATGCCTGGCTAATTTTTGTATTTTTAGTAGAGATGGGGTTTCACCACGTTGGCCAGGCTGGTCTAAAACTCCTGAGCTCAAGTGATTCACCCGCCTCTCCCTCCCAAACTGCTGAGATTACAGGCATGAGCCACCATGCCCAGCCCAAAGATATTTACTGAATATGTGTGTACCCAGTACTCCTACATGCTGGAGGGACATGAAAGAAAAAATAGCCTACGATCTTCTCAGGGATGTAAAACCAACAGAGGACAACAGAACCTGCAATTAAGTTCTAAATGTATACTGTAAGGGCAGGGGCAGGAGAGGTACCCAACCGTTCTCGGGTGCTTTCACATGCTTTTTTGACTTCATCATCTTTTCAACAGTACAAAGGAGGAAATATGTAGTATTAGCATTTTCAGATGAAGAAACTGAGTTTGAGATAAGAGTACGTGGGTGACCAACAAGCAATGCAACTCAGTTTTGGTTTCAGATCTGACTCTAGTCCAAGATCTTTCCGTGGATTAACAGAGAAGAGCCAGAAAGGCATTTCAGAAGAAGTCGGACTTGAGCCAGACAAGGAGGGAGGCTGAAATTGGGGCATTGCCAATATACCTTTCTTTGGAGCTGGGATTCCTCTAGGTAACGGAGGCAGGGCCAGACAGCCCAGAACTATCTGCTTCCCGGATACTGTGCGGCTGCTGTTCTATCAACGGGCTGCAGACAGAAGCAATCTTGGAAAGACTTTTCATGATGAGCCTGCAGGGGCTGGCCCTCCCAGAATGAGACATTTTGCCAACAGATGCCCAAGAAATATTAGCTCTCAGCATGAGTTCGAGCAGGATGCAGGTGACATCAATGGATTGTAATTATTATTCACCTTCAGCATGTTTTCCTATGCAGCTGCAGTGGACAGACAAAACTGTCTTTTTGGAAGATTCAAAGCATGAGAATGCATAAGCCAAACATTTGCTGTTCAGGGTGGTCCCGGAATAGCAACGTGGGCATCGCCTGGGGTTTGTTAGAAAGGCTGACTTTTGGGTGGTCCCCTAGACCTGCTCTATCAGAATCTGTGGGTGAAGAAGATTCTTAGGGGATTAAAGTTTCCCAGGCATTGAGCTAACCATCATCATTGTTAGTGTTGTCGGTTTTGTGCTACATCCCTCAAGAGATGACAATGGTTCTCAAATAGTTGGGGTGTGAGGCAATTAGTTAATCGCCATGGGTCTAGAGGCAGGTGATCTGGATTCCCAGCTCTGCCTCTTTCTTGCATGGGACCTTCACTTTTCCAGGACTCAGTTTCCAGATCCACTAAACAGGTCAGTATTTAGGTGATTGTGGTGGGAATGAAATGATTGAATGTAGGCAAAATGCTTTGTAAGTCATGAATGACTTTCAAAATATTATTAATATCGTTGCTGAATAGAATACCTCGCACTGCCAGAACTTTCCTCTGGGGGCTGTCTGAGTACTAATACTGCATTTCGGTGAATGGACAGAGAAAAAAAAAACACTTCTAAGAGGTGCAGCTTAGAATTAGAAGACCCAGACGACTCTGCTTTGCCACGAATGTAAGTGCTTTCCCTGAGTGTTACTCTTGCTGTCTGTGAGAGCCTGACCTGCGGGAGAAGCGAGCATCCTGGAAGTCTGGGAGCAGCTACACTGAAGAGGCCCTCGGCCATCTTTTCTTGCGGATTATGGTCTCAGTGCTGGCCTCCTCTCTTCCTCTACTCCCAGGCCTCGGGCCGTGAGAGAGCCGCCATCCTTTGAAGGATGCACGACTCTCTTTAGAGCCAGGCACCTGTGTTTTTATTTAGTGTCACCTCCTTGATACAGGTCGACCTAGTGGGCAGCACCTGGGAAATAATTGGTGGCAGCGAAGGGAGCAGAGTCTCCGGGGAACATGGTCTTGTATTTTGTCGGATTGAGGGTGAAGAGGAAATAACCCCCCCCCCCGCAGCCCCAGCGGCTCTGTCCTCCACGCTGGCATGAATAATTGAGCGCCGGCAAGCTGACTGCACCAAAGAGTTGCATTATGTAAACCGGCAGGCGACGTGTGTGCGTGTGTGCGCGTGTGCGTGTCTGCGCGCAAGAGGGGTGCGTGTCTGAGTGTGTCTGTGCGCCTGTGCGCGTGCGTGCCTGAGCTCAGAACAGCTGTCTGTGAGGGAGTCAGAGGGAGAGAGAGAAAGGGAGCCAGGCAGAGAGAGAGAGGGACTTCTGTAAGGCGGCACGACCACACCAAATAACAGCAGCAGAGGGAGGTGGGGGAGAGGGAAATAAAGGGGAGTCATGCTTAAAATGCTACAGCGGTGTGAAACAGCAGAGCAAAGAAGCGCCCCCAGCTTCTGAGAGCCCTGGCCCGAGTCCCCTCCCCCGTTAGAAACAGGGCTTTGGGATGGTCATGGAGGTGAGTGCCCTCCAGCCTCCTCAGGGCCCCCGCTCCCCGCCCCCGCCCCCCACTGCCCAATGCATGAATGAATGAGTTCCTCTCTGCACTGCACTCTGCTACTGTTCCTACCTAATGGCTTCCAGGTTAGTGCTAACTCGTGCTGACGCCTGGTGCGTGTGTGTGTGTGTGTGTGTGTGTGTGTGTGTGTGTGTGTGTGTGTGTGTGTATCTTTGTTTCCTCGTGGGATTTTTTGGAAGCGGTGGCTCTGTCCTGGGGTCAGAATGGGGCCCTGGGGGCTGTGGTGAAGACCTGTCTTTCTGGTTGTGTGCTTTTCTCATCTGACGCAGGCTGCTCAGAGCTGCCAAGAACACAAACCTTTCAAGGCAGAGTAAATCCGGAGTCCATGTTGTTTGCTTCTGTTTTCTGTTCTGGGGATCCGAAAGCAGCCAGTGTGACATCATGCTGCAGAGATGCCACCTTCTTTTCCCTCCCTAGCCTTTTCTTTTCTCCTCTATAGTAGCACTGCTTGAGCTGAGCTCTGGATCACGGAGGGGTGGCCCTGGGGTGGGCTGGAGAGACAGGCTGGGTTGAGGGTGATGATGGTCTCCTTGTCCAGCAAGACTTAATTCAGTGCCCTCTAACTTGGAGAAAGGAGGGCAGAGGAATGAATTAGTGGCACAATGCATCATGGAGAACTGGCTGAGAGCTTCTGGGGGAGGTGTGGACAGGCCATGTGCTCCTGTTCTCCACCTGCTGGCTTCCCTCCGCAGTGCCTCCGGCGGGGGTAGGAGCTGGCCAGAGCTGTGGTCAGGAAGATATGGACAGACACTGCTTATCCCACAGGGAGAGGGCCATGGGACAGATGGATCTGGCCAGCAGAAGGAGAGGATGAAAGGGGAAGTTGATAGCTCTCATCTCAGAGAAATAAAAGGATTTGTTTATTCTTTGGCTTAGCCAGCATTTGGCGCAGAGATTTGCCATGTATTTTGAGAAAATAGCTACCCAGTGGCTGGGCCTTACTCCCCCACACCTCCTTGCATTGTTAGTTATTTGCTTGATTTAGGAAGTAGAGGGCTGGGGGAGGACTTGGAGCTTGCTCTGTCCCCGGGGCCTCAGCCAAGAGCTCAGGCAGGGCTAGAGAAAGCCATCTTTGCCTCTTCTCTGGTACTTGCTAGCACACTGTGCTCCGGGGAGACCCCCTCGCTCCTCTACCTCCTGCCTCTCCTCCCTCTGCAGCTGACCTTGAATGGTGGTCATATTTCTAGCCTTTGCCTTGGATAGCACTCGGCAGGTTAGAGAAGTTTGGAACCAAGATGAAAAAAGCTGGCCTTGGAAGAAGGGTAAGGGAAAGGGATGATTTTGGGAGCCACCCGGAGCAGGAGATTGATAATGTCAAGGCCATGATTAAAAAGTAGTGCCCCGTGAGGATTGGGGGTGGGTAGGGAGTGGAGAATCAGCTAGTCCGGTTACCTCTGTAGGCATTTAAGCAACTGCAAAACAATCACTTGTGGAAAGAATGAAGGAATAAAAGCTGTCATCACCTAGAAGAAAAACTCCTGGCTGGGTGTGCTGGCTCATGCCTGTAATCCCAGCACTTCGGGATCTGAGGTGGGAGGATCGCTTGAGCCTAGGAGTTCAAGACCAGCCTGGGCAACATCGCGAGACCCTGCCTCTATTTAATAATAATTTTTTTAAAAGCCTAAGACTAAACACCTCCCACACCCCCTCCCTGCTTCTCTCTTTTCTGGCCCTACAAATTTCTTCTGCTGACAGGAGCAAGCCTGCAGCCCTTTCTCCCAATGGTTGGGACGCAGGCACCCTCCCCTTGACCTTTTCAAGGTCTTTTCTGTTTAGACCAGAGGCCAGCAGACTGTTTTGGTACAGGGCCAGACAGTCAATACTGGAGGCCTTGTGGGCCGGGCTGTCTCAGCTACTCAATTCTGCTTTGCACAGTAGAAGCAGTCGTGGACAATTTATGAACGAACGAGCATGGCTGTGTTCCCAATAAAACTTTATTTATGGACTCTGAAATGTGGATTTCCTATGATTTTCACATGTCACAAAATATTCTCCAGATGTTTTTCAGCCACTTAAAAATGCAAACACTATTCTTGCGTCCAGATAACAGACTCTTAAGGTCTGTAGTTTTGCATCTGGCCTAGAGATCCTCATATAAACACTCAGAATTTTAGTGTAACCTGAGTTGGGGTAAAATTGTTCATCCTTCTGCCGAAACTTGGATTTGTCTCATTGGGGGAAGTGGTGGGGGTGTTTGCTTCTTGGAGGGATATGCACCCCCACTTAGCCTACAGGAGAAGGTTGAAGCACTATACCCAGAGACTCCTAAAGGAACAGTGAGCAATTTCTTGATTCTTTTGATTCAGAAAATGACTGAAAATATATGTTTGCATTGTGATTCCCAAAGCAGGTGAAGTGATGATTCTGCTCTATTCTGAGCGGCTCAGGCCACTTCTCTGCAGTATTACAACTCTGTCTGGGCTTCACAGTTAAGAAAGTTGAGATCACCCGGACTCCGTTCAGAGGAGAAGGAGCCCAGTCGCTGGCTGAGGGAGCCATCGCCATGTTAATGTGAGAGTCCAGCAGGTGCCGAGAAGGCATGAGAGCCACGTGAAAATGTCACGTGGAGGAGAAATTAGATTTGTTCTATGGCTCACAAGGGAGTAGGATAGGACCTCTGGTAGGAAGCCACAGGAAACAGTTTGAGCTTAAAATAAAAACTATCAGAGCTGTCCCAAGGTGCAATGAGTTACACATCAATTAGTGACTGGCCCTTGAGAGGTAAAGATTGGGTGGGGATGTTGTAGGAGAAGTGATTTTTAACTTCAGAGAATAGGTTTAAGGAAGTAGAATTGTTTCACTCAAAGAAAGGAGGATAGGAACAGAGGGAGGGATTATAACTGATGAACTGACCTGCAGTCCAGGATAGCTGGAATAAAAGAAAATGGGATTAAGTGCAATATAACAGAGGGTTTTTTCTTTTTTTTTTTTTTCTTTTTTTTGAGGCAAGGCCTCACTCTGTCACCCATGCTGGAGTGCAGTGGCATGATGTCGGCTCACTGCAACCTCTGTCTCCAGGGCTCAAGCAATCCTCCCACCTCAGCCTCCCAAGTAGCTGGGATTACACAGTGTGAACCACCACACCTGGCTAATTTTAAGAACATTTTTTAATTTTCTTAAAAGTATAGTAGAGACCAACTCTTACTATATTGCCCAGGCTGGGCTTTTTCTTTTTAAAATCATAAATAACTTCCTGATGATAGCAGGAGACAATGAGAAGGGTGGCAAGGGAAAGCCCTGGGATTTCGTACCCTGAATGTATTTTAAATTAGACTAAAGCCTCTCTTGGTTGACGGGCATCTGATTGAAGCCAGCAGCGGGACCGACCTCTTACAGTTTTCTCTATTCTAAAATTTCTGACTTTAACATGTGGTCATTCTTCGGTATGCTTCGATTTGAGTTATAGCAGGAAAATAAATCAGAACCAGGTTTGAATCCCAGCGGTCAGGCAGCCATCCTGGTAGGCCAGTGAGGTCAGGGGAGGAGCGATATGAGGGGCAGGACATGTGGCGTGTCACAACTTCTCCCCCACCTGCACAGCCTTAGTCTGACTGCCTCTTGAGGAACATTGACCTGACAGTACCATAGCAACCTCTGGCACTGAGGTGATGTGTCCCTGGCCAGAGAAAAGGCTGGTGATGCTGAGTTAACTGTGGGCCCAGACTGCCTGGATTTTGTTTCTGGATGCTTTGCCTAATTTAGATCTGAATCCTTCTGTCTCAGAGATGCTACTGCTCTCAGTACTTCATAGTGTATTCTTTATATGTTCTTTGTCATCCTCCTCCATGTCCTCATGGGGGTTAGACAGCATCCACTCTAGTTCTTGCATAATAAAAGCGGAAGCTCAGAGAGGAGTAGTTTGTCCCCAGATCAGACATGAGGAAGGCCTGAGTCAGGAAGGCCACCTAACTCCTGGGGGCTATTCCTCAGTTTCCTGACCTGTCTCCCTTGACGAGCGGTGATGGGAGATACTGTAAGGTGTTAGTTCATTACATGTCTGTCTCTCCCATCAGACTGTGAGTTTCTTAGAGTCAGGGACAGTATCCCCAATGCCTAAACCTTTACCTGGCATGGGCATAGAACATGGTCCTCACCAACTGTTTGATGGGTGGATGGATGGATCCTGCAGGAATTCCTTTTGGTTTTAGTAGCAGCATTTCTCTTGCTGAGGATGGGGGAGGGGTCCTTGATGAGCAAACACAGGAGAAGCTGGAAGTTCTATTCAGTTGAACTCCTTGCCTTGTTCCAGTGGTCTTTGCCTCCCAGTGGATTGGAAATCTCTTTTGAGGAAGGGGCTTCCTGGGAGAGTTTAGCGCCTTTCTGCTTTCACAAGGTTCTATTCCCTTGAACATTTAGGCTTCTGAAATACTTTGGGTGGGATTGTACTTAAGAGTTGACTGAGATTGTTAGAGGCAAGTTTATTATATACTTTTATTAATGTAATTTCATATTTTATTTTATTTTGAGAAAGGATCTCACTCTGTTGACTAGGCTGAAGTGTAGTGGTGTGACCATAGCTTACTGCAACCTCGAATTCCTGGTCTCAGGTGATCTTCCTGCCCCAACCCCTGAACAGCTGGGACTACAGGCATCTGCCAGCACGCCTGGCTAATTCTTTTTTTTTTTTTTTTTTTAGGGATGAGGTCTTGCTATGTTGCCCAGCCTGGCCTCAAAGTCCTGGCCTCAAGCAATCTTCCCACCTCGGCCTCCCGAAGTGCTGGGATTACAGGCATGAGCCACTGCAACTGGCCATAGAGGCAATTTTAAAAGTATTAAGTTCTTACTGTGTGCCCAATATCACATTTAATATCATGTGGATACAAACAACCATGACACTGTTGCTGTCCTATTGGGCCCTCAGGATGAGTATGTAATACAAAGTTAGAGGTGCTCCAAAGATTCTTGCTTAATGACATTGAATCAGCAAGGTTAGGTTAATTTCTAAAGACTATTAAAATCAAAGAGGTTTGGACAGATAATGATCGCTGAGACTCATGGAGGAATGAGGACTGTGGCACGTAAGAGTGCCATTAACATGTAAGCAGCTGGCCAGTGGGAGCTCTGTCAGTGGAGATCTGAAGCAGAGGCCTGATGGCTGTTGTCAGGGCCATTGCAGAGGGAGCCCTGCACCCAGTGGGAGGATGGATTACATGACCACTATGCGCTCCTTCCAAACTACAGACTATTGTAGATCAGCTCAGCCAACACCCAGCCTGTGAACCCAGCAGGACTGTCCCCTAAATGTTAGGCGTTTGTTCTGTTGTGAACAATCTCAGGAAAAGGAAATTATACAACACCAGTAAGTTCTTATGTTTGATTTTAGTATCTTCTGCTTTATCTTAAGTCTTTATTGTCCCAGCCCTGTGGATGTAGGAACTAGCTGAATATATGCCTAGCCACAATCTGTACTCTCATCCCGTGTCTTTGCCATGTGGAAAGGACTGAATTTAGGAACAGGATTCAGTTTCTTAACTGGGAATTCACATTCCACTGCTAATCCTGTTTCACTCCATGAGCAATTATAGGAAGCTCTTTACTTTTGGGATGCATGGTCTAATTAGGTTTATTCTTTAAAGGATTCTCACTCCAGGAAAATAGGTTGTGATCGTGCAACAGACTAAAAACACAGGTGCACAGAAAGAAAAAGTGATTTTCTCAAGGGCACCAATCAGCTCAGGATTTTAAAATCAGGTACCCTGATGTCTAGACAGAGTGATAAGGCTAGCAGAGAGTCTGGAAGTGATGTCATATTTTAGTTTTCATGGACCCAAGAGCTAGAAAAAGGACTTAAAGGCTGGCCTTTTTAAAAAGGCAGATTTGGGGCCAGCTTTAGAAAGACATGTCTATCAGAGTGGCTGGACGATGGAATGAATGGCTTTAAGAAGATCCCACTTTTTGGCCGAGCGCGGTGGCTCACGCCTGTAATCCCAGCACTTTGGGAGGCCGAGGCGGGCAGATCACGAGGTCAGGAGATCGAGACCATCCTGGCTAACATGGTGAAACCCCGTCTCTACTAAAAATACAAAAAATTAGCCACGCGTGGTGGCGGGCGCCTGTAGTCCCAGCTATTCGGGAGGCTGAGGCAGGAGAATGGTGTGAACTCAGGAAGCGGAGCTTGCAGTGAGCCGAGATCGTGCCACTGCACTCTAGCCTGGGAGACAGAGCGAGACTCCATCTCAAAAGCAAAAAAAAAAAAGGAAAGAAGATCCCACTTTTTAAAATTCATGGACTATATATCTGCAACCCCAGTATGTGCCAGTCATTTTGCTGGAGGTACTGGGGAAGCACACATAGACGTGGCCCCAGCCCCCATGGAGTGCTCAGCCTGGTGGTAAGCAAGGAAAAAACAACAACAAGAAAACAAGACAATTTCCGCTCCTATAAGGGCAGTGAAAAGAAACAGGGCCACGTGGTAATGATTGCCTGGGGTTAGGAAGGCCACTTTATATGGAGTGGCCCTTCAAGAAAGTCTGCTCTGAGGAGGTGACATTTGAGCTTTGATCTGAAGGCTGAAAAGGAACCAGCATTCAAAATGTTAGAGTAAGAGTTCCAGGCGGTGGGACCAACAAGTGCCAATATCCTAGGTGAACTGGGTTTGTTCAAGAAAGAGAAAGGTCCAGGGAGGCTAGAATAAAATGAGGGAGGAAATGGTGCAAGAGAAGTTGAGGAAATAGTTGGATTCTATAAGAAGTTGGATAGCTGGTCATTAAATCCTTCTCTTAGGGGATATGAACCTTTTCCCCAGCAGCTTCGGAGGAGGAAGCAGATGGATTTACTGCAGATGAGCCCTTTGGGTAAAGTGATTTATGTCTGATTTCTGACACTGGTTCTGTAGCATTATCAGTGTTTTCAAAGATGGTTATAATTTGTTCCTCTTTGAAATATCCTTTGAGATAACAGGAACTCTTGCTTTTTTCTCCTTGGCTCTGGCAGGACCCAAACAAACTTATTTTGTTTTTGTAGGAAGGGGGAAAAGTGGGTCAGGCTGTTTTGTCATTTCGGGCATGGAGTCCTGGTTCTATTGCAGGGCCTTGTCTCCATGGAAATGAAAAATAGTGTTTGTCATGCCTGTTCCTGGATTGAATTCCAAACTCTGGACTGAACAGAAGCTGCAGGAAAGCCAGGCAGCAGGGGGGAGTGGGATGGATGGAGACTCCAGCCATGGTGATGAAGGACCTCTTCTCCTTGCCTGAGCAGGAAAGGCAAACAACCTTTGCCCAGGTCCAGCTCTTCCTATCACCTCTCTGGACTGAGAACACCACTGGAAGGGTAACTGAAGTGCTACTTTTCTCTACTTCGCCAAAAACTTTCCGTGAACTTTGCCCTTATGTTAATTAGTCAATTAATAAATTCATCAACAACCAAAGTCAGTGCTCAGACTTTCCCTTGTACCAAGTAATTCCTTCCAGGCTTGAGGAGATCCCTAATGAGACTATTTCTAGGTATTAAATTAGTCAGCTGGCTGCAAATGTTTTGGATGGGCTGTCCCATCTTTAAATTTCTTTGTAAAAATTTTTTAAAGTTTTGGGTTTTTTTTTTAACTGAAATATTTATACAAGACAGGGAAGGAGGAATCAGTAAGTGGGGCTTGTTGCCCATAGGAAGTGCCCTGAATTATCTACACAGTATTTACAGAGATAGGGCATGTGAGGGGCGGAGTGCAGAAGGAGGTAGGGGCATGGGCCGTGTGGACGCTGAGTGAATGTTCGGATGGCCCACAGTAGCTGGTTCATGAGCCTGGAGAATTGTCAGGCTTCCATTTGTAAGGTGTCTCTACCAGTGGTCTGAACCCGGCAACAGTCCAGTTCCACCTTTGGTCCAAATTTTGGGCAGATCCTGTCCCTGAACACCTTGTACACTTCACCCAAGATCCCCATTTGGAAAGGCCTCCAGGAATCTCCACAATTTTCCCAAACGGAGGAGAGGGGACAAGAGGTTCATTTCTGTCAAGATGTTGCCCTTGCAGCGGGTAGGGAAGGCCCATTCTGTGTCAGATCTGCAGATGGCATTTGTAGGAACTGTGACAGGGAAGAAAGGCGTTAGCTTGGGAGCCCTTTCCCTTTCTGTCCCTTGCTGAAATGCAACCTCCTGCTAAATCTAGGCCGAAGTGTGGCACGCCTGGACCAGGCTGAGACTCTGCTTTAGTGTAAGTTTGGGAAGAGAACTTCTATGCTGTAGGGAAAAAAAAGCAACTCTTCTCAAAGCTGTTCTGGTCCCTTCTTTCAAACAGGTAATCACAGCTTGATTTTCTCCCCTAGAAAGGGAACTGGACCCGGTGGCAGTTATCACCAGGCTTAGATGCCAGCGATAGGCACACAGAGAGCAGGTTCCATGCGTGGTCACAGGGAGCTTCTCTTAGAACAGTGCAGGTCTTATCCTTTTGAACCCCAGTCCCATCCAGCATCCTGAAAAGTGTGTGTGTGGGGAAGGGGAGGCACTGAGATTGGCACTGTTGGGCATCTGAGTCTGAGCTGTGAAGGGGAAGAACCATCCTGCTGTCTGTTAACTCCTTGGTGGACAGTCGTGTCATCTCTCTGGACCTTTTTATATTCATAGCAGTGAGAGGGTTGGACCTGAAAGGCCCTTTCAGCTCTTTCTCTGAACCAGTCAAATCTTCTGGGAACTTGGGACTGTGGGTTTATTTTCATGAGTAAAAGGAGCTGAGACCAGGAACTTCAGGGGGTTATGACAAGGAGTGAAGCAAGCCTTACCAGGTCACTACTAGTGACTTGGTAGTTTGCTATCTAAGGAGGAGGATCCAAGGGGAATTGGGGGCCCTGCTGGTATTTGTGATTTGGGCTTTTCACTCCCCTCTACAAGGTTCTGGTTGGGTCTGCCCTTCCCACCTGCCGTGACATGGGCACAGAATGTAGACTCTAGCAAGTGACTAGTGATAGTACAGAAAGAATAACCATCTTCATGGAGTCCTCGTAGACTCTGAATTTGGAACTGGTTTAGTGGGGCAGACCTGCAAATGGAGGCATTTGCAGGCAGCATGTAAATTTCATGCAAATGTTATACAAATACACCTGTGGCTCTCCTCTCTCAGCCACTTGAGCGTGTGCTATGGGAAAATTCGAAGGGGAGTTGGCTAATTTGTATGGATATTTGCAGTGGCATTATAAAGAACTGAGAAAGATTATTAATGAAACTTTGGAATCAGCATGAGGATAGGACGTGTGTAACTGGATAACAGGGTAGTCTTCTCTTAGGAATTAGGGACTAGTCATCAGCGTTTACCCCATGCTACAAATGGCAAGGACAGAGGAGGTGCTTGTGATATGGCTGTGGGCCTTCGCGCCAATGGTAATTGTTAGGCTCCTACATCAAAAGATGATGTCCCATCGGGTTCTGCCTACACCTGATCGTCTCCATGTCAGATTCTTCCACATTAGCAATTCCTATGACAAGCTCAAATGATTTTACTATTCCAGCAGGTCCACCTACCTGGTGGACACTGCACAGCTGTTATACCCGGAGTTGTAAACAGGTCTCTGTCACTTTTGGCAGATATGTCACTCACTCCTTGATACTTAAGAGATAGTTTCTTGGGAGCGTAGTGGTTCTCAAACTTCAGAGTGCTTCAGAATCAGCCGTGATACTTATTTTGAAATGCAGATTCCTGAGGCCATCCACTGGAAATTTTCATTTATTGGTGGGGGTGGTATCAGGTTAAGGCTGGGATTCTGCACGTTAAGGAAGCATCCTTTGTGTTCCTGGTTCCTACTGTGGGAAGTGAGACTTGGGAGCATCAACACCTCTGAGGAAAGTGGACAAAGATATTTACTCCACATTTTACAGAGAGGAACAAGAGTCTTTATTTTTTTTCTTTTCTTTTTTTTTTTTTTTTTTTTGAGATGGAGTCTTGCTGTGTCACCCAGGCTAGAGTGCAGTAGCACAATCTCAACTCCCTGAAACCTCCACCTCCTGGGTTCAACTGATTGTCTTGCCTAAGCCTCCTGAGTAGCTGGGATTACAGGTGTGCACCACCACGCCCAGCTTATTTTTGTATTTTCAGTAGAGATGGTGTTTCACCATGTTGGTCAGGCTGGTCTCAAACTCCTGATCTCAAGTGATCTGCCTGCCTCAGCCTCCCAAAATTCTGGGATTACAGGTGTGAGCCACGGCACCCAGCCAAGAGCCTTCTTAATAATACCAGCAGCTCAAAAATATTTATGGAGCGTACCAAGCACTGTGCTAAATATTTTACTTAGGTTATTTCATTTAACACAGTAGTCCTATGAGATAGGTGTTTGTATCTCTCATTACCAGTGCTCCTGGCACTGAGATGATTACAGCCATACATTTGATCATCTAGGTCACTGTAGGGCTGGGCTTAGAAGAAACAACGAAGTCAACACTTCATTGCAGTGTCCAGGTGTGGGGAGGGGGGCTGACAGTCTGACTGGGAATGCGCCAGGGCTGGGGCAGCCAGGCGCACTGCAGAGGGAAGCAGGAAGGAGCAGCTGCAGTCCAAGCAGGTGGAGGCACCGGGGGCCAGAGAGACAGGTACATATTTTGCAATATCTGGGGCAGAAATGATTTTCTCTGAAGGCAAACAAGTTAACTCAAGTGATGAACACCGGAACACCAACTAACTATTCTGCTCTACTCAGGATTCTGAAAAATGCACGGGTAGCTGATCAGGGAGCTGGCTTGCTGACAAGGTCTGCCTTGTGCCTGCAGGACCACAGTGGGGATAAGGATGAGGAAGAAAGCCAAGCAAAGTGGTGTAGCGGCCACCGTGTCTGCAGTGGGCGTGGGGGGTGAGGGTGGGGGCAGGGATGCCGCAGAGAGTCACTGAAGAAAGCCTGAAGAGAGTCCTCATCCTCTTTTTCTACTTCCCTTTTCTCAAGGACATCAGCTAGACCTAACTATAGGAGGTAGGATCAAACCATAGGTAGCATGAGATACTGTGATCAGACTTCAGGGAGCACTGTTTGCTAGCAAGGTAACCAGGGGAGGAGAGCAATAATAGTCTGTGTTGCAGGTCTTAAAAAGAGGGGAAATGGGGAAATGAATGAATGACCTCCGGGTCCCCTGCCATGGCTTAAAGGTGGCTGGTGGGGGTCTTAGAAGACCTATTATGAATGAGAGCTGATGATTTCAGGAATCTCTAAAACATCAGCTTGAGCATGTTATACCTGGTGACTCATGGTTTCTGTCAATGTTCCATATATCCCATGCTATTTTATGCCTTTTCACCCTTGTTCATGCTGTCCGCCACCCCGAACATTCTCTTCTCTCCTACCGTGCCCTCCTTGAACCCCGTACCCTTCACCTGGCTAACTCCAACACATTTTCTGAATCTAGCTCAAGTGCCACATCCTCAAGGCAGCATTTCTTGTTTTCCTTTATTCTCTTCTATCATCCCACCTACTGATTATATTAACACGGGAAGAATAGGCCTCTAGCTCTTCCTGACTGGAAATGTCCCAAGCACACAGATCCTTTCTCATTCACCAAAATGAACTTGAATGCCTCACATATGCCAGGTGGTCAGGAAATATTTGTGGAACTGAAGAGCCAGATCCAAAGTCATATCACCTTGTCTAGGTACTTAACCCCCCTAGACTCAGGTTTCTTACATGTGAAGTTGAGAGCTGAATATACTAACTCTAAACTCTGGGAGGGAGTCTTAGTCCCATAGCCCATCTAACACCAGTCTTCCTTCCATCCCTACAGCATATGTAAGGTCTTTTTTATTTTTAGCTCTTAAATCCCAAGATTTTGAAATATAATGCAATCCTGTTATTAATAATAGTGGCAGGGTCAGATGAATGGCACATTATAAAGTTGGTTTGAAACTTTATGTTATGTTATGCATGTTAGGTGTTAGAAGATACTCAGGAATTGGTTTTGTTTGCTCAGCAGGACATCCAAATCCATGGGATAATGGGTTAACTGGTAAGAGTTTCAGGACTCTAGCAAGTTTAGTGCTGACTTTGCTGAGTTAGAACTAGAACTGCAAACATTTCTTCTTTTGTAGAGAAGGATCAGAGTGGAGGTAGAGCACCGGGTGGGGACATGTAAGGGGTATATGTGGGCTTAGTCTGGAAGTGTAGATGTCCATCAGGTAATTGGAGGGAGAGAGAGAGAGAGAGAGAGATTGCTGAGACATGGAAGAGTGAGTGTGTATGGCAAAAGGATCTGCAGACAGACCCCAATGGCTGAGGCAGAGGCGCAGGTAGGCCCCGATGGCTGGGGCAGAGGCGCAGGTAGGCCCCGATGGCTGGGGCAGGGGCGCAGGTAGGCCCCGATGGCTGGGGCAGGGGCACAGGTAGGCCCCGATGGCTGGGACAGGGGCGCAGGTAGACCCCGATGGCTGAGGCAGAGGCACAAAGAGGCCCCGATGGCTGGGGCAGGGGCGCAGGTAGACCCCGATAGCTGAGGCAGAGGCGCAGATAGGCCCCGATGGCTGGGGCAGAGGCCCAGGTAGGCCCCGATGGCTGGGGCAGAGGCGCAGGTAGGCCCCGATGGCTGGGGCAGGGGCGCAGGTAGGCCCCGATGGCTGGGGCAGGGGCGCAGGTAGGGCCCGATGGCTGGGGCAGGGGCGCAGGTAGGCCCTGATGGCTGGGGCAGGAGCTCAGTTAGACCCCGATGGCTGAGGCAGAGGTGCACTGGAAATGTAGCCAGTGTTGGGGTTTTCAGAGGTAGGCTGAGTGAGATAATTGAGGAACATATAGTCTAGAGTTCAGGTTTTATTCCACAGAGGGTGGGAAATTATAGGGGTCTTTAATCATCAAAAAGGATGAAAAAAATGCCAAATCCTCTTTTTAGAAAGTTCACTTTGACAGGAAAAGAGAGAATGGATTGAAGCCTGGAGGCAGGAAGTTGATTCCTTCTTTCTTTGTACTCACCCAGCTACCCACTGTCTTTCCATCTGTGCCTCTTTCTGTCCACCGGGCAAACAAACACAATTGAATGCCTGCTTCCGAAAATGAGCTTGACAATCAGATAGGCCTGTGTTTGAAAGTTTGAAATCTTGCCCTGCCTCCCATCCATCTGTGTGACTTTGGGTGAATTATTTAATCTGTCAAGAATCCAAATATATCACCTGAAAAATGGGACTAATAATACTGTTCTTTGCAACTTCATGGGTTTGTTGGGGGGATTAAACGAAATAATATTTAATAAGTACTCGGTGCTGCACCAGGAGCTCATGAACACTCAATAATGTTTAGTTATTTTTATGAATATTAGCAGGTTGTAGGTACAGATTTGGGAGCCATCTTGATATTCGGAATTGGTAAAGCCAAGGGTATGAAGACTGTCACTAGGATGGGATTCAGTTCAGCGGAAAACATGCCACTTACAGAGCCCTGCTGGGTCGTGTGGGGCGTGCAGAGGGCTGAGCCTCCAGGAGTTTGTAGGTCCTTCATACCAGGCTATGTGCTTTCAGTGCTTTAGTCAGCTCCAAGGTGGAGATTTAGAAAAGCTTTTTGGAGCAAGTGGGATTTGAAATGGGTCTTGAAGAATGAACAGAATTAAAAAAAAAAAAAAAAAGAAGAAAGAGCAGGACTCCAGCAGGGAGATGCAGAGGGCAAGGGCTCTTTAGGCTCAAGTAGTGCGTCGTATGGGAGTTTGGAGGCAGGAGAAAGAGCATGTATATTAAGGGAATTGGGGGAAAGTGTATAGGTGTGGAATATGCAAGCCCTTTAAGAGCATATAAGGAGAGAAAAAGCATAGAGGTGTCATTTACTTTTAGCAGAGAACTTTAGATTCCATTTTGAGGATTTGGGACTTTAATGTGGGAGCTACTAGAACACAGTAAGATGTTGGGCTTGTATTTAGAAAGATTAATGACACAGCTGTGAGTGAGTAGGAAGAGGAAAAGGAGGCAGAGAAGACCACTCAACTGGCTATTTATTGGAAGAGGGTGAGCAGAATTCCTTGAACCTGAACTGGGGCCCTGGGGAAGGAAGGGAAGGATGAGGTAAAAAGCTTTGTAGAAATAGAATTGGTGGAATTCAGTGACTCATTTTTTAGTGGAGTGAGATGGAAGAGAGGGGTCTGCAGCCTGAGAAACCTGGTAATGAAACTGCCATTGAGAATGGGCAGTCGTGGGAGGAGGTCTGGGAGGAAAGATGTCCAGCTCTGTGTTCAGTGTGGGGCACTCATGAGACATTGTCTGGAGGAAGCATCCACCTGGCAGCAGGTTGTTGGGTCAGGCTAGCGACTGTGACCAGGGCCGGAAGCAGGTAGAGGAGTCTCTGCCTGGTTGAAGTTAGAGAAAGCTGGAGACGGCCAGGGAGGTGACAGACTCACCTTTAGGGAAGGATTAATTGCAGGCTGGGTAGCAAGAGTTGAGACAGTAGTTGAGACCGGCAGAGGAGTAGAAGAGAGGTGCTTGTCATCAGGGAGAAGTTTCCAAGAACAGCACAGATGATCAACAGCCTTAAGAGCACAGAGAGATGGTATAAGTTGTTTATTGGCTGATGTGTTGAAGGCAGCATTTTAGGTGTGTAGATCTTTGCATGGTGTGTGTAGAGTGGGCTAAAGTGGGACTGCTGGGCGGTGAGGAGTTCTCATGCTTTGATCATTTCATGTGAGATTCGTGTGGTTTTGGATAGTTGGAGTCAGTTCTCCTCTGGTTAGAGTGTGTTGCCAACCTCTTGCTTGAAGCCAGTTAGCAGGGATTCTGGGTTTGGGGAAGGATGAAGGAATCTCCTTTCCATTCCAGGGTCTGGAATTTGTGAGGAAATTACACAACGGCTGGGGGGCCATTGTGTCTGAGATAGGCATGTACTTGATTGTCATCCTTTTTCTAGTTCTTTTTGAGACAGGATCTCATCATGTTGCCCGGGCTGGTCTCAAACTCGTGGTCTCAAATGATCCTCCTGCCTCAGTCTCCCAAGTAGCTGGGATTACAGCTCATGCCACCACTCCCAACTTCTCTAGTTATTTTTTGAGCAAACTATTATAGTTGGGACTAGAGGGTAGAGGTCCTCGTTGTTCTAGTAACATAATCCTAGAAGACAGTTTAAACCTTGGAATATGTGGTTACGGGCTTGAGTTGGCCCTAGAGCAAGGAGGCTCACCCCAGAAAGACGTGTGTTGGCACCTGCTCTCCACGCTTCCCCAGGGGTTGTGCACTCATGGATCTGCCTGCCACCAGCCCCACGGCCTGGCATCTCTAACCAAAGTAAAGGAAGGTACCTTCCTTTCTCCAGAGTTTATGGTAGCAAACGAGTTTAGAGAGTAAGGATAAGGAATGGGTGGGGCAAAAACGGGAAGAGCCTCTTTTGAAAGAGGCATCTTGGGCCTCCCCCAATAACAATTATTGTTAGTATTAGAAATGAGATTTTAAATGCAAATTCTGTTTTAGGATGAAGTGGAACATTGGGCCTTGCTTTTCTCCATACATATTTGGGGCACATTTATCTTCCTTTTCTCTGGTCTCCTTTTTTTTTCTTTATCAGTTTCCTTCCAAAAGTTACCGCACTGCCTGCCCCCAGCTCCCCTCCTGCCCACACTCGCTGGTTTAGGCTCTTGGGATTTGTTGCCTTTCTCTCTGCTAAGGATGTCCAGGTGGAAGGTTTTGCTGAAAGGGGCATGGTTTTCATTGCAAATGGGGCCAATGGGACATCTGAGGTCACAGCTGCATCTTCATGCAAATGACAGTGTCCCCAGCCCTGCACCCCACTCCCCGAGGGAAGGCTGGGATGCAGCCTGCAGGGGGGTCCAGGGTGTTCCTGAAGCCTGACCCAGCTGAGAGGCTGCTGAGCAGGTGGGCAGGACACCCCAGCAGCCCCGTGCAGGCTTTCCAATCTCACATTTCCTTTCCTTCCCATTTCTGCTGGCACTTTCTACTTAGCCTCTCCCTTTCTCCATCTCTTTCCTTTCTCCACTCTCGGAAGCAAAGCAAACATTCAACTGCATTCAGTTTCTCTCTCCCTTCTGTCTCTCATCTCTTCTTCTAGTCCATTGAAAACGGAAGTGAAATATCAAATAGTCAATATTTTATTTGCAGCTTATAAGCCTTGATGTAAGTGGATTTGGTCCTGTGGGAAGTACAAGGTACTTATTGGGAATAAATGTTGGGGTAAGGGAATATGGAATGTGAGAACTTCGGCTGTGTGCATCTTTACCCTGGGCAGAGGAAGCAGGAACCCACATGGCTTCCTTACAAGGAAATAATATGGTGTGGGTGAGTTACAAATCAGAAGAGCTGCACTTTGTTTCTCTCAACAGTGGGCATTTAGCTTCCCTCTGTCAGGCACTGGTCTTCATTTTTTAACATAGGGATTATGGTACTTGCCATTACTCCCTTGGTGGAATGTTTTAAGAAATAATGCGTATGTGAAGGCTGTGAAAAATAGGATTGTAATTGTTATTTTCATGAACAAAAATATCTGAACAAAATATAGAAGCTTTGCATTTGCAGTATGTATAAAATGAGCTGATTGTATTGGATGGTCTCCAGTGAGCCTTTCAGGTATTAAATTCTATATGCCCCAGACAATTTTTGGCATATAATAGGGGCTCAAACAATAACAGGTTGGACGGACGGATGGACGGATGCATGTCTAGATGTCGATTGCCCGTTGGCTCGTGCGTCTGTGTCCACATGGGCACTGCTGCCCTCCCGTGGCCAACGGCAGTATTACGGTGCGGCAAGCCGCAGCCTGGGCCCCTCTCTCCCGGTTTCTCCCCAGCCCCTCACCTGGCTCCCTGAGCTGGCTCCTTTGGGCTTGTCCTTGGCCTCGATCACTGACTGCCTGCCTTTCCTCCTCCTTCTCTTTCCACCCCGCTCCCTCTCTCCATCTGCCGCTGCAGCACTGCCAGTAACTCCAACCGCAGCACGCCGGCCTGCTCGCCCATCCTCCGGAAGCGGTCTCGCTCGCCAACCCCGCAGAACCAGGACGGAGACACCATGGTGGAGAAGGGCTCAGATCACTCCTCGGACAAGTCCCCGTCCACACCGGAGCAGGGCGTGCAGCGCAGCTGCTCCTCCCAGTCCGGCCGGAGCGGCGGCAAGAATTCCAAGGTGAGCGGGACCCCGTTGAGGCGGTACCTCCTTGTCAGGGGCTGCGGGGAGCGATATTGGGGTGGTGAGCCGGAGAACATCTGCGAGGGTCCTCACGTGATGAACAGCCCTGATGGCTCAGAGACAGTCATTATCCAGTGAGGTGAGGCGGGGCAGGCAGGAGAGACCCTAGTTAAATATCTTCCCCGCTAAGCATTCTTGGTGGGCTGGGCGAGGTAGGGAGGCTCATATTTTTTTTTTTTAGATTTGGAGGGGAGACGCTCTGGGAATCATTAGGGGGTCATCTGCTTATTCCTGCTACCGTTTTCAAATTTGGTTCCTAGAGCCGGGGTAGAAGGCAACATTATTTGGGACATTATACTGCTAGGGAGAGTCCTCAGGGAACCTTGCAGAATGCTATTTTTAACCTCCTCCCCGGCCATCCTTCCTGCCTTACCTTTGCACTAATCCACTTGGTACTCACCTGGCAGAGAGGAGGGTGGCAGGGCCTTTCCATCCTCCCAAGGATGTCAGGACTGCCCCCTGAGTACCGGGGCCCTTGGCCCATGGATATGCCTAAAATAGGCCCCAGGGGGGCCTGGGCTAATTATGGTTCCCCAGAGATGTCTTCCCCACCCTCGGTCCTTTGGGGAGCAGGAGATGTCTTTGCCCAGGGTCTCCTTCAGGAAACTTCTCTTCACCCTGGGACCCCCAGGGCCTGGGAAGGGGTTGGGGACCCCTGGGAGGCATGGGAGCTGGCTTCCCACTTGAATTTGTCTTTTGATTTCTTGTTCTTCCTCTCCTCTTCTTCCCCACCATTTCCCAAATACCTTCTTTGCATGCATGGTCTTAGTCTCACAAGCGCCTCTCAAAAGTAAGCCATCTTTTGTCTCTGTCCTTTTATCTCCCCTCTAGTGTCGATCTGTCTGTAGTGCTCAGCACCCCCTCCCTCTGGCCCTGCCGATTCTGGCCCTTATATCCTGCTTGGTCCCTTTCCCAGAAGGGCCGGCCCCACTGTCCCCCGGCAGGCTGGCTTGGAAGTCATTGAAGGCCCATTTTCACTGCACCTGATGTCGGAGAACAGACCCTCCCCCACTCCCGACCCTGCACCCATGTCTGCCTGCTCCCTGGACACTGCCTCTGGCTGGGAGTTTATTCCCTCCTTACATGGTGCGGTCGAGAAACAGAGCCCTGCCTGGCGTTAGTTTCATTCCTTTGGGGCAGGAGACCCCATCTGGTTGTACTCCAGGCCCCTCCCCTTTGGTGGTTGATTCTGGATTGCCCAGCAGTGGTGAGTGAGGATGGCAGGAGGGCTGCGCTGACTGGGGGGCAGGGGTTCAGGTCGATGAGTTCATTGGTGCAGCAGCCACGCCCTCAGGAGCTCTGCCTGCGTACTCTGTTCCTCCCCACTCGAGAGCTGCTCAACCTGGGCACCCCTTAGCATTTCTAACCACTGCCCAGACTGGGGTTCATGGTGTGCTTAGGATCCTGAATCATGATCAGAGGGGAAAGCTGTTCTCCCAGAGGGTGGGGTGCCCATGCCTGGAGGTTGGCAAACATTGGCAGAACCTGGAGAGATGTGGCCAGTGCCAGAGTCTTTCCCGGGAGCCCAGGAATTCTGAGGCCACAGGAGAACGTGCAGCGAGTGGAGGGTGAGCGATAGGTGTTGTGGAACAACAAGGCCCATGGGGCAAGGAGGTGGGATGCAGCCCGAAGAAGGGGAAGCCGAGGATGACTTAATAATAGTCCCAAGTCTCTCCGTGCTTTGGGGAGGAGGAGGGTGAACAGCTGTTCCCTTTCCTAAGGGAAGCACAAGGGGCGACACGGCTAATCCTGTAGTCTGTGATCTTTAGACTAAATGCACATCTTGGCTGTGAGGATTTTAAATGGCCGTTCCTGGCTGTGGACAGGGAAGGAGGAACTTTACCTGGAGCGAGGAAGCCAGCAGGAGATCTCTGTGGGCTCCAGCGGCTCGGCAGGTGCAGGCATATCTGATATCTGGGAATGGGGTTTTGAAATGCCCTGTGGCAGCCCCCTCTTGAGTGCCTCCCACCTCTGGCCTGGTTGATGTGGGACTAGTGGGTGCTCGAGGCTCAGCTGGCAAGAGGGTGGATATGGCCTGACAGGGGCATCAGGCTCCCCACTCCCTGCTCCTGCACACTTTTCCATCCAGATTCTGTACACCCTAAGCCTGGCTCTTGAGTAGTTGGGGATGTTCTGTAAGCTCCGAGGTAGGATAAATCATTTGAGTGGGGCAGCCAGGACAGGCGTCAGGGACCAGGTAGAATTCTGAGTGGGGTTTTGGAGATGCTAAAAGGAGACATAATGAAGGGACTGAGAGCTGAGCAGGAATCAGGGGCCAAACTGGGCCTTTTCATAGGAACTGAGGAGGGAGGTGCTGGGGTGAGTGCAGGTCTCCTTTCCCCTGGGAGATTGGGTGGACGCCATGCCCATCCCTGGCAGACACATTCTGAGTTTTCTGACATTGGTTACCCACTTCCCCACCTCATTCTCCCACTGATCATTGCCATCGACACTTGCCCTGCCATCCTTTCAATGGAGTTAAAAGAGGACGGGCTTGTGCCAGGAGGGACACTGTAGCATCCCACGTGGAGCTGGGAGCCATTGCATTGGCCTGGGACGTGCATGTGCAGGACACACAGACTTCAGAAGAGGAACACAAGAACCAGTAGGGGAATTAGGTTCTTTGAAGGCCAGGGCCTGAAGTAGATGGTGCGGCAAAAAGAGGAGGTTCTGGTAGCGGGATGGGGACATGCCCCTCCCCGTGGAACATCTTCTGGGGTTAATCACATGTCTTCCCAGCAAGCCATTTCATAGCTGTTTTTACTGATATTGTTGTAGCTGGTCCACCTCACTCCCTGTCTCCTGGCCACCCCTAGAGGACACCATGCCTTATATTTTTTGGGCAAGCTGGCCAGTGCCTCTGCTTCTCCCTGGGGTCAGGTCCCATGCACGGTGTCTTTCTTCCCTTCTCTGGGCCTCAGTTTCCTCATTTGCTACTATGTAGGCATGGCACCAGGTGATCGCTAAGGCCCGACCCCTCTGGATCCATCATTGTGCTGTCCAGGCCGACCCTCCTAGGTGCAGTCCGGCCCCAGCACTTCCCTCCCAATGAGTTTGTGCTACCGCCCAGCTTCCGCTCTGTAGTGACAGCCTGTGGCCACCAGAGGGAGCGAGGGGCCGTTCTGCCGCTCTCCCACCTGCCCTGAGGGCGCTATGCAGCAGGTGCGGCAAAGCGCGCCTCCTCCCGCCCTGCTGCACACCTCCCCACCGCGGTGCGGGCATCGCGCTGGCGCTGTGGCACTGACCCTTCTTTGACTTTCCTTTTTTTTTTTTTTCAAATCTAATTTTTGTGGTTTTCTTTCCAGTATGACAGACTTAACCTGATCAAAGTAAGAATTGTTTTTTATTTCTAACTCCTACTAAATGTAGAGCTCTCCTAGTCCCTGCCCCCCTACCTCCTCCACACCCCGCACCTTACTTAATCTTCCAGACTCCCGGAGCCTTCGCGGTGGGAGATGTTTCTGGAAACCACCTCCCAGTAACCTGGGTCTGTTTCCAGGGGCCTTGCATTCCTTTAAGTGCTTGCTCTTCAGACCTTCTAGGAAAAATGATAGAAACGAGCATGTCCCCAACAGCTGTGTCTTTGTCCTGACTCCCTTCTTCCTCTTTGGCCAAATCCATGTGTTTATAAGCTGTCAGAGAAGGCTCCACTGCTGCTCCCTGGTTCTGTGCCTTCCTTCCCTCTGGCCTGGTCCTCCAGGTAGGGGCGCTACAGCAAACTAAAGCCAGAGGATGAGGGACGCCCCTTCTCACCCCCAGAGGCCGGCAGCTCCTCTGACTTCCCTGCCCCTGTGGGTCTGGGTCCTTCCCGTCTGGCAGAGCCTTTGGGACTCATTTCCGGGAATGCAGAACCACGGGGATTGAATGTGCCTCTGGGCAGAGTTCAGGGACCCCTGCCCACAGTGGACAGGCTCGGGGGCTGCTTTGGACGTGGCTGGAGGGGGGACCCATTTTTCCTGTGGCCCCTCAGTGGCAGCAGGTAAGAAGCTGCCTGGAGATTGCTGGTTCAGGGCAGAGCCTCAGCACAGTCCTACTCCTTGGTATGTTTCACGTTTCTTTTCAGTTCTTTAGTACATGTTCTTACCCACGCTTTACAAAAGAGCAAACATTAGATATAAGAGCATCACAGATCAGGTTAAAGACAGGACTGGCTTCCCTGCCTGAGGCTGTGTGTGACCCTCACACTTTGTTCCACATAGATTTGGAAGGCACAAGCGCCGATGTGCCAGCCCATGCAAAGGGACCATCTGCTTCTGTCTACCTGGGGCAGGAGGGAGCCCCGTGCAGGAGGAGTCACAGGCATCCGGGGTCCCCCTGTCAGCCCATGTTCCTGTTGCCCCCTTTCCTCCCAGCGTCTTACACGAAGGTCACGGCATTGAGACGAGGAGCTGGGAGCTTGGGAGATGGTTTCTCCGTTGTAAAGCAGGGATCTCGTGACCTGGGTTGCATTTGAGGAAGCACAAGGAGACTGTGGGGCTGCTGGGGCCGGCAGCTCCCAGAGCGCACCTTCCTACTGCTGGGAGGTGTCTTTTGTAATGAACATCTGCACAGCCTCTTGCCCTGTGGGCTTCGGATCAGGGCTTCTGTGTGAGGACGCAGGAAGTGAGCCATCCCTAGGCGCAGACGCCAGACGCAGCCTGCTTGCCCCATCCACCCCCTCCAGAAGGGGGTAGCCTTGGCTGCAATGCCTAGAGGCGAGTTTTCAGGTCCCGGACTCCCATGTGGCCGCACCTTTGTCAGGAAAAAATAGTTTTTAATATTTGGATTTGGGCCCTTTACCTGCTGAGACCTCTGAATTGGAGGTGGGGATGAGGCTAAGATGGGAGGGTGTGGCCTCTGGATGGACCGTGGTGACAGGTTGGGAAGTGACCCTGGAGAGCACCTTGCAGAGGGGGACTGGGAGCCTTGCTACTGGCCTCTAGTCACATCCTGGCCATCGAGGGCATGTGTGAGGACGAAGCTGCTCAGAAGCAGCCCCACCCACGCGAGGCCCCTCAGCCCCCTCCAGCTCCTCTGTGGACTGGTTTCACTGTGGGGGGTGAAGGTGGACCGTCTTTACAGAGTTCAGGTGGAATGGGGGAGATAGATCACATGGCCACTGGTCATCACCGCGGGCACACACCCACCCTTGTGCGTAGTCGCTTCCTTCCCTCTAGACACAGCAGACATTCGAGGACCATGGCTACTCTTGTCTGCCCTTCTGGGTTGGGACGCTTTAACACCAGGTGGAGGGGATCCAGACCTCTGGGTGGAGCTAAGGTATTGATCTGTGAGCAAAGCTCCCCCACCCAGCGATCCCTAAAACTGAAAATAATCTAAGCTCCACCGAGAGATGGAGCTTAGGCATGTGTGTGTGTGCATGCGCAAGTGTGTGCGTGTGTATGTGTGTGAATGTATGTGTGTATATATGTGTGTCTCTGTATATGTGTGTGTCTCTGTGTGTATGTATGTGCCTGTGTGTATATGTGTGTGTATATGTGTGGTGTGTGTGCATGTGCACATGTATTTGTGCATGTCTGCATGTGTGGGTGGTGTGTATGTGTTTGTGTATATGTGTGTGTACGTGTATTCGTGCGTGTGTGGTGTGTATGTGTGCATGTCTGTGTGAATGTGTGTGCACATGCGCATGTGTGTGTGCATGTGTGTGTGGTGTGTGTGAATGTGTGTGTGCACGTGTGGATGTGTGTGCATGTGTGTGGTGTGCACGTGTGCATGTGTGTATGTGTGTGTGCACGTGTGTGGTGTGTATGTGTGCGTGTGTGTGTGTGTCTGTGTATATGTGTGTGTACTTGTGTATTTGTGCGTGTATGTGTATGAGTATGTGTGTGTATATGTGCACACAAGCTTGTCTATCTGCGTGTCCATCTATCTTTCAAGGGGGATGTACATGAAGGACTACTGGCCATAGGGCTTGAAGACAGACAAGGCACGATCTTAGCTATCCCTCCTGTTCCCCTGAGACACATTCAGGTCCCCTTCCTCCTGGGTCTGGGAATGGAGAACACTTAAGTTCTGGAGCTGGGGTGGGGTCTGTTTTGCTTGTTCTGAATTATGGCACCACTGGGTTGGAATGGACCCTTAGTGATTATGTGCTTCAACCTCCTGCCCCACGCAGAACCCCCAGGCACTCCCCGACCATTGCAGTTTAGGTACAGCCCATTTTTTGGCGCAGGAGGGATTTACTCACCCGCCTGCTGAGAGTGCAGTTGGAGGGAGTTTTAGGTAGTCCCCTTTCTACCTCGAAAGTGTCCCACCCTGCCTTTTACAGGGGGCTGTCTTAGAGCAGAAGGCTGGGTTGGCCGCCATCAGCATTTTGCTTCTGGTCAGGGCCCATTTGGGGACTGGGTCTCCAATGCCCACAGCGCGCCCCTCACCCCATCAGAACCTTGCGATGGGGCTCCGACTCCCTTCCGGTTGAGCTCTAGCTGGTGCTGCCGCTGCCTGCCACCCCGCCCGCGGTGGGCTTCCAGCATGGACTGCTCCCGGGCCTCCTTTCTGGAACTGCCTTGAGAAAGGAGGACCCCTCCTGAGCAACCACATGGGAAGCATTCAGCTGCATTTGGACCCCTCCTCCCTGCCCACCCTCCGCTGTCTGTGTGCCCTTCCCCCTGGCCCTTCCCCCCATTTCTTCCCTGACTAATTCTACCTTCTCTTTCATTTTCTCTTTTCAGAAAAGCCAGAGTTGGTATAATGTAAGTATTCCTGTTTCCCTTCTTGTTGGGTACCTGAGAAATGGGAGGGGGAATGGAGGTTGGGGGAAGGGGTGTGGGGTGCGGTTGGGCTTTCCTGTGGGCTTCTTTCCTTGGCAGCCCCTTTGCTCCTAAACCAGCTGCAGCGGTTATTTTCTTCAGCAGGACAGGGCAGCCTTGGGGAGGGAGGATTGCATTCAGGGGACCAAGGAGGCGTGGCCAGCTGTATCCCCTGCCTCACCTAGGCTCTTAGACAAGGGTCTGTCAACCCTAAAAGAGGAGACCAGTCAGGGAGGGAGTGGCCATTCCAGACCCTGACAGAATTCTGGTGCTGGGGCAGCCTGGGGGCCTGAACTTAGTTTTCTTCCCTTAACATTTTGGGGCAAATGCAGCGAGAAAACTTTCCCCCATTGATAGAAGAGTCAACCCATGTGCTGGGATTTGACCCCTGTCCCAAGTACCCCTTCAACAGCTGCAAAAGCGTGCCCTTCCTACAAGGCCTCCTGGTGCTTGGGACTGTGGTGAAGGTGTGGCGTGGGGCCACTGTCTAGGTCATCCTGGGGCGCCCTGTGCAGCTGCTGCATACCTAGAAACTGTTGTGGGGTAAGCAGGCCTGGCAGAGGCCACCGCCTGTCACTCACACAAACTGGGTGGTGGGATTTGGACGTTTTCCTCTGCAGAGCAGCTGTCTGAGGCTCTCAGCTGGCCCCCGCCGTGTGTTCTGCTCTTTGGGGACTTCACAGTGGAGGGGCTGACCTCAGATGACCCTCTTTGCCTCTCTGAGCCTGCCCTCCTCACACCTAACTCTGATGAATCCTGGGAAAGCCATCTTTGCCCCCTCCCCGGACACACCAGGTTCTGCTGCAGCAGGAGATATGGGCATGGAGTAGCTGTGGCTGTGAAGGACAGAGCTGAGGAGGGTACTCTGGCCAGGGGATGGGCTGGAGGGGAGAGGTGTGGGTTTAATGTAGGGACAGGGTTGCAGATCAATTGTGTGGGCTGTGTGTGTTTTCCTACTTGGCGCTGGGCGGTTCCTCAAAGTCAGGCATGTGCTCACGAGCCCTGTGGCTGCCAACATCCTGCTGCCCAGTGACCAGCCCGTCCTGGGTGCTGTTGATTTGCAAGCCTTGGCTGCCACCTGCCCAGCACCGCAAACAAGGCAGAATTTGGTGGGCTGTGCTGAGTTGTGGAGAGAGTTATGGGCTGAGGTATCTTGGGGTGGGAGAGAAGCCACACTCTACTTCTATCTCTGAGCCACCCCCTTACCTTCTAGGAGGTTTCCTGGCCTGTGGCGTCAGAAGAGGGGAGGGGGATGAGTGCTGAGCTTCCTGGGAGCGACCCGCAGCCCAGCTGTCATGGGGACCCCAGCATCCTTCACTCAACTCTCCCTTGCACCTTTTTAAGCAGCATCGCACAAACTCAGGCCCCCATAGGGGAACAGGACCCACGTGGCTGCAGGCCTGTTAGTTCAGACATCTCCGTTTGGACAGGCCAGCCCCTGTCCTTGTTGCTAATCTCCTTCCTCTTCTCATCTGTCATTTCTCTTTTTATTGCTCTTTAGCTCAGACTTTTGTTTTGTCTCAGCCTGTGCTTCCTTGGATTCTTCTCAGCCCTTTGCTTTCTGACTCCACCCCTTTCCTTTCCTTTAATCTCCTACCATTAGCTTCTTTCTCTGATTTCCATTCTCCCGGCTAGGTTTCCCTCTCTGTCTGATTCTAACAGGCTTTACTTCTCCCCTTCTTTCCGCCATCCTTTCCCCCTGTTTCCTTCTCCCTTAGCCTCCGCCTGAGTACTCAGCATAGCGATGGGGTAGAAGCAGATGCTGTCTCTTGGCTGGAGGATGGGGTGGGCCAGAAGTCAGGGGTTCGGATGACACATATGAGAGCCAGCGGAGGAGCTGGGCGTGACGGAGTCCTGCTTTCTGATGGTTCCACCTGCACCATGTCTGTGCAGAAGCTGTTGGACCTCAGCGACTCTGCATCATCCTCCTAGATGTTCTCTTTTCCCAGCCTTGTCCTGCCTCTTCCTCTATTAATTCTCACTTGTCTCCTTTCACCTTCCACCCTCTCATCCCAAGTGCATTACAGAAACATCCCTGACTCTCCACTTAGCTCAGATCATTCATTCTCAGAGGCCAAGCGCACAAGGGGCTCTTTGCTGAGGAGTGTGTGGGGCGGTCCTCTCCTGGACTCATGCGGTCCCTCTGGGGGTCCGCCCTCGGGTGACAGGGCACCCTGCTCCTTCAGTGTGCAGTGCTCATGTCCGTGCTTTCATGTGCAGATGCCTCCTTAGGAGCTGCAGCTGAACGAGCTCCTCTCCGCAGCACCCCTCCACAGCTGTCATCTGCGCCTCTTCAGGAGGCCCTTGCCCTGCCCCTGCTGCTTTGACCTGGTTTTCTGTGTTCCTTCAGGGAGCTCCACCTTCCTGCCTTGCCTCTGCTGGGCTGGTTGGAATCTGCCCTTCAGGCAGGATCCCTCTCCCCTTCTCAGCTTTGCTGACTGTCCCTCTATAACCTCTCTCCGGATCCCAGGGTCAGTGCTGCAGCCATTCTGATATCTGAGGCTCATTCGTTACACTAGACGTCCTTCAGATAGGTAAAGGCATTGTAACGCCCAGCCCTGGGGATGCTTAGGAAACCCCTGGCTGGAGTCAGGGCAGTGAGGGCCAGTGCCCTGCAGAATCGCTGATAGTGGCAAGAGCATTCAGGCCCACTGGAGCAGCCTGGGTCTGGTGGGAAAAGCCCAGCCACCAACCAGTCCATGCCCCAGCCTCCCCTTCACCTGCTGCCTCTCTGCAGAAGACAAAAGCATTTCCTTTGACATGACCAGCCAGGGAGGAGCCATTGCCATGATGACAGACATGCTTGGTCTAAAGAGTGAGTCATGCGGAGGCAAGTGGCTGGACCCCAGGGACACAGGGAGAGGCCATAGCAGGAGAGTGTCAGGTCCAGAGTGGGGTTTGAAGGCAGTGCCATCTACAGGTGCCCTGAGTCCTCCCATGCCCAATTATATGTACTCCTCCTTACCCCCGAAGCCCCAGTCTACCACCCCAGTCATATTCATCAGGGCCTTCAGATCAAGGGAGCTGCCCTAGTAGACATGAGATGGAGGGAAAAGCAGAAATAGGGTTTTGCCTTCAGCAGGGAGCCAAGGGCAGAGTTGAGGGGCAACCTGGCCAGGGCCACTGGGGCAAGAGGGGTGAAATTTACTCCCCCTCAGCCCCCAACGGGGCATAACATCACAGGGGTTTCCTTCCTTGGCCTCCTGGCGCATTCCTGCGGGCAGTCTTCTCCATGGCAGCCCCAGAAGGAGCATTTCTGAGATCAGAGCACAGGAGCCCAGACCCTGGCAGCCGCCTGAGACTTAGCACCCTGCTTGCCTGAAGCACCTGCAGTTAGGGCTGCAGCTTTGTGGAGGAGAGGGAGGGATAGTGCCAAGCCTGGGGAGTGGCTGGCACAAGCGAGAAAGCAAAAGAACAAAGGTTTGTAGGAATGGAATCCAGGGTGTTGGGGTTGGGCAGCGGAGAGGGTAGGAGACCTGCCTCGAACCTGGTGTTGCTCCAGGACTGACACTGCTCCTCCTCCTCTGTCTGTCTCCCCTCTCTATTTACTCCCAACTTGAAGGGTCTTCCTGCCTCCCTTCCTGAGTTTTTCAGATGAGCCCCCAGCCCAGCCCAGCCCCACCCCTTCTCTACCCTTCTCCATAGCCCCCATGCCTGCCTCAGTCTCCCTTTCCCTCCTTTGCTCAGTTACGTCCTCGTCTCCCGTCCCACTCTGCCTTCTGCCTATCCAGATTTGGCTGTAAGGTCAGAGTTTCCTGTGTGGATCTTAACTGGTTTCTTCCTAGCTGAGATCAATGCCCCACCGAAATCCATCTGTTTTCTCCTGGGCTCCTCCACCCCCTCCTTCTCGCCATCCCTGGGAAGAGGGTACCACTTGGTCCCAGCTCCTGGTGTTTGCCGTAGAGTTAATGTTTAGCCCAGGGTCAATTCGTTCTCTGCTGGCTCTCACCCAGCCCTGCCCAGCCCTTGGCATGGGTGTGGGGGAGACAAAGCCTTCTGCGTACGGGACTCATCTCCCAGGGCTTTATCTCACAGGGCGTATCCTGTCTCTATCTCACCCCTTACAGCTCAGGCAGCCACTTGGCCTGTAGCAATACTCAAATGTTTTTGGGTAGTTACTGTAAGGATCCAGAGCCTCCTGGAGCTACCTACAGCCTACATACTGGGGTCTGGTGTCACCCCAAGGGAGGCATTCTGATCACCTTGGAAAATGGACTTGCTACGTTTGCCTGCCACGCTGCTCGGGATAGGGCTGACATGCAGGGCGAAGAGAAGTTTGCACGTGTGCTGGGGAGAGTGTTGGCAGCAACCAGGTACTGACACGCCAAGCATATAGAATCAGGGATCTTCGTGTGTACATGTAAGATGCAGTGTCAACAGGCATCCTTTGAGAGGTAGATAAGGAATGCATTCACTTGGTAAATACTTTCTTAGCACCTGATACAGTATCCCTTATCCAAAATGTTTGGGATCAGATGTGTTTTGGATTTCTGATTTTTTTGGATTTTGGAATATTTGCATATATATATAATGAGATATCTTGGGACCCAAGTCTAAACACCAAATTTATTTCCTATATCCCTTATACATATAGCCTGAGGATAATTTTATATAATATTTTAAATAATTTTATGCACAAAGAAAAGTGCTGACTGTGTTCCATTCCTACAAACCTTTGTTTGTGACCGGAATGTGTCACATGAGCAGCGTGTCACGTGAGGTCAGGTGTGGAGTCTTCTGCTTGCGGCATCATGTTGGGGCTCAAAGGGTTTCATGTTTTCAGATTAGGGATGCTCAACCTGTCCTTGAAACATATCACGGCAAGTGCAGTAGAAGATATGAACCTGTTTGAGGCATAGATCCTTCCTGGAGGTGTCCTTCAGACAGAGTGAGACATGCTACACCATGAATGGAGAGCTGCGTCTGCATCCGTGGGGTGTCCATCTAGAGAGGGTTGTAGGAGTTTGTTAGGGGAGGGTTTGCAGGAGGAGTCAGACTCTTCTACTTTCTCCAACACTGTTTACCTGGGAGAATCCAGGTTCCTTTAAATTAGCGTCTTTGGAATCTACTTTTTTTGAGAGTCTCTCTCTGCCGCCCAGGCTGGAGTGCAGTGGTGCGATCTCCGCTCACTGCAACCTCCACCTCTGAGGTTCGAGCAATTCTCCTGCCTCAGCCTCCTGAGTAGCTGGGATTACAGACACCTGCCACCATGTGTGGCTAATTTTTATATATATATATATATATATATTTGTAGTAGAGACGGGGTTTCACTATGTTGGCCAGGCTGGTCTCACACTCCTGACCTAAAGTGATCCGTCCGAATTGGCTTCCCAAAGTGCTGGGATTACAAGCACGAGCCACTGTGCCCAGCCTGGAATCTACGTTTTTACATGTGTTCACTGGGCCATTTTGAAGTACAGTAAAGTTTGGGGGCTGCTGTATTAAATTACCAAGACTCCTAAGACAAAAGCACCATTCCTAATCCTATGCGGGCCAAGACCCTCCTGGCAAGGTGGCAGAGCTGGGGAGAGTGAGGGAGCAGCCCCATTTGTTTTAAGGGTCTGACTTTTCCTGGGAATCCACATCTTCCCCACCCCACTGCTGTCTCATCCCTGTCCCTAGCTTCTTGGTCTGGAGGCTTTCTTGCCCCATTGGCCTGGCTTTCATTTCCCTGGATTTTGCTGCTTTGAGGACCAAAATCTGTGCTTTTAGTATTGCTACTTTGACCTGAAGATCTGACGGTCTTTTTGGGCTTGGTCCCCCTCTTGCTAATGCTGAAGGTTGTATAGGGTCCATGGGAAGGAAGAGGGTGCCTCAGACAGATCCCGAAGCTGTTGATCTCAGCGTCTCCACCACCAGCGTGTCTGAAACTGGATCAGCAAAATCCCCAGGCTGCTACTGCTGCTTTGGGGAAGTTGGCGGATGGATGGGTTGGTGAGGTGTGAGAGTGTCTCCAAGAAGTCCCTGGCAACTTGAGTCTCACATTTCAGATTTCATCCTAACAGCAGTGCCCTGCCACCTCCCCTCCCTACTCCACGCCTCCATGTGGAGCCCTGGCCAGCAACTTTCCATTGCAGGAAACATCTGCTGGGGAGGCCAGGCTCAGCTGGGGGTTACTGGAGGACATTGGCCGGGACCATCACCCAGATCCTGTAACTTGAAGCATGTGTAGGGCCCAGCTCTTCCCACCCACCTGCCCTGCCTCCCTTCTTCCCTCCCTCTCTGCCACGGGTGACTCTAACAAAGAAGCTGTTTGCTGGTCAGGCGAGCAGAGCAGGGGCTGAGGAAAGGGGTGTGTGTTGGGCTGGGGTTGAGAGCAGGCCCTGTTGCTGCAGCCAGTGGTGGCTGCTCTGCCTGGGTGAGGGCTGTGAGTCATAGTCCAGTGCCCGCCCAGGGTAGAGGTTGATTAAACGTGCCACTCTGTGGGACAGACCAGGACTGGGGAGCTGGGCATTCGGTTCCTTTGCTGGAGTTTCAGACCAACGATGAGTCACTCTGCTGCGTCTAAGTGACTGGCGGGGTTAGACCCTGGACCCGGCTGTGGATCATCCTTGTCCTGCAGAATCTGCTTGTCCACCCAGGGGCCTGCCTCCCGGACCTCCAGCTGGCCCTGGGCACCTGCCATGCCATCTGCATCCTCTGGACCCTTGGGGTGACTGTCTGCACTGACCAGGTGGAGGTGCGTGACCACACCACCTCTGGGCTACTCTCTGCCCGTGGACCAGCCGAGAAGAAAGCAGAGCCCGCCATGGGAGACTGGCTGGCCAGCTTGTCCTGAGAACCACGCTGACCACCTCGGCTCACTTGTGAAGCTTCATGCTGGGCATGCAGCTCTAGGAGCAGAAAGGACACCTGTCAGAGTCACACAGGCCCTCTGCTGAGAAACCAGAGGCCACCCATCCACAGTCAAGCCAGGGGAGACCAGTTGTTTTCATCGTGTGGGGACAGTCGGGAGTCAGTGCTCAGGGAGCCAGGCGTCGTTGGGAGGGGCAGCCGTGCTGGGCAATGGAATCACTGACGGAGTCGGGGGTCCTCTGGAGCCTTCTGCTGGAGCAGGAGAGCCAGCTGCTGCAGTGGTACCTGAAGCAGCTTGGCCATGCACCTGCTGCCGCTGAACACCGTTGCTGGCACGGATCTGAGGAAATCCCAGCCGTGAGTGTGTGACTCAGTTTCTCTGAGTCTCTGTGGTAGTTCTGCACCCTTGTTATGCCACTTGGCTCTCCTACCCGAAGGCCCCAGATTTGACAATCTTGGAACCGAAATTATTTGACCATTTTAAATTGAAATAGGTGAGCCAGGCCCCGCCTTTGGGGGTGGAGGAGGGAGAGGGCTGGGGTCCCTGGCTTCGAGAGGCTGCATGGTGGCAGGCCCAGCATGCCCAACTGATGAGCCTGCCATGCACACAACAGCCTTGTGGAATAGGCTTGTGTTGGGAAGCCTGGATAAAGGAGTTTCCAGACTGGCTGACTTAGCAGGCCAGGGCTGGATTCACTCTCCCCTCTCCCTGCCACTGCTACAGCTTTGTTTTAAGGAAAGTAGCGGCCCCCTCGATTTGCCTGCGGGTTGGAGATGGTGGCCAAACGCCCTGTACCTCCACCTCTGTGGATACCTGAGCTATTACTGGATATGTGAGAAGCAAGGGGGAGAAGGCACTAGGACAGGAAATTAGAAATAGGAAGACTTGGGGCTTCAGGGGGTTGGAGGCCTGACATCCGGTTTCACCTGAAGTGTGTTTGGGGTCTCCTGGTCGGCTGCTCCTCAGGCTGACACTGGAACTCTGTAAGTATGAAGACCTAGTAGAGGGCTTGGAAGGCTAGCAGGGGCCGCAAAGCAGGTAAATATCTCATTCTCAAGGGAGTGTGCTCTTTTGGGGAAGCCCTTCTGCTTCCTCTTGGCAGGAGGACCAGGAGCAGTTACCCTCCAGAGGCAGCACAGAGTAGGGGCTCAGACAGCACTGAGTCAGACTGCCTCACTCATATTCCACTCCAAGTTGCTTAACTTCTCTGTTTCTCAATTTCCTCAAGTGCAAAATGGGATAATAAAAATAATCTGGGGTCTGATGCAGTGCCACATGCACATGGCTTATGGCTGTGCTTGGTAGGTGATGATAACTCCATGTTAGCCACATAGCAGCTCTAGAAGGTCAGTTAGGCATAATGAGAACTCACTGGCGATCAGGTGGTCAAGCTGGGGTTTTCAGTGTGTGGACTCTGTTCTAAGAGGCTAGGGGGCCATCTTGATTCCATATCTCAGTGCCAGTTTGAAACTAATATAGGGGCCAGAGGAATGTTGTTTTCTAAGTTTTTTGTTGTTGTCGTTTTGTTTTGTTTTTGTAGCCATTGGCTACACCCTAGGCTGAGGGTCAGCAGTGCTGTCTCTGTGTAGGTAGTCAGTGCATCACAGGTGGAGTGTGGGTGTCTCCGTTTGGCCGTGCGTGGCTCGTCCCAGGTTTTGCACTTGATTTCATCTGTCACCCCCGGTGCTCCTCATTTGTGGGCACGTATTTTCTTTTTAGTTTCTTTTTTATTTTATTTTTTAAATTTAAGATTGTAAGCCCTCGGGTCGGGCGCGGTGGCTCACTCCTGTAATCCCAGCACTCTGGGAGGCCGAGGTGGGTGGATCACTTGAGGTCAGGAGTTTGAGACCAGCCTGGCCAATATGGCGAAACCCCATCTCTAGTAAAAATACAAAAATTAGCCGGGAGAGGTGGCACATACCTGTAGTCCCAGCTACTCGGGAGGCTGAGGCAGGAGAATCGCTTGAACCCGGGAGGTGGAGGTTGCAGTGAGCCGAGATCACACCACTGCACTCCAGCCTGGGTGACAGAGCGAGACTCTGTCTAAACAAACAAACAAACAAACAAACAAACAAACAAGATTGTAAGCCCTCAAAGGGCAGGATTTCTGTGTATTCAGCTGGCTCATGGGATTTCCAAGGAGGATTTGCTAAGGCAGTTTCTGGGTATCATGTTGCAGTGGGGGGAAGTGAGCACAGGACCAGGGGTCATGAGATCTGACACTGACCAGCTGAGGACCTGGGGCAGGGGGCTTCTCTCTGGCCTTGGTCTCTTCCTTGATGCTGTAAGGATTGGTTTAGATAATGTAAGGATGGAGAGGGGAGTTGGATGCCTCTCGTGTGCCCGTTGTGTTTTTTTAATTCTCTATCTCTGCGCTTATTGCAGTACTGGTTTTATGTGATTTCTTAGAAAATCATGTCTTTCCCACACAGCCAAGTGCTCACTCTGATAATCACGACAACACCTTCTTCTGAGAGGTGCTCTGGGCAACATCATGGGGGGCTGGGCAGCCTTCTTGGGTCCCTGCTTCACTGTCAAGGTGGTGCTGGCAGAAGGCAGAACAGCAGTAGCTGGCATGGTGGATACCAGGAAGCACCCTGGAGGTGTCCCTCCTTCCTTTCTCTTACGGGATATAACGAGAGCCCCTCCTTGCTGTGTCTGGCATTTCTCACTGGTGGAGGCCCTGGCTGCATAGTGTTTCCCAGCACCAGATTCTCCCCACTGTGTTTCTCCACACCGAGGCGCCGTTCCTCAGCCTGGCCTCCTAGGGTCTGTGGGAGGGCAGAGCCTCATCTTTGCTTTTTAAACACACAAGCAAGTGCTCCTCATCTTGCCCTTCCTTCCTAACCCCACAGAACCGGGGTACATCCTACTAACCTTGGCTATTGTCACGCAGGTGTTAAGCCCCACCTACAAGCAGAGAAATGAAGACTTCAGAAAGCTCTTTAAGCAGCTTCCAGACACGGAGCGCCTCATTGTTGGTGAGTTGGGTGACCTGGGAGGGGATGGGAAGGAAGTCTGGGGAGCCCCCGGCATAGCACTCAGGGTGCTTCTCTCTAGAGGCCTCAAGCCAACCCAGGTAAGCAAGGGAACAGGGAGAGAGGCTGTCCAGACCCCTGGCCCCAGCTGTCAGGGCTCGAGGCTGAGTATCAGGCTTGTGGCAGCCTCAAGAGCCCAACCTGGAGTGAGTCACTGGCATTTTTATCTCTGCAGTTGGCCCAGTGGCAGAAGGGGTTAGCATAGTTGTGGACTGGGGAGGGAAGTTAGTTGAATTTTGTTGGTCTTTTCCACCTCTTGCTTCCTTGGCCCACTTTGCCTTCACATTTATTTATCTGCCTCTAGGCAGTTGCACATCACACCACCTTTATGCTCCTCATCATGAGATGGTAGGGACTTCCTTGGCTGCTAGTTCAAGTGTCTGGCACCCCTTGTCCGTGGTGGGCATTGGGCTCCCCCAGTGCTGGTGGGAGGGATGACATGCCTACTCTGCAGTGGTTTGCCGAAAATGCTTCCTGCCTCTGAGCTCCCCTACCTCCGCTCCTACCACAGATTACTCATGTGCACTCCAAAGAGACATTCTCCTTCAGGGCCGACTCTACCTCTCTGAAAATTGGATCTGCTTCTACAGCAACATCTTCCGCTGGGAAACTCTGGTAAAGACCTGGGCATGCTCCCTTGGGCTGTCTCCTTGGCTATGGCTGAGCAAGCTGCCCTCGCTTTCTTCCTTTTGCTGACTTCATGCTCTTCCCAAGCCTTTGCGTAATTAACAAAAGCATGCCTGAGTCTTGAAAGATATTCAATTCTAAGTCCCAATAATCAGGTCTCCTCTGCCATGTCTTCCCCTCCCTCCCTCCCCTTTGGGTGTGGAAGAGAGGACTGGGAACATTTGCTTTTGTCAAATGCAGGCAAATATTTGGCATGAGTGACTGCAGGAGGAGGCATAGTCAAGTAGAAAGGGCTTTGGCCTTGGGACTTTAAAGAACCGGCTTGCACAATTTCTGGGTTCTGTAACTAATCAGCGGTGTGATTTTAGGCTAGTCCTTTCTTTGCCTCTATTTCCTCATCTCGTATACTAAGGAAGAGAAAGATTAACTAGATGATTTTTTTTTTTTTTAAACAGAGTTTCACTCTTGTTGCCCAGGCTGGAGTACAATGGCAGAATCTTGGCTCCCTGCAACCTCCGCCCCTGCCCCCAGCCCCTGGGTTCAAGCGATTCTCCTGCCTCAGCCTCCCGAGTAGCTGGGATTACAGGCATGCGCCACCACGCCCGCTAATTTTGTATTTTTTAAGTAGAGACGGGGTTTCTCCATGTTGGTCAGGCTGGTCTTGAACTGCCGACCTCAGGTGATCCGCCCGCCTCCGCCTCCCAAAGTGCTGTGATTACAGATGTGAGCCCTGTGCCCAGCCTAACTAGATGATTTATATGGCCACATCCTGCACCAATATTCTGTGTTTCTGTAAGTGGCAAATAATGGCAGGACCTCTGCACATTTAGCAGACTGTATAGAAATTAGAAAGCTCTTTGCCCAAGAATCAAGATACTCATGGCTGTAGACAAGGCTCAGTCCCCACTTTGCTGTCTGCCCACTGTGAAATAAAGGGGTAAACCAGATGATCACCAATGCGGCCTCTTCCAGGGTTATAAATATGTGATCTGATTGCCTCTGTCTACACTGGCGCCCCCTGAACACTGTTTACCTGACTTACTAATGCCCCACTTTGCTTGTTGCCCATTCTCTGTCCTCTTGGATGCCAGCTGACAGTCCGTTTGAAAGACATCTGTTCCATGACTAAAGAAAAAACAGCTCGCCTCATTCCCAATGCCATCCAAGTTTGCACTGATTCAGAAAAGGTAAGTGGAGTCTAACTCTGGCCTTTCTAATCCTCCCTTACTCCTCCTACTCTTGTATTTCTGCCCTTTCTTGAATCGCATGAATGTGGAAGCCAATAGGATTGGGATGAGAGGCGCTAAGGGCGATGCAGATTCCAGGAAGCACCTCCTGGGTGGACAGGCTGGGGGAGGCTGAGCAGCGGGAGGATAGAGTGGCCAAACATTGGACCTGGAGCCAGAATACCTGAATTTGAGTCCATCGACAGTAAGCGTGTTGGGTAATATCTCTAAGCCTAAGTTTTTCACCTGCAAAATGGAGCCAGCAATACCTATTTAACACAGTCTTGAAATAATATCACATATATGAAAACATATATGAAAATTGTAAAGCAGTATACAAATGTTAAGAAGTCGTCATTATGTATCAGCTTAGCTGATTATCTCTCAAGAGGATGGGGAGTCTGATAGAAAATGGATTGTCCTTATCAGTATGGGGAGAATACGTTGGATAAAATTCAGGACAGAACAAACTTTTCACTAGAGCCTGAAGATGAAGAGGTTCAAGGCTAGGGGTAGACTGGGTTTCTGCTGAAGGCCAAGTTTACAGTTCCCTTGGACTCAGGCAGTTCAGTGGCAAGAGCCAGGAGGCTTTGGGGTCAGATAGTGTTTGGTTTGACCTATATTTGTTGTTGTTGTTGTTTTTTGCTTTTGTTTTTGTTTTAAGTAGATTATTAAAAAACAATTGAAGGCCTGAGTGTTGAGAGGCAAATGGGGCCTCTGGGGGATCCTGTCCTGCAGCAGGCCTGACTTTCAGATGACTGTGCTTATAAGGCAGATCAGTGCCTTCCTGGGCTGCCCTAGTTCTTTCCATTTCAGACACTAGATTTGGATCCTGGGGCAGCTGCTCAACTCTACCCAACTCTACCATGGCTACCTGGGCTTGGAGAACATGTGAATATTAGCTACTTTTACAGTCATAGGGATCTTGTAGAAGAAACAGGTAGACAGACCCATCAAAGTCTCTCATTCTGACCTAGCAAGCAGGTGAAGTGACTGCTGGTCCTAGTTCCATTGTATGTTGGGCTGCAGGCCAATTCCAAAGAGTCCAACTCCTTTTTTTTTTTTTTTTTGAGATGGGGCCTCACTATATCTCCTAGGCTGGTCTCAAACTCCTAGGCTCAAAGGATCCTCTAGCCTCAGCCTCCTTAGTAGCTGGGACTACAGTGCATGCCACTATGCCTTTTTTTTTTTTTTTTTTTTTTTTTTTTTTAAGAGACAGGCTCTCACTATGTTACCTAGGCTGGTTCTCAAGCAACCCTCCTGCCTCAGCCTCCCAAGTAGCTGGGACTATAGGCACAAGCCACTGCACCCAGCTCCAACTCCTTTCTTTATGGAACTATAAAGGCAAACCTTGGTGCCACACTTAGTCCTTAGTAGCAGCCCTGGCTCATCCTCCTAGTCTTTCCCTAGTATTTGCATCAATGGCTAACTAAGCTGATGGCAGACCTCATCCTGGGGTAATACTCATTCAGGGAAGTAGCAACAAAGGAGGGTGGGGAAAGAGCTCAGGTCAGATTTACCTGCCATGATGTGTAGCATAACAGGTGCCCATTAAATCTCAGCTACTTCTGAAGTTGGTGAGAAAGAGGTATGGAGGCATTAAGACCAGACGCACTGAGTTAGTCCATAACCCTGGGCTTCAGAACAAGGTCTGGTTTTATTTTCTTGCAGAATCTTTTTAAATATAAAACATAAAACACATCTCAAACCTGCATTCTGCCAGCCTGCCTTGTTTCTACAAGTTGCATGCTAGACCATGAAACTAAGTAGCAAAAGGTCTTTAAGAGGATTTGGTTGGGAGAAATAGAACAAGCAGATCTCAGGGAAGCCTGGGCTAGCCCCAAAGCTGAGCTACATCCCTGAACACTAGAGCAGTCCTTGTTTTTTCAGATCCTCATATGTCTTCTTATTCACAGCATTCCCACTTGAGTCTTCATATTCTTCCTCAGTGTCAGGCTGCCATCATTCTGAAGCCTTCTGCAATTTCAGTTTGGCCCACAAGGAGACAGCATCTTTAATCTGTGTCACATTAGCAAAGTGAGCAGTGTTTGGGATGCCCAAACACCTCATGCCATGCCATGAGCATGATGCCATTCAGCAAAGTGCCGCTGGAAGGCTTTGGGTCCTCGGTAGGTGTAGTTTCCACAGATCTCACAGTTGTAGTTGATATTTAGGCCATGAAGCATATACAGCCAGTAGGGAATGGGTTTGCCAAGTGGCCAAGTGGCAGGTTTTTGGGGTTGTAAATGATCTCGTTCTCTTCATCTTCACTCTAACTCTCACTGATTTGCTCTTTTTCGTCTTCCTCTCGCTCTTCTCCTGTCCTTGCTTGCTCGCGTTGTACATTTTCATGAGTGAGATGTCGCTGTTCTCCGAGAATCTCTACGTATTCATAGATTTGGGCTTCTAGAAAAGCAATGTCTTTGTTCCTCTCAGTGTCTTACTTGGTGCCCTTTGACTTGGGATTTTTGGCAAACAAAGAGGTATCAAGTGACTCTAGGGACTTTCCTTTGGTGCTGAATAGTCTCTGGGCTCGCTCTTCTGGGATCCTGCCACATTTCAGTCCTAAAGCTAAGAGAGCGGATTTCAATCTGTCCAAACCCAGAGAGGCCAACTCCTCCCAGGAGGAGAATGCAGAGAGGTCAAGATGGGCTCCAGCCTGCGTCAGAGCACTGCTTGTCTCTTTCGGCCATCCAGGAAAGATCCCATTCTCCCATTTCTTCTCAAATTCAGCCTGAATCTTCCCAGAAAGTTCATTCTGATCTTGGAGAGGCTTCACTCTATCTGTGTAATCCTGAAGGTACTCAAGCAGCATCTCTAGGTATCTCTTATGCTCTGCATTCCTCCTGTCTTTAGGAATGTCAAATAATTGGTCTAAGATGGACAGGTATGTGATATAATCCAGCTTCTCAGATGCCTTCAGGTTAATGTACTTGAGGCAACAGTCATGGAGATCGAGGTAACGACCATATCCCTCTTCATCTGTGAACTCCACCGAGTTTTGTGCCTCTTCACTTGGATTCTCTCGAGCCTTCAGGAGCTCCTCAAATTCCACTGACATTGCCACATAGATCTCATTTGGGTGCTTCCGGTGGAATTCCTTTATTTGCTTGAGTCTGTTACAGAAATCAGAAAATTCCTTGGGTCCTGAAATGGCACCGAGCTCCTCCTTTCGTAATCCATCCTTATCATCATACAAATCCCTTGGGTTCCCACTGACCTCCATATACCTATCTTGCGTGGCCCGAGTGCAGTGATCAGAATTGATCTGGTCCCAGAGCATGGACTTTTTAGTGAGCATCTCTTTGGCCATGACATCCATGAGCCATTCCTTCTCCTCATGATAGCACTGCTGCTGCTCCAGTATTGTCTCCATCTTCCCTTCACCACGGCCTCTCGTTGTTGCTGTTTTTTGAGGCGCAGTCTCACTCTGTCACCCAGGCTGGAGTGCAGTAGCACTATCTTGGCTCACTACAACCTCTGCCTTCTGGGTTCAGGTGATTCTTGTGCCTCAGCCTCCGGAATAGCTGAGATTACAGGCACTCACCACCACGCCTGGCTAATTTTTGTATTTTTAGTAGAGGCAGGGTTTCGCCATGTTGGCCAGGCTGATCTCGAACTCCTGACCTCAGGTGATCCACCCACCTCGGCCTCCCAAAGTGTTGGGATTACAGGCGTAAGCCATGGCGCTCTGCCTGGTTTGACCTATATTTTGGACACTAACCAGCTTCTTGATTATACAAGTTGCCTAACCTCAACAGCCTGTTACCCTTTATTAGTTGTCAGCTTTGTTTATTATCTAAGGCTTTTTGTGTGGTTTAAGTGAAATAGCATTTGTGGACCACCTTGTGGTTGATCAGTAAAATCTTCATTACTTTCTTTCTGTCTGTTTAATGGGTAAACTCCACAAGAGCAGGATCTCTTTCTGTGTTGTTTCTTGTCCCTCACACATGTAGATTAGTGCCTAATACATACTAATACTCAAATATTTGTTGAATGAATGAAATAGGTCGGCAGATTAGTAGATTGTGGGTTTGTCTTGTCCTTCCATTTAGGCTAGTTCATAGCTCACCCCTTACCCAGTTCCAGTAGGTGGGTGAGGGACATTTCTTATGGAGATGAGAATTTCAAAACAGGGAGAAAAGCACTGAGGAAAGTGTGGGTAAGAGTGGAAGGACTTTGTCACACTGGGAACTTAACAGTATCAGGTACCCAGGCCTCTGGTGTGCTGACCCCATCACTAAAGCGGATGTACGTGATCACAGGTAACTGAGAGTCATTAGTGTTTGAGGATGAAGTCAGTATCTTTTCTTAAAGGATGGAGGACCATGTCCCTCTTAATTATATTGTAACTCAACAGATATTTATTGTTATTTTCTTTTCCAATCTAGCACTTCTTCACTTCGTTTGGGGCCCGGGATAGGACATATATGATGATGTTCCGGCTCTGGCAGAATGCTCTCCTTGAAAAGGTAAGTACGGCCGAGTTTGCTTTTACTGTGGGACTGGCTATCTCTAGAGAAGCCTTTGTCTCCTCAGGGTTCTGGGAATCCCCCACTGATAGTATTCTCCCACTGATGGTATTGGCCTGAGTCCTGAAAGTAGCATATAATCTCCCACGAATGGCCTCAACACCCCCAGGAGTAAGGCACTCATTGTCTTCAGGGGCTTCAGTTCCACTGCTTTGAAATGTCTCAGGATTTTCTCTAATCAGTTATGGTAATGCATGCAGCCCTGAAGAAAGAAGTCCTTAAATTCACAGACCCCCAGAAATAGGAAGCACAGCAGGATGAGGGCCACCAGGGAAGCACCAGGGTCAGTCAGGAGATGGAAAGGGAAAGGGGAAGAAGTGGGCAGAGCCTTTATTGTAGTTTTTGCAGGAAGGAGTAGGGGAGGCAGGGCAAGCAGGCCGAGCAGGTCTAGGATTGGCTAGTTTGAATAATTTTGGCAGGCTGCAGGTGTAGGGACTGTCTTAAGTTGCCTGGAAGCTTGGAAGCTATAATAGAGAATGGGGAGGGTGGGAATATGAGCCTTGGATGGGCTGGCTACTATGAAAGGCCCACTCCTGGATGAGTTATTTCCTCTCTCTAGGAATTAGCTAACCCTGATGGGTCCCTCCCCAGTCAGCAAGGCCCCAGATGCCACAACTTAAAGTACAGAAAATGTAGTTAACACAGCCACCACGAATTGACTAGTTGAGTGTTTAAATGAAACTATGAAGAGACACAGATGAAGCCACCCCTTCATGCAGTGAGCTGTGATTGCGCCACTGCATTCCAGCCTGGATGACAGAGCAAGACCCTGTTTCAATTAAAAAAAAAAAAAGTTCCCACTCAGATGCAGTTGGATGTTGAGAAACTGTCTCCAAGCCAGAGAAAGAGATGTAGGAGAAAACGCACCGACACACACACATAATGTTTCCCCCAGGATTAATTTTTATGTGTGTGTGTGTGTGTGTGTGTGTGTGTGTATGATTGACATGGGTGTATTTAAATATATACATATATTGGCCTTGACTCTAGCCCAAACAAATGGCTGCATAAGAAAATTGAGTGGATTTATTATTTAGAGTTTCTTCTCTTCTGAGAGTCTGTACCCCTAGTATCACTCCTGATAACTTATTTGAGCTGTGGTCCTCTGCCTTCACTTGCCATCAGTAATAGTAAAATGATTATGTGTTTTAGTCTCTACTGGCAGGTTTGAGTTTTCAGTTCACAGCTGCTGTCATTTTTAAGTAAGACACAGGGTCATTCATATGCTTCGCAAATGCCCTCACAAATAATTGTAAGAATTGGGCCTGCCGAGGAGAGTCTGCTAACTGTGCTTGTCCTGATCGTGGTTGGCCAAGCCAAGCCAGGTGGCGCTGGTCAGAGAAGTCTGCAGAGAGCAAGCAAAGGGTGGAGCAGGGCAGTATATGGTTTGGCAGAGAGGCAGATGTGTCCCAGGCAGGGTGAATGTTGTCCCAGGCAGGGTGGATGTTGCACATAAAGGCCAGAGATAGGAGGGGGAGGTCCAGGAGAGAAGGAGGTGATACCTCCCTCAGGCACTATGAGGTCCAGCATAGAGAGCTGCGGCCCCCAACTCTGCCAGCCTAGAGTCAGGGCCCCAAATCTGCCATTCCAGGCACTTCTCCTTAGTCAGAAAGCTGGAATCCTAGCTCATTGTACTCTGCCAGCTGCCTGCTTCTTAAACCATACCTGAAACTGTGGGCTTGGGAGCTCTCAAATTATTATTATTATTATTATTGTTATTTTTACTCCCAATGGAATATTGTTCAATTTTTATTTTTTATATTTTTAAATTTTTTTATTATACTTTAAGTTTTAGGGTACATGTGCACAACGTGCAGGTTAGTTCTATGTGTATACATGTGCCATGTTGGTGTGCTGCACCCAAATTCTTTAGGAAGTCTATCGGTGCAAACATTTTTGAAATGGGATTTTTTTTTTTAAAGATAATGATTGCTTCTGTTTTTCTTCATGCCCTTGCCCTCCTTTCCACACACTTATCCCTGCCACCTTCTCCCCTTCCTCCCAGTCTGAGACTCATTCATGGTCTCTGCCTCTGATCTTAGTTCTTTGACATCCCTTTGCCTCTCTCTGGAGACTCTGAACCCAATGAGAACAAACTTTTCTTAGAACAGTGTTTTTTTGGGAGGACACATAGGCACCCGGTGAAATAAGAAAACACTGGAACTAATGCATAGAACTGCAGGCAAACAGATTCCACCTCAGGTTGGGTAGTCACACGCTTAGGTGAGATGACCTGTAAGGTTCCTAAAACTGTGGGAACGTAAGACTCTACCCATAGGAACTGTCCAGCTATGGAATGGGCCACCTTTGAGGTCGAACCTCATTCTTGGAAGTGATCCAGTAGGGTCTGTAAGGCCACAGTTAATACAAGAGGAGATTTCTGTGCAGTGTGGTGGGGCACCGGGTCAGGGGACCTCTGGGCATTCATTCAGAGTGCTAATCAGAAGCTCTGGGATCCCCTTGGCCCCAGAGTCACATGGGTTTATGCCACTCAGTGCTGGACCTTTTCCATAAGAGCAAAAGGTGAGACAGTTACCATCCTCTGGGAGCCAGTTGGTCACGTTCTACAAACCTCTGTTGAGGGATTGGGCACTGAAAGGCCAGTTCCTGGCTTTGTTAAAGTCCACATTCCTAGGCAGAAGACTGGTGTCCTGCTGAGACCCCCAAGGCAGATGGGGGTGGTGGCTCGCCTCTCATTCAGCTAAGGAGAGAGGAGTTTCTCCTCTTCTCCAGGGGAACCAGCCCGGCTCAGTGCCTCTGTGCAGAGTCGGGGGACCTGAGGGAGCAAGGCTCAGTCGTTCCTTTTCTCCCCTGAAGCCTCTGTGTCCCAAGGAGCTCTGGCACTTTGTTCACCAGTGCTATGGGAACGAATTGGGCCTGACCAGTGATGACGAGGACTACGTGCCCCCTGACGACGACTTCAACACAATGGGGTGAGTGAGGCCAAGGGCGGCTGCCCAGAGGCAGCCGTGCGAGTGCCTGCAGGAAGAACCTGCCAGGCAGAGGGAACAGCACACATGCCTGTGCAGCCATGGAATGAACTGTGGAATGAAGGAGGGAAAGTGGTCACAGGTGAGGTCAGGGAGCTCGAGGGGGCAGAGCCTAAGGGCCTGGCCATCTTTATGGTTGGCTTTTACTGAGAGTGGGATGGGAAAGTTTGGCAAAGATAATTGCTAAGGTCTGATTTAACATTTCAGCAGGATCACTCTGGTCTTTGCACTGAAAATACATTAAAGGGGAACCAGGGCAGAGGCAGGGAAACCCGTGAAGAGGCTGGTGAGTAATTTAGATAGTTAGATGAGGGATGGTGGTTGTTTGGAGAAGTGGCAATAAGTGTTTAGTTCCTGAATAGATTTTGAAGGATATGTTGATGGAACAGAAAGGAACCAAAGGTGGCTTTCAGATTTTTTCGGTTTTACTGCCCAGAAGGATGGCATTGTTCCAAACGGAGATGGACAGTACTGTAGGCAAAGCAGGTTTCAGGGGAAAGATCAGGAGGGTAGTTTTAGGCAAGTTGAAATTGAGATGCCTGTTAGCTAAATGGAGATGCCAAGTGGGCATTTAGATATGGAGTGTGGAGTGCACAGGGAAGCCTGGGCTGAGGCCATAAACGCAGCAATTATTAGTGGATAGTCATGAGACTAGCTGAAATTTCAAGTGACTCGGTGAACCTAAAAAGGAGTTCAAGGACTGCCTGGGAGCACTCAGTGAGGGAAAGAAGCAGCTGAAGAGAGCTTGAAAGCACATGCAGTGAGGGAGGAAGGCCCTAGGAAGGTTTCCTATCCTGGCAGCCACGGGAAGGAAGTGAAGCAGAAGGTATTGTCACTGTATCACATGCTGTCGATAGGTTAAGCAAGATGGGAAGATGTGCCTGTAGACTGGCACAAAGCATGCTTGAGGGTGGAAGGGTAGCTAGCTGCAAGCTTGGTGGTCGTGCAAGAGGCATACAGGGAAAAAAGCAAGAAAAGAACATTGAATGTCTGTTGTGCTTAGGTCTGGGCTCAGTCGAAATAATAGTGTTGTCGCTTAACCTCTATGAATACCCATTTGGTTATCTCCAAAATGCACATAAGGATTTCCGGAGAGTTGTCAAGCATCTGGATTTGTTAAGTACAGGTCAGATGATGGTGATGATGATAGGCTGATGATTGCTCCCTTAGAGGAGGCTACAGCGGCATCCCTGAAGTGTTCCTCGACGAGCACCCACCTTCATCTCAAGGAGGTTTTCTTTCTAGGTGTATAATGCAGGGAAGTTTTCTAGTTATCATCAAGAATTTGGGCAATGCCACTTAAGGAGCGCTCATGTCCAGAGTCCTGTCTTCGTCACCGTTTGGGAAAGGAAATGCATGCTCAGAACCCAGATATTTGATTCAGAGGCTTCAAATAGGATGGGCACCCATGGAAAAAAAATAGCTTAAGACAAATAATCCTTTCAGTTAGGTAGGGATAACTCTAAGGAGGCTGCCTAGGAAAGGTGAGTTTGCAGCCAGGAATTTTACATGGGGGGCAGGGAGGGGTGGGGTGGGATATGAAGGAGATTTCAGAAGAGCAATGGGGTAGGCAGGGGATTTTTGGTTAGAGGAAGATCATACACAAAGCAAAGAAGCAGGAAATCTCATAGATATGGATGGATAGAAAGGTCTGAGATTCTTAGAATAGTTGGCCATCTTGAACCACTGAGGGTAATGTGGACTCACTGGTGTCTCCTCTCAGATACTGTGAAGAGATCCCTGTGGAAGAGAATGAAGTGAATGACAGCTCATCCAAGAGCAGCATAGAGACCAAGCCAGATGCCAGTCCACAGCTGCCCAAGAAATCCATCACCAACAGCACACTAACATCCACAGGGAGCAGTGAGGCCCCCGTCTCGGTATGGGCAGTCAGCCTTTGACTTCTACCCCCAGTCCTGTGGCCAGCGTTTCCTAGCATAGTTCACTGGGAACCCAATCTGGGGAGCAGGTAGAGAGGAGATTGGTTACATTGTTGTCAGTTTCTTCAAGGAGGCATTCTGGAGCAGATGGGCTCTCCGTATTCTAGTGGCATAGCCCGGGGTCCAGAGCTGGGGCTAGGTGCCTGGGGTACAAGACTGGGTTTGACTTCTGAGCAGATGAAAACCATTTCAAGCCCACTGTGCTGGGCTGCTGCTGATCAGCCCTTCTGGTAGAGAACAATTCCAGGTATTTTTTCACTGCCTTGATCTGACGTCAAAGTCATGCATGAATATAGAACTATAGAACAATTAATTGTTTATCCACTCATTTGGTTGATATTTGTTGAGTATACGTATTGTGGCTTATTTCTCCACTGTGGTAGACTTTATGGAAGCCATAAAAATGTGTAAGAGAACCTCTGTCCTGTGGGACTCTGTTAATAGAGGAGGTAGAACCTTGATGAGGAAAGAGGGTCAGGGCATGTGCTGGCAGGCAGAAGAACAGGTAGGGTTCTTCAGGAAAGGACTCCCTCAAAGAGCCTTGTATTTCAGTAGGCTATGGATCAGACCACCTGCCTTCAGAATGAAAACATTATTCATTGGATACCTGGTCTTTATTTTCCATCTCTGAGGTTATCTTTAAAATGTAAAGAGTTGTATCGATTCCCTTCCAGGGCTAATGAGAGAATGAGTTTTAAAAAATGCTTATGAAGCCTTTCGAGCTTCTTAGGATAAACAGGTACTACCTGGAGGCAGGCTGACCTTGTTGCAGGATGGTGCAGGTGCGGCTCCAGGAAAGGGCCTGGGCCTGTGGGGACCAGCTCTGTGCATTTGGGGAGCTTGTTGTGCTGTTGGAATGGCGAGCGTGAGAAGTGCAGTAGTCCTTGTACTGTGTTTGCCCATCCTCTGTGGCAGCTCTGGGGAAGGGCTTTGGAGCCTGACTCTGACTTCGCTCCTGAGCAGCTGAGCTGGGAGTATGAGAGCTGCCAAGGCTGCATCCCTAATCTCCCTTTGGAGAATAGATCCAGACCAGGTTTCCCTGGTGGGTGACTCCTCTGTCTTGGCTCCAGTTTGATGGGCTGCCCCTGGAGGAAGAGGCGCTGGAGGGAGACGGGTCCCTGGAAAAGGAGCTCGCCATTGACAACATCATGGGGGAGAAGATTGAGATGATCGCTCCTGTGAACTCCCCTTCACTGGACTTCAATGACAATGAGGACATCCCCACTGAGCTCAGTGACTCTTCCGACACACACGATGAAGGTGGGCATTTGAAAATGGGTCTGGAGTGGCCCTTGCTCTGTTTTGAAGGCTAAAAGGAGATCTCTATGTGGGGACTGTAGTTAGTCTCTAGGTTCCTGGTGGAGAGATGGGAGCAGAGCTTCCTTAACAAAAGGTACCTGTTATTAGTTTACATCCCTGTTTTCAGTCATTTGCTGTAGGAGCCTCCCATAGATAATGCTTTGTTCTGTCATTTAGTCTTGTCACTAAATGTTCCCCCTATTGACATTGGCTTGCCTTGCGACCCTGACCCTCACAGACACGCAAGTCTAGGCAATGTTTATAAGCCACAAGGAAGGTGCCAGTCAGCTGCTCCCTGGAAATAATTAGATTTTAACAGAAACGTCCTCAAGATAGCTGCGAAACTTGTTAATGCAATTTTTGCTGCATGGGGTATTTAGGCCCAGCTAGAAGAAAAGGTGTTGCTGGGTCAAATAGGGTTTGGAGACTCCCTTGTTTCTCTAATTTTTGTAAGCAGGTAGCTTCTAACTTCATGCCTGCATAGGATTAGCTTCTAGAACCTCCCTTGGGAACATGCTGCTGCTTACCTTCCATGGAGAGAAGCCAAATTCTCAGCATTCATGAAATCAATTGATGGATTTCCTCCATTGAGTGAGTGGTCTGTTATGACTGGTGAGCATATGAGCACGGTGCTCACTTGTGGATCTGTGGACACCTCTCCCAGGGGCCACCTGCAGTGGTTTTCTAACTTTTGGTTGGTTTACCCACCCCCATCTAGAGTCCAGGGTTGGCACAAGTGACTGCATGGGTTAGATACTGCCTAACTCCAGGGTGCCTTTCACATAAACTAAGGTGTGAATACCCGCTGCGCTGCACTTGTGCAGTACCCATCTGTGCAGTCATAGGACTTGACCCCTACAGGGTACTTCAGAGTTCTCTGGTTTCCTCAGGGTCCTAGGGGTGCCAGAAATGGCAGCCTCCTCCTGAGATCACATACCCACCCATGCAGGTGCAGTAATTAGGGACTGAGGGGTGCCAAGGGTTCGGGGGGGAGCACTGAGGCTTTAGCAGCTCTCCTGTATCCTCATTTGCATCCTCCTGTAGCAGCTGGAAAATTCAGATTACAGGTGAAATTCCCTGGCTGGCAATCTTCTGTATATGGACACAGTGATGTGCCAGAAGGGCTTTGCATCCCTGAGACTGAAGGAAGCTCCATTTTTGGAGCCCTCCCACACCTTGCTCTGTGTGCCTCTCATTCTGATTTGAATTCTTATTTTGCTATATGATGAAGCTGTAATCCTAAGTTTAAAAAGGGGAGTAGGTATTGACATCATGGTAGAAATAGGCTGTCTTATGGAACTGTAGTTAGGGATCACAGCCTATTGGACCAGCCCCAGCCTTAGCAGCAGTTCTGTACACTGATTCTTCCAGATTAGTCTACGTTCCCTCGAACAGACCTATGCCATGGGTTACAACTACAATTTGTTGTCGATTAGAGTTAACTTACAGACTCTCAAAACCCCATTCTTTGGGTTTAGGCAACTTCCAGAAGTAGTCATTTATTTGAATTTTAGTCTAAGATCAACTGAATTAGGGAGGTTTGAAAGTGTAAAAGCAAATCGTACATTCCCAAACACTTTGTAAAGAAGGAATGGGTAGTGTCAGCTAAAGGAAATGGTGTGCATCCCAGCAAAAGAAAGAGACCGAAAGCAAAGTCATAAACCATGCCCACGAGCTCAGCTGTCCTGCTCCGTGTCCTCTCCATACCCTTGTTGACTGTGCTCATATTAGCCAGAGACCTAAGTGCTCTTGGAGGATGTCCCTGGGGCCCCCTCCCCCTCCGCTGTCACTGTCTACTTCCTGATCCTCTCTTCTGTGCAGGAGAGGTCCAGGCCTTCTATGAGGACCTGAGTGGCCGGCAGTACGTGAATGAAGTCTTCAACTTCAGCGTGGACAAGCTCTATGACCTCCTCTTCACCAACTCGCCCTTCCAGCGGGATTTCATGGAGCAGCGGCGCTTCTCTGGTCCGTTCTGCTGGGACTGTACCCCCCATTCCTCCCTCTTCATCCTCACTTCTTCCCTCTCTACATTTGCTTCCTTCCCTTCCTTATTCTTCTTTCCACACACCCTCCTTCCCTCGGCCACCTCAGGGCCCAGACACCCTCTCTCCAGCCTTCTGTGGTTCGGGAGCTCCTTCAGGCCCTGTTGCCCTCCCTTTTCACCAGCCCTGCAGCTTCACCCTTTCCCACTACACACCAGGCACTCGATGCCGGCCCCTAAGACCTACCCTGTCCCTCCCCTCACAGGGCTCACCATCTAGTAAAGCACAGTGGCTCTCACTCGCTGGCAGCACCCACTCTATGCCATGCACGTGACGTTATCTCATTCAGACCTCACAGCTACCCTGTGTGTGGACACCGATGAGGCTGCTGGAACTCAAACTGTTAGTGCTTGCCTGACCTCATGCAGCTAAGAAGGAGCTAGGCCGGGCCTCACATCTAGGATCTGGGGGTTCATGCTTTGACCCTCTGTGCTTCTGCCTCCTCCCCTTCCCCCAAACTCTTCCCACAGCAGGGACCTCTAAGCATCCAGCTGTAACAAAGCATTTGGGCATCAGCGATCCTGTGTGCCAAGAGGAGAGGGCACGCTGAGGGCACGGGGAGGTCATGGCTTAGAGGAGAGGACTTGTTCCCAAGGGACCCTAGGCCCTCGCCACAGTAACACCAGTGTTGCCAGCACCCCCGTAGGTGGCCCCAAGACCTCCTGTCCCAGCCCCAGGAACAATCAGCATTCTGGAGCATTGTGTAGAATTTTGACAATGCTACAATGAGCCTCTTTCTGCTTCGGCTACTCCTCCTCTTCCCACCCTCCCCCCGGCCCTCGGGCTCCCATTGGCTTCCTTTTGGGGGCCAGGCAGTAGTAAGCACAGTCCAGAAGGTCACTTGGAGGGGAAACTTGGATTGGGGAGAGGGCTCTGCCCTCCCTTCCTCATTCCAGGGCTCTCCTCTACCCTTAGATATCATCTTCCATCCATGGAAAAAGGAGGAGAATGGAAACCAGAGCCGAGTGATTCTTTACACCATCACCCTTACCAACCCTCTGGCTCCCAAAACTGCCACTGTCAGGGAGACACAGGTGAGCAGAGCCGCGGATGCACAGAAGAGCGAGCTGGAAAATCCTGTGTTCTGTCTTGAAGGATTAAGGGCAGATGTCAGGAAGAAGTTTCAGGGCGCAAGTGTCATTTTGCCCCAAAGCGGTGGTGGCGTCTTGCTTGTTTAGTTGCTGCTGATTCCAGTGATCCTGGTTCTCCTGTTCAGAAGCCGTGGGGTGGGGTGGGCTTGGGGAGGCTGGAGAAGGTGCTTTTCCAAGCTTCTTGCTCCTCTTCAGTTTTGTCCAATGGACCTTTCCTGCCCGCAGACCATGTACAAGGCGAGCCAGGAGAGTGAATGTTACGTGATAGATGCCGAAGTCCTCACCCACGACGTGCCCTACCATGACTACTTCTACACAATCAATCGCTACACGCTCACCCGTGTGGCTCGGAACAAGAGCCGACTCAGGTGTGGTGTGTGGAAGTCCCAGTGCGGTCAGACGGGGGTCCTTACCTTAGAGAACATTCATTTGCTCCTGACGGGGAAGGAGGAGGTGGGGAGTGCTTGGCTGCTGACTCTCTTTATTCTACTTTCTCTCCGAAGCCTTATGAGGCTCACCCACCACTCTGTTTGAGTTAATTATTCTCTCCACTCTCTACATCTTGTTAGTAAAACTTGTATAGCTACTACTATTTATTGGTTGTCTGTGGCTTATACAGTATAGTGTAGGCGCTTTACCTACATTCACTGGAGTCTTTAGAACGACTCAAAGAGGTGGATTTATCTTCATTTTTCAGATAAAACTGAGTCTCATATGAGTTCAGGAACTTTGCCAAGAGTCATGTCTTTAGTAAGCACTGAAACCCAGATCTTAGAGTTGTAAACCTGTGCTCTGTCCACCATGCTGCGTGGATTGCCATTAGTGTTAGACAGTGAGCTCCACGAGGACAGGAATTCCATTCCACTTACACTTTATTCCCAGCACCCAGCTGGGCCTGCACGTATCAGAGTCCAGAGAACACTTATTAGTGAATAATTAGTTCTGGGCACTGTGAAGTGCTTCCAAAGGAAGGAAGACATTTAGACCCTGACATTTTAAGAAACTTGTAGTCTAATTGAAAAGGCAAGACACACACCCATTTGAAAATCATCAGACTGTTTACCTGTACCTTAGACCAAGTTCTTTTGGTTGTAAGGAGCCAAAAATTCGCTGATGTAGTTCAAATGAAAGTTTAGTAAAAGGTCGCACAGAGATCTCTTGGGCTTCAAGAAGTGCGCATCAAGAGGGACCTTTGTGCTTCGTGCCTATATTCACACATTTTGGGAGGCTTACGCAGGAGGGATTGCTTGAGCCCAGGAGTTCAAGACCAGCCTGGGCAATGTAGTGAGACCCTGTGTCTGAAAAAAAATAAAAGTTCGCCAGGAGTGGTGGCGTGTACTGTAGTCCCAGCTACTCGGGAGGCTGAGGTGGGAGGATTGCTTAAGCCCAGGAGTTCAAGGCTGCAATGAGCTATGATTGCACAACTGCACTCCAGCCTGGGAGACAGAGTAAGACCCTATCTCTTAAAAAAGAGGGCCTGCATCTTTTTCATTCTCTTGGTAATTTTTGGGGGGTTGGGTGTTCTGTGCTTCCTCCTGAACATGTACTCCTCCTTCAGCCTTGCTCCTCTTCCTCCTTCCTTCTTTAATTTCCCTTCCTTCTCTCTCCCTTCTCTTCTTGTCCTTTCCTCCACAGTGCCTAGGTTTCTTAATTCCAGGTTCCTCAGAAGATCTTTCAATTGCATCTTTTCTCTGCAGCCATGCAGAGGTAGCTGGGTGAACTTGAACAGACCATTATAGGAAGGTGCCCATCCACGATGCAGTCAGCGGTTGTTGAGTTGGGGAGTGACATGTCTCCAAGTACAGGCATTCTCCCATCTGGACATGGGTGGAGGTGGCATCCCTGAGGAGGGGGATGAGGCTGGGCTGGCAGCCTTAGTCACAGGGCGGGATGGGGCGGGATGGATTAGCTGGGAGAATCTATTGACAGATGCAGATGAACCTAAGGGGGAGGCAAAGAGCAGGGCTGCTGCATAGGAGAGAAAAGAGCTGATACTGCAGGGGGTATGGACAGAAGTGTGACCAGTGACTGGGAGCAAGAATGCTTGGAAAAGAGCAAGAGCTGGTGAGGTCTGGGGTGCAGTGGAGAGGCAGGAGCCAGGGCTGGCAGCAGATGATATTCTTTTTTTTTTTCTGAGACAGGATCTCACTCTCTTCCCCAGGCTGGAGTGCAGTGGTGTGATCATGGCTCACTGCAGCCTCAACCTCCACCTCAACCTCCCATTAGCTGGGACTACAGACATGACCCTGGCTAATTATTTTTGTTTTTGTAGAGATGGGGGTCTCACTCTGTTGCCCAGGATGACATACTTTTAAAGGTTAAAGTGATAAAAACCCAGAACTTGACTTAGACTTAAAAGTCTCTGGAGAAGGAGAGAATGACCCTGATGAAAGGATGAGCCGTCTTACTTTCTTTCAGTGTCAGTTTCTCAAAAGACTTGAACCTCAGGCAGAGCTTCCCCTTGCCTGGCAGGCAGGCTGCTGGGCCCTATGTGAGACCCCTGAGAGGAGGCAGTGTGCCATCATAAGAGAACTCTGGAGTCAGAACCCTAGTTGTTAGCCTTTGCTCTGCTTAAATATCCTACGGCTCAGTTTTCTTATCTATAAAATGGGGATAAATCCACCAGCTCCACTGACTTCAGAGGGTGAGATGGATGTGGAAGGACCTTTTAACTTGTAAAGTTTAGTACAAATGTGAAGCGGATCTGGCCTTAACTCCGAATTTCCCTTTTCCCAGCAGAGGCAGGCCCACCCAGGAAATGACTGATCTTGTGTCTGGCTTGCTCCTCAGGGTCTCCACAGAGCTGCGCTATCGAAAACAGCCCTGGGGGTTAGTGAAAACGTTCATCGAGAAGAACTTCTGGAGTGGGCTGGAGGACTACTTCCGCCATTTAGGTGAGCACTGCAATCCTTGCTGCTAGCTGGGCTGCAGAGATGGTAAACTGCACTGCGGCCGCCCACCATTCAGGGGAATGGTATTGAGAATAGAGGCAGAGACTGAAAGGTGAAGTAGTTTCATGAGGTACCCACACCTGCTTCAGAAGTGGACACCAAATTTGGCATGTATGTGGACAAGTGCATTTTTCTAGACTGTGTCTAGGATGTTTAAGAGATCATTGAGGGATCTATAAAACACCCCTCACCCCAAAAGGAACCACAGACCTAGTGATATAGGTGGCTCTGTGACGAGAAGTATTTGTAAAATGCCTGTGAATGCATCTATTTAAGACGTGTATGCCCCAAATTGTATACATGAGGGTGCAGATATTGGGAACATATGGTTCCTTGCAATGTTGAACAACCCCAGAGGAAGGGTTTGACTGGGGCTGGGTCCCACAAGTACCTCCTGAGGCTCATGGGCATCCCTGAGGATCCTCAACCCACCCAACCAACTTCCCAGAATACAGAATAGGAAAATGGTTCTGCAGAGAGTTGCATTGGAGGGCTGAAGGTGGCCTCTCCTGTGGTCCTTTTGTCTCTGATAGAGAGCGAGCTGGCCAAAACGGAGAGCACTTATTTGGCTGAGATGCACAGACAATCTCCCAAAGAGAAGGCCAGCAAGACTACAACGGTGCGGAGGAGGAAGCGTCCCCATGCCCACCTGCGAGTCCCTCACCTGGAAGAGGTGATGAGCCCGGTCACCACGCCCACAGATGAGGATGTGGGCCACAGGATCAAACATGTGGCAGGTGTGTGCCAGGTGGGGACAGGTCGGGTGGACTAAGCTTTGGGCTGGAGCTGCATGCCCACACCAAGGCACACACATGCACACTCATTTTGCACCTTGGCTATAATTTGTATATAATTTGAACGTAAGTCACTAAATCTGAGGCTCCCAATGCTCTGTTTCTCTTTGCTCTTTAAGTTCCTCAGCCCCAGCTGAACCCATATGTGTGCTCTAATTAACAAAAGCTGCCTTAGTGTTTATGCTTTCGTGTTGCCCTAGTTCCATGGCTACCTGCATAGGCTCAAGTATGAAGCTTCCAAGTTCTTGGGAAATACACTAAGGAGATCCCACAGCTCAGACCACAGAGATTACCTCATTACACAAAGATCAGGGAGACCAAGACAGTCCCCGTTCACTTCAACCCGCATGGGCCAACCCAGGCTTGCCCTCTCAGGCCGTGGACTCCCTTAATATTTCTTCCTCTTCCCACCCAGCCATTCACATCCTTGTCTTTGCTGAATCCTGGAAACCTGGGACTCTAAGGGGCCTTAGAGACCAACTAATTGAGTTGGATATGGACAGGGGAGGCAGAAGAAGAGGGGAGAGTGGGGGAAGAGTGCCAGCCTTCTGCATGCCGCCTAGCTTTACCCCTAGCACTTCCATGTTACGTGTTTTGCATTTAAGATTTCTGACTGACATTGCATTTGAGTAAACTGACTCTCAGAGAGCTTACATGACTTGTCCTCCATCATGTAGCTTACTAGGAATAGATCCAGACCCAGAAGCCAGCCGTCTTTAGTCCTAGCCCAATGCCACATCCTCTCCCATAGCTGAAGATCCCTTTGTCCTGGGCCTGTGTATCCTAGCTACATGGGCCTGTTGATTTTCTCATTTGTTCAATGATGACCTGACCCAACCCATGACCTTGCCCTTGAGGATTTTACCTTCTCCTCTTGGAGAGCTGGCAGTCTCCGCATATCGTTGCTGTCACAGTGTCATGGACATTTTTCCATCAGTCTCTGATGTTTGCTGTTTGACCAGTGTCCCCACCAGCAGTTGTTGGACTTGTGGGTCACCATGGTGATGGTCTCTTTAATTCTCCCCACAGGTTCCACACAGACGCGGCATATCCCGGAGGACACCCCCAACGGTTTCCACCTGCAGAGCGTGTCCAAGCTGCTGCTGGTTATCAGCTGTGTGTAAGGGATTCTAGGTTTTCCTATCCTGCCCTCACCACCTTCCCTTTCCAGCCTGGTGCCCCAGCCCTCGTCTCTTGAAGCATCTGAGCACCCTTACTGTTTGCCCTGGTTTTTGCCTTATCCTCTAGTCTTCTCTGTCTGGATTGGTTGCTCTGCCTGTTGCTTACCTCTTCGCTTCTTTTTCTCTGCTTTGTTCAGCATTTACTGTATGCTAGGCCTTCAGAAGAAAATGCTTCATGCAGCATCCATACCCTTCAGGGTTTCAGTTTCAAGTGGGTGAGAGAGACAGAACATTTGAAATTCCTGCACAGATGGTTAAATGCTAACAGAGAAATGCTAGAGGGCATTTTAGGAGTTCATTCCTTCATTAGATGTTCTGGGTGTCTGCTCTGTGCCAGGCACTGGAACTGTGCACTCATGGAGCCCACACGTTGGCAGGGTAGCCAGACAAAATCAATGCCTACAATACAAGAAAAGTGGATGCTTATTTTAATGTAGACTATTTATAATAATTGCTATGACATTATAAAACAGTAGGCACAGTAACTTGCATAGAAAGATGCTATGCTGGCTGGGCATGGTGGCTCACGCCTGTAATCCCAGCACTTTGGGAGGCCGAGGCAGGCGGATCATGAGGTCAGGAGATGGACAGCATCCTGGCTAACATTGTGAAACCCCGTCTCTACTAAAACTACAAATATTAGCCAGGCGTGGTGGCAGGCGCCTGTAGTCCCAGCTACTCAGGAGGCTGAGGTAGGGAAGGAAGATGCGCTACTGATTCGAGGGACCATACATGGTTGTGTCATTCACAGACATCTGGAATTTAGCAAAGCATTTCCAAAGAAGACATTAACAGTTCCAGGTATGTCTCAGGTGCCATAGGTTATCCAGGAAGAGGTGACAGATTTCTGCTGATGTGGTCCTGGAGCTCAGATGACAAGTGTAGGCTGCAGTCACTGCTTAATTATCCATAACATTACAGCCTTGGTGTGAATGAAAGCATCCATAGAGAGTATAGCATGTGACAAAGAAGACAAGGTCTAGGACGGTCCTGGGGACCAACTACAGGAGGGAAAGCCATGAGAAACATAAGGTGGACTCTTTCACCAACCTTAATATGTCAAATAAAAGTAAATGCAAAATTCTTCTGATGACAGCATAAGAAACGAAGATATTTTTACAAAATTAAAAACAAAAGTAACTGTTGGCTGGGCGCGGTGGCTCACACGTGTAATCCCAGCACTTTGGGAGGCTGGGGCAGGCGGATCATGAGGTCAGGAGATCGAGACCATCCTGGCTAACATGGTGAAACCCCGTCTCTACTAAAAATACAAATATTAGCCAGGCATGGTGGCAGGTGCCTGTAGTCCCAGCTACTCGGGAGGCTGAGGCAGGAGAATGGCGTGAACCCGGGAGGTAGAGCTTGCAGTGAGCTGAGATCGCGCCACTGCACTCCAGCCTGGGTGAAAGAGTGAGACTCCATCTCAATAAATAAATAAGTAAATAAAAGTAGCTGTAAAACTAGTAAAAGTCACACTTAGCAACATCGATTTAATGTGATTCATGCCATTGTTCTGTTAAATTAAATCTCTTGTATTGGATTTTGGTTTGTAGAGCACTGTAACCTCAAGTTAGTTCTGTGTTTAAGCTCTTTCTGCATTTTGACTTTAAGTAGAGAAGGCCTGCACCCCTGAGCAAATTGTATAGCATGTTATTAACTAACTTTTGGGTTTTGTAAGTTTAGAATGATCAGACTCTCTAATTCAATGCTGCAGGATCCAGGCCAAGTGTCTGCCGACAGCCTACACGTGGGACGGGCTGACACAGCACAGCTTGCCCTGTGTCTGGCAGGCTCTTGCCCCCACATGCCTGCTGCAGTGTGACTCAGCCACCTCCTTTCTCTATTTCGACAACTGCGCAGGCTTCACTTAGACAGCACACAGGGGTATCCCTTGACCTTCACTTAGCACAGAGAGGATTGCAAACATAAACCCAAATGCAGGCACCAAGATCGTGAGCAGGCTGTGCCAAAGAGGCGGGTGTTCAGATGACCCAGTGAGTGCTGATAAAATTAAAGACCGTGGCACTGAAATTCAACATAAAAGTTTTAAAGGCCTTGGGGACAACTCAGAGAGGCCTGAGAACACAGCAGCCCCAGAAATTTGTGGCTGTCAGTTTAAGGAAGACTACCTTCCACAGTACCAGAAGCACGGATGACACACACGGTACCACTTGCACAGGCATAAGCTTTGAAAAGCCTAAGGCATAGCATAAGCTTTTCTTTCTTCGCTGGTCTTTTATCCATCTCTCTTTTATCTGTTTTTCTTTCTTTCCTTTTTTTTTTTTTTTTGTTTGTTTGTTTGTTTGAGACAGGTTCTCACTCTGTTGCCCAGGCTGGAATGCAGTAGCATGATCTCAGCTCACTCTAACTTCCCCTTCCCGGGCTCAAGCAATCCTCCTGCCTCAGCTTCCCTAGTAGCTGGGACCACAGGTGCATGTCACCACACCTGACTAATTTTTAAAAATATTTTTTTGTAGAGATGGGGTTTTGCTATGTTGCCCAGGCTGGTTTTGAACTCCCCAGCTCAAGCAATCCACCCACCTTGGCCTCCCAAAGTGCTGGGATTACAGGCGTGAGCCACCATGCCCAGCCTATCTTCTCATTTTTTGTCATCTTTCTTTTCTTATGTGTGTCTACCTCTCCCCCATTAATTATAAGAACTACCCTTTGTGTAGGGCCTGTGGTGTGCCGGGATATTTTACAATATATTCCCTTTCATCTACAGAACAACCCCAGTAGGATAGGTATTACTGTCCCTAGGTTGGAGAAGCTAGGAAACTTGATCAAAAGTTAAGAGATTTTTAAGTGGTGAGCCAGGGTTTGCATCCAGTTTTGTGTGTCTCTGGATCCTCTCTACCCATGATGATGTCTTCATCTCTTCATCCTATGAGCTTGTTATACAGTGAGTTTAGGCAGCCAGTGAGGCTGAGAGAAGGAGAGAATTTCTGCAGTCTCTCTATGACTCCCCACAGCCCCTCCAGCCCCTGGATGATCCTTGCCTCCCCTGTCTCTCACCAGTTCTGACCCAGACTCTGGGAAACCTCAGCCTGTCTGCATGATCCCTGCCAGCCGGTATCAGGTTGAGGCAGGGAACTTTGCAGCTTGCGGGAAGTTCTGCTAACATCTGTAAGAGGTATCATTGGCAGAGCTAGGGACCCACTGGAATTCCTCCTTCAGTCTCACCCTTCAGTTAGGTCCTAAGGTTGGGTTGGTAGGGGGAGTCTTTTCTCAATTTAGCACCCGTGGAAATACTAAGAGTCTGTCTGTTGTTTTCTTGTGCCCTGTCCTTGCTGGGTCGTCTCATCCATTGTGTCTTTGCTTCTAGTATTTTTTTCTCATATACTCTCACTCACTCCCAGGTTGATTTTCAGTGCAGGTTTCCCCTTCCCCACACTTGCCTGTTTCTAACCTCTGCCTCCTCCCCATTTTTCTTCCTTGCTCCCATTAGGATCTGTTTCAGGTACTGGCTCTATGATTTCTCCTTTACCCCCTCATCTCTTTTCCTCCCCACCGTACCTCTCTTCCCCCAGGTGCCCAGGTTCTGGGTGCCTATGCATCTCTCCTTTCTAGTGCCTTCATCCCATGCCCCTCTCCATGGCTCTCCCCTGTATCCTGGCCCATCCAGATTAGGTTGCTTCTCTCTCTCTCTCCCTTGCTCCATCCCTCCAGCTCAGTCACTCACTGCAATGCTTTGGATGGCCCACCGGTCAGGGACAGCAGCCTCTGGGATGGGGGATGTCCTAGGCTCAGGTGACATCTCACTGCTGATGTTTTTTTCCCCACGTCTCCTTCCTAGTCTGGTGCTGCTGGTCATCCTTAACATGATGCTCTTCTACAAACTCTGGATGTTGGAATACACCACGCAGACCCTCACTGCCTGGCAGGGTCTAAGGCTCCAAGAAAGGTAATCCTGGCCTCGTCCCCTCACCTCCACCTTCATCCCACCCAGTGCCATGATACCTGTCTCCCAGTCTCCTTGGGACTGCCTCACTGCCCTTCCCCATCCCTCTGGGATGAGCCCACAGGGAAACTCAGAATCTCTCCCTATAGTTTCAGCCCACTTCTGATCTGGGGCACAGGGGAACCGGGGGCAGTGAGCAGAGGACAAAGCACTCTGATGTGACTCTCTGTCCTTTAGGGGTCTGGGAGCCCAGGACAGTTCGCTGAGCATAACTCCAGCTGCTGGGGTACCCCTTCTTCTACCCCACAGGTTACCCCAGTCTCAGACAGAATGGGCCCAGCTCTTAGAGTCCCAACAAAAGTACCACGATACTGAGCTCCAAAAATGGAGGGAAATCATCAAATCCTCAGTGATGCTCCTTGACCAGGTGAGATGCCCCACCTTCTCTGCTTGCCCTGGTCTTTGGGAGCGGGGACTCCTTCCCTTATGCTGTGAGAAAGATCCTCGTCTCTATCACCACCCTCCAGACTTCTCCCTCCAATTCATTCTTCCTCCAGGCCATGCATTGTTCTAAATGGAAAGCCTTCCTTGAGTGGGCTGCTAGAAATGCAGGTGTATTCTAAAAAATAAGAACAATAAAATGACCCACTGAATTTGCACCAGGAAAGCTGTAGTTTAGGTGGAAGGAGAACTCTTTTTATTTTTATTTTTGGTAACCCATAACCATCTGACAGGCATTTAAACAGAGAACCCCCTCAGCCCTTTTACAGAGATTTGTCTTCCCAGAGGGCATGTCTTTGAGTTTTTTCAAATGTTTACCGCCCCCTCCTCTGACAGTCAGTGGCACTGCACTGATAGTCTGGGAAGATGGCTGTACTTTGTCTTCTTTTCATAGCATCATCTTTGTCGTACAGTTTGCCTGTATTCCCCCCCGCAAAACTAGATCAACTATTTAGGCAAATCATCCTGAGGCAAAATCAATAATTAGCCTAGTTTCCTTGGGGGAGGGAGCTTCCTGCTTCCCCAGAATAGTTTAGTATCATAAAATATGCCTCCATGTGGTTGCCTAGAGAGCAGGAATCTGCCTTTGCTGTGCAAGAGAATTAGAAAATAATAGACTCAGGATTTATCCTGCTACATGACAACTTCTCTCCCTAAAGAGTTGCCTTTCTGATGTTTTGTGACCAGCCAGAGACGGCATCCCAGCTTTGCCACTAATTTTGTGACCGTGAGCAAGGGACCTTGAGCTTCCATTTCTTCATTTATAAAATAGGAATTGTAATCATAGCTTCATGGAACTGTCATCAGGATTTGATGCCATGTGGGCGGTGCTCATTAATATTAAACTTTGTTTCCTTGCATTGTTTGGTCTTAGCTCTAAGTAAGGAAAAAGAGGCCGGGTGTGGTGGGTCACGCCTATAATCCCAGCACTTTGAGAGGCTGAAGAGGGCAGATCACTTGAGGTCAGGAGTTTGAAACCGGCCTGGCCAACATGGCGAAACCCTGTCTCTACTCAAAATATAAAAATTAGCCGTGTATGGTGGCGCACACCTGTAATCCCAGCTACTTGGGAGGCTAAGGCAGGAGAATTGCTTGAACCTGGGAGGTGGAGGTTTCAGTGAGCTGAGATAGTGCCACTGCACTCCAGCCTGGCAACAGAGTGAGACTTCATCTCAAAAAAAAAAAAAAAAAAAAAAAAGGGAAAAGAATCTTAATGCAGCTATCAAGACCCAGTTGGATGTGTTTAGCTTTGTCACTACACTTAAGGAGGGCATTTTTTATTTTAAACCAAAAGGGGACAGAAAGCTTAGTGAGGAGTTTAGAAGCCCTACCCTTTCAAAAAGTGTTGATGGAATTGAAGACAAACCCAGGAGAAGGGAACACGAGGGTGAGGAGAACAGGGTGGCCTTCAGACACCCAGGCCAACACATGTCAAGGGTTAGACTTACTGGAAAACTCCAGAGCGCTGAACTAGAGCTAGAAGTTTAAGAAAGTAATTTTTCTTCATCATCAAATGCAAACAACTTGTGGCTAATGCTGTCCAGCAATGGAACAGGCTACTGTAGGGAACTGAGATTCCAACATTGAAAGTGTTCATCATCATCACTAGATGATGATGGATAAAGAACTTATAGATTAAATTGGGGCAGTTGGACTAGATGACCCAGGGGTCTCTTCCAACTCTACAATTCTATTTCAGAATGGGGCCCTTTAACTTGGGGGTTGGGGCTGTCAGATTTATAGCCTAGTGGACTCTACCCTACAAGTATTAAGAGAGTTGTTTTGTTTCAATCCCTTTAAAAGTAACTTTTAAAATAACAGAATGGCCCCCTCCTCTGTCTTGAGCACAAGATATAAATGAACCAGAGAGAAGAAAGTGGTAGATTAAGCAGAGAGACCAGACTTTCCCTAAATCCGTAACCATTTACCCCAGAAATGTTGTCTTATGTTGTAATACAGCAGTTTACCCAGAGACAGTATGTAAATATGTGAATATTTAAATATATGATGGTATGATGGGCCATTTTACAATTCTCCTGCCAGGTTCCATTCTAGTCTCCCATTTAGACTGCAGTCTATGACCTAAAAATGTTAATTTGCTGATGTGGATACCTACTAGGAACCCACTCAGTTCTCTGCATGGTGCCCCTGGGTGCACAAGGGAAGGATTAGACACAGTTCTAGTCCTAGCAAACATGAAACCAAGCAACGAAAGATGACTGCAGTCCAGAGCCTGAGTGTGCTGTGTGAGAGACCATGAAGGAGAGGGATGACTGGGAGCTGGAGAAAGCTTGGATTTGTTCTGAGCCTTAGCAGACGGGTGACACTGGAATAGGCAAGAGCACAAAGATTCCTGGGCGGGGAGAACAATGTGGCTCAATGTACAAAGACAGGCTTGTGGTATATTAAGGATCATCAGGGAAACCAGATGAAACAAGTAGATCAAGTCAGTGACAGCCTGAGAGGCTCTTGGTAGCAGTTGAACACTTCAAGAGAGTTCTTGATCTAGCACTGAGACCCAGTAAGCCCTACCCAAGGGCTTCCCCATGCTAGATTGTCTTTCTTTCTTTTCTTTCTTTCTTTTTCTTTCTTTCTTTCTTTTTCTCTTTCTTTCTTTTCTTCTTCCTTCCTTCCTTCCTTTCTCTCTTTCTTTCTTTCTTCTTTCTTTCTTTCCTCTCTCTTTTTTTCTTTTCTTTCTCTCTCCCTCTCCCTTTCCCCCTCTGTCTCTCTCTCTTTTTAAAAGGCAGGGTCTTGCTCTGTTGCCCAGGCTGGAGTGCAGTGGTGCAGTCATAGTTCACTGCAGTTGCAAACTCCCGGGTTCAAGCCATCCTCCCACCCCAGCCTCCTGAGTAGTTAGGACTACAGGTGCATATCACAAAGCCTGGCTATAATTTTTAAATTTTTTATAGAGATGGGGTCTCTCTGTGTTGCCCAGGTTGGTCTGAAACTCCTGGCCTCAAGTGATCCTCCCACCTCTGCCTCCCAAAGTGCTGGGATTACAGGTGTGCGTCACTGCACCCAGCCTGACTGTCCCCTTTCTGTTTGAAACAGTGTTGAGAACCACCCTTGCTTTAGGTGCCCGACTCTTTTCAGCCCCATGGCGTGGTTGGAGGCCTGCCCTAGGCGGGTGTGGGGAGAGGGCTGCTCGGTGGAGAATCCCACTAAAAGCGCAGACCCAGGCCTGGGGTGGGGTTTTCTGTCTTGCAGATGAAGGACTCGCTCATCAACCTTCAGAACGGCATCAGGTCCCGCGACTACACGTCGGAAAGTGAAGAAAAGAGGAATCGCTATCATTGACAAGGCAGGAACAGGGTGGCTGCAAGAGGCCTGTGCAATACATGTACATAGACCATATAAATATATATATATAAATATATATATATACAGAATATAAATATATATATTATATACAGATTTTAAAAAAGAGATAATGCCTATGTACCAGGGAGAAGGAGCGGGCCCTCCCGCGCCCTGTGCTGGCCGGAGCAGCGTTTTCTTATGGTGGAGCAGCTGAGGAGGGCAGGAACCGCCTCTCAGCACCGACCTCCCCTGATCTCCCTCCTCCCACCCTCTGTTCCCCACCCCTTCCCTTGCTGGCCATTCTTGGCTTTTAGAAGGGAAATGTTGAGCCAAAGTTATGCCTGCGAAGACCCTAAGGTCTCAAAAAGAAGTCTTAAGACGGCATTGCTTAAGGTGCTTCATTCCCTAATCCCCTTTTGATTTGTTTCCAAAATAAAAGAGAATCTTTTCTTCCCTACCCCAGGCTTCCCCAGGCATTCTCTTGGGAACACAGAAGCATCAAGGGAGCCCAGTCTAAACTCCTAGGGTTGGCCGCCCACTTGATCCAGACCGTACTGAGTGTCAGATGGAGAGGATGCTTGGAAAGCTAGGAAGGCTGCATTGTGTGGTGGCAGGCTCCCGAGACTCGTGTTCTGAAGGATACTCTCCTCCATCACCCCTGCACCTTCCTCCGACCTGTGTAGGGTGTGGACCCAGTAAGGGCTGGGAATTTCTTACTTTCCCACCCGCTTTCTCTCTGGTCTTCTCCCAGGCTGGATCTGGGCGAAGTGTCACTTTTTAGTGCCTAAAGTCCTATTGTTTCTCTGTGCCCTAAGAGCACATTGTTTATTAGCCAGGGTGGAGCGTTTTCGACCTTATTAAACCTCTTTTAGTGCTTCTAAGCAAGTCAGGTCTGTGGCTCTGAGGCCTTCACTTAGAGCTGTCAGTGTGATTTCCAGGATGAGTCAGGGTGTGCTGGGCCCTCCAGGATTTGAGAGAGGGAGAGAAGGCCCTTGCCACGTCCGGGGTGCAGGGTCTACCCACAGAACACTGTGAGTGGTGAGCACCAAGATGGGTTGCCAGCCTCATTTGCTCTTTGAACGAACCAACATTAGCCAGTGGAGACGACTGTCTGAGACAGTTTGCACATAGAAAAAGCATCTGAGCCACTGGAGGGAAGGATTTGGCAAAGGTGCATGTGTTTGGGCAGGAAAAGGCCAAGTGAAATCTATGCCCTACGGGAGCCATTCCCAATCCTGAGTTTCTCAGACTTGGCAATGGGGGTTCTGGCGGGGGTTGGAGTACAAATCCTGCTCTGGTCTCTGGCCCCACAGAGGTGTAAGATCATTAAGAAGTAGAAGGCACTAGCTTCAAAGAGTGAGACATTCAGGGCCTTTTCAGCATTGGCCCACTAGCACCATGCATTTATCTGAATTCACGGGGCCCTCTGGGCACATTCATCATCCCTCATACACTAACTACTGTTTCTTCATGTAATGACCAAAAGAGTCCCACCAGCTCCAGGCAGAGCTTGTGGAGATTCATGAAAGAGTCATAGCCAGTTTGGCATGCAGAGGTCTTCAGTCTTGCTTATTCTTCTCCTGGGCTTCTTGACACAGGGGCAGAAGAAACCCCAGATGTCCCAGATGTCCCAGAACATCAGCCCAAAAGACAGAAGATTTTATCACTCATCTACCCCAAAGATAAAGTTGTATTTTTTTCTTAGAATGGCCTTTAATTCCCTGTGGCAATTACAGTTTTTGACTTTTCCATGTGAGAATAAGGCCTTGGTATTTCCCTAAGGGCAGGATCAGAAAACAGGAAGGTCCATGCCCAGGTGATCCTCCAAGGGAGGAGGGTGAGGAGGCTCCAGGGCATGAGCTAGAGTGGATATTCCTCCCCTAGAAGAGGAGATGGGAGGAAATGCAGTTTCATGTAATCCCTGTGAAGAGTGCCTATGCCCACAGCCCAGTGGGTCCTTGTTCAGTTCTTGTCCAGGCCTTTGGGTGAGGGACACTGGTAGGGATCAAGGCTCATGGGCTCTGAGCCAAAGAAGGAGGCATGGTGCAGACTGCTGGAAATCTCCCCCTTGGCACAGCCAGAAGCCAAAACTATTCCCAGAAAGTTTTGAATGCAAAACTTGTAGATTCCTGAATTTATTCCATACATAATTATTTCCTTAAGTTATTTAATTATTAAAGGTGCCACGGTGGGACCTTTGGGATGACTTAAAAAGGGTTCTTTGTTGGGAGTCAAGTGACAGAGCAGACCTGGCCGCAGGGAGTTGTTCTGCTTCTGCTTTACCTCTCAGGACCATTCCCAGGAGGAAAAGGTGGCAGAGAGGGCAGTACTGAGTATGTCAGAAGAGCCCTCCTGGTTTTTTAGCGATTTGAACCCACTAGACAATGTGTGCACATAGGGAATGTCCTTTAAGAATCATGGATCTCTTGTAGGCTCTCTGTGTTCCAATAATTTTTTGACTATCATACCAGGAAAAAACCAACAACTCTATTCATTCCCAAACAAAATCTCTTCCCCCTTAGTCAATAGCTTGCGAAAGACATCTTAACTCACCCTTGCAGATAAGTCTTGGAGTGAAACAAATAAATAGCATTGTATTCCTGGCCATTTGCCTGGCTAGTTGCTGTCTACAAGGGAGCATCAAAACATCACTACTTCTTATGTAACTTCTTCCAGCCAGTGCTTTTATTGTTCGTTTTAGTTTACTGGGGACACACAGGAGTCTTTCTGTAATGACTTATGTGGTAAAATGTTTGAGAGTTTGCACTCAATTTTAAAGAATTTGCAGTTTCTAACAAGGTGAAGAACAGCTATAGGATCTAAAGTTCCATTACAGCTTACTGTGAAAGAATTGACAAGACTGGCCTCAGACAAGCTAATCATGGTGCGACTCTCTCCCTTCCTCATCCACCTCTTTGGGGACAAGAGGATTACATCTCAGGCCAGCAAGATCAGCTGCTTGAAGCTCTGTGTAAGAGCACTGCACTGACGGTTTGGAGACCTGAGCCTGGGTCCTGACTTTTCCATTGACTAAGCTCTGTGGCCTTGGGCAAGTCACTCCCCCTCTCTGAGCTTCAGTATCCTCCTGTCACAGGAGGGAGTTGGGCTAGATCATCTTTAAGGTAGGTTCTAGCTTTGACATCATCTTGGGGGTTAGGCCAGAGGCTGGGAAGACTGGGTGGACTTTCTCAATTGCTCTGCCAGGAGGGAACAAGCCCAGAGGCTGAAGCTTCCCAGTATTTAGAGGTGTGGTAGGGCAGTGTCTGCATTCCCAGGAGACCCAGGGTGATTAAAATTTATTCTTTAGGTGGCTAGGAGGGCTGGGGAGGCCCAGTGGAAGAGAGAGAGAGAGAGAGAGAGAGAGAGAGAGAGAGAGAGAGAGATCGAGCTTGATGTATTGCTCAGTATTCACTTAGAAGGGTTTCTTTCTCTTTGGCCTAGTTTGTGAAGGGATCTTCCTTTGGACTTTCTCTAAGTTGGGAGAAGAACATTCTTTTCAATGGAGCTCATCTTCTATCTCTAGGGTCTGTTCAGCCTTTCATCTATCCATCCTTCCTCTTTATTGGTAGAAGAAACAGTGGAGAGTAGCCACTTCTGGTTCTAGCACTTCTCTTTTGTTAAGATAGGGTTTGGATTTAGTATGAAGCTTTGGCTAAAACCCTTGGGTTTGCCTTAGAACACTGACACTAAGAACCTGGAATGACATGGGGAGGACAAAGAGAGCTCAAGAGGAATGCTTTGTGAGAAGTGGATTCTCTCCGTGTCCCTGCCCCCCACCCAAACTTGAACTATACCTATTACATTTCCAGGCAGTATCCCTAAGATGAGATCCTGGAGAAAGGACTAGGGGAAGTATCTTTCTGGATGCTTGTGGTCCCAGAAGGGTACTTTCTGTGTCATACCATGCCACTTCTTTAAGCTCTTCAGGGCAGCCAAAGCCAGCCCTTTTCTCCTACTGCCCCCAGGAGAAATAGCACTCTTCTCCCTTCCCCCAGATGGCAGGGCTCTGGCCTCCCTACACCTCATACCCTGCCTGCCTCCTCCAGGAGGAATCTCCGGGGCCCCTTCCTGACTCTCCCCACCTTCGCCACTTGTCTCTAGGCTATGGGACAATCATCCCATTCACCACTTGACATCCTTGACATCCTTGACTTTCATTCCCCCAACCTCCAGCAGGTTGGCCCCAATCCTCTTCACCTCTGTGTTTTCTTCTAGAAGATGCATTTTGGGTCTGAGAGGAGCATTTTCCTGGAAGGCCATCTTTTAAGGCCCCTGCTTGCTGTCATAGTGCAGAGCAGAAACTTGCACACTATTTAGAGAGCTCCCTTCCCACCTCTCTGCCCAGCCTTGTTACCTCACTTCTGCTCTGGCCATGGCTGTGAAGGGCCCAGCCAGCTCCCTGTTTTGATGTTCTGTGCAACAGCTCCGGGGTCTTGTGACTGGAGATCCTCAACAGGCCCTGGAGCCAGGACTGGAGTCTTGGCAGCTGATGAGCAGCACCTTGCCGGCCAGGAGGAGCTGATGCTGACGATCTCCCCAACATCTGAAGGCTTAAAGAACATTGTCGTTCTTCAGCCCTCCTTGCTTCTCTCAATACAATAAGACATTGCAGAAGCAAAAGGGTGGCCTCTGCTCCAGGCAAGGCAGCTGGCTCTGTCTGGGGCATCGGCCTGGGGCTTGGGTGCCACGTGCTGAGATTGCATAGTCAAAACAGCCATTTTTGCCAACAATAGCTTGTGGCTCCCCACATTTTCCTACCCTGCACTCAAGGGCCAGACCACTCTCTGCATGGACCAGACCATCTTCCCAAACCCATGGTGCTTTTTCCCCAACTCAACCTAGACTCCAAGGTGGGGAGGGATGGGTCAGAGGCCATAGTGGCCCCTGGATAATCCTGACGTGGGGTGGAGTGGGGTGAGGCAGAGGGAGCAGCCCCAACACCTGCACTGGGCCATCTATGGGAAAGAACACGGGTCGAGTGCAGTCGAGTTGTCTGGCCATCTGTATTTGGATCTATAACTGTACTTTGCCTGGCGCTGTGCGCAAGGTCAGAAAACTTACTGCTAGTACCTAGAAACACACAAGGCTGCCCAGCCAAATCTTAATGTAAAGTAGCTAGAGCCATGGAAGTACAGTATGAATTAAAAAGAAAAAAGTATTGAACTACAATAATAAATGGTGTGCGTGTTTATTGCTTGATCTATGAATGCTCGTCACCTCAGATGTTTCTGGTCTTCCCAAGTAGGCTCACAGCAAGTCCTGAAGGCATGTGTTTGTAGGCACGCTTATAGACACACACGCACACACACACGCACACACGCAGCCATCCACCTTCTCACGGGAGGGAGGGAGGCCGCCTGATCAACTGGAATGGATAAATTTTGGAGTCAGACCTGAGTACAAAGTATAGCATCACTGTTTACCAACTGTGTGGCCTTATGCCCCATCTGTCACTCCAAGCCTCAGTGTTTCAGAGATAATACATTTAAAACACACATCGTTCTTGGTATGGCTGCTGGTATTATACTAAAATATTTTCTTTTGTTTTGAGATTCACTGTCACCCAGGCTGGAGGTAGTGGTGCATTCATGGCCCACTGCGGCCTTGACCTCCTGAGCTCAAGTGTTCCTCCCACCTCAGCCTCCTGAGCAGTTGGGGCTACAGGCACACACCACCATGCTAGGCTATATATTTTTTTTAGAGATGGGGTCTCACTATGTTGCTCAGGCTTGTCTCAGACTCTTGGCCCCAAGTGATCCTCCTGCCTCAGCTTACCAAAGCGTTGGGATGATTTTTAACCTTTTTTTTTCTTTGAGATGGAGTTTCACTCTTGTTGCCCAGGCTGGAGTGCAATGGCATGATCTCAGCTCACTGCAACCTCCGCCTTCCAGGTTCAAGCAACTCTCCTGCCTCAGCCTCCTGAGTAGCTGGGACTACAGGTGCCTGCCACCATGCCCGGCTAATTTTTGTATTTTTAGTAGAGATGGGGTTTCATCATGTTGGCCAGGCTGGTCTTGAACTCCTGACCTCAGGTGATCCACCTGCCTCGGCCTCCCAAAGTGCTGGGATTATAGGTGTGAGCCACCGCACCCGGCCGATTTTTAATCTTATGATGAGTAGTACTGTTGTTGCAGGAGATTGTGGTGGACTGTGAATCCCGATGATGGTTTCTTATAGAACTTTTCCCTCTTCGGGCCTTAACACTTCCAGGAAGATGAATGTTGAGAGACTGCTCCATGTTCTTCTTTTATGTTACCTAAACTGGTGGAGCTGAGAGCCAGATTGGCTCCTCCCTTCATTAGGTCAGCCTTGCAGGGAGCTCCTCGATGCCTGGTAAGGAAACTTGTTTGATGTCAGGCAAGAACATAAGTGACTCTTGTATTCCTTTGTATTGGGGTAGAGGAGGAAAGGGAAGCGGAGAGGCTAGATCACACATTTAGTGTGTGTTTAATGTAAGGCTATTACATGGTTTTCATTCTCATGCATATCCACAGATTGGGTATGGGAATTTGAAGCAGGCTGGGGTGCTGGGGGAAGCCATAGTCTATGGTGCAGACACACTTAGTAAGTAGAGCAAAACCAGAGACAGTGGTTTTCAGGGATACTTTATTGACATGAACAAGGAGTTTACTGAAAAACAGCACATACAGGCATTACGTTGTTGAGGGCTTAGGTGGTCAGGAACATTTCCAGAGTTTGGATTGTGTTCGATGGCAGTTCACAAGCCTGCAAGCACTCGGCCTTCAGCGGCCTCCGTCTCCATCACACACACTGCTCAGCAGAGGCAGCTCTTGCCAAGCCGTGACGCAGGGAGGAAGCACAGAGCATTGCTGGCTCTGAGGGTCAGCTGGCCTGGGATGGAGACCGAGTTTGATATATAAATCAGACTTGCTTGGAAGTGCTTATCTCCTGCGTCCTGCTGCAAACTCAACTAAGGGGGAGGAAGTGGGCTGAACTAATCATGAGCTGTCCACCAGCTGAGATTTTAGAGATTAAGTAAGGTTTGGATGATGCTGCTTTTCAGACCTGTGACTGCATGGCACACTAAAGGTCTAGGCTAGAGCTTGACAGAGTGGGTGCAAAAAGATGTTAGTAGAATGAGTGGATGATCAGACTGGCAAGCACACCAAGCACTATTCAGATACATTTGCAGTGACTAGGTGAATTCACTGAATTAGGGATTTTTCATTTACAAAATGAGGTGAGAGGAAGGCTTCTTTTGTTTTTGTTTTTCATTTTTTTCTTTTTTCATTTTCATGTTAAACTGGGAAAGGGGAAACTAAGATATATTCTGAAGTGTGTCTAGCTCTTGCTTCTCTTTCTTCCTGCAAAGATGCAGTGACACAGCCTTTTCCCTCAGATTTATGTGAGGAGGACTCACAGATTCTGAGATGGATGGAATTTCTTTTTTGATCCAATAATTTTGGGGAGAGAGGAGGGAGTTGCTGTCTCCTACTTCCCAGCACATTCCTGCTTTGAAAAGTAACTTTCCTAGTAATATTTCTAGTTGGACATCTAAGGAGAAACCTGCAACTCAGAAGGAAGTCTGGGTGTGTGGGTGTCTGGGAATGGAGAAACTAAAAGGTCATGCCGTTAAACAAGTGGTGAGAATAAAGGCTGGGGTAGGGACAGGCAGGGAGTGTTTGGGTTGGGGCTCTGATTCAAGACCGAGGTGACAGTGAAGGTCAGCAGGGCAAGGTGCTCTCAGGGCCAACTGGATTGAGCAATCACATTCATGGCTGTGAAGTAGTAAGAATGGGAAAATCAGATTGAGCCAAGCTTGGCCTTTAGTGAATTGTGTTATTGAGGATCAGACATGGGAAATATCCAGCACCAAGACAACAGATGGGGTTTCTAAAGTGATATTAATAGCCCTTGAGAACTCTTCTAAGCCCTTTAATAAGCAACATCATGCCAGATAAAGCTTCCAGAGAAACAGACATCTAGTCTGGGTCTTTCGTAGGATTATGGGAAGAGACAGGGAGGTGGGTGGAGATTGGAAGTAGGCTGGTGATCACAGTACCTTATTGATTTACAGTCATTATCAAATCTCCCAGGAAGGAGTTTAATTGCAATTCAGGAGAAATAATGATGTACAAACCAACTAGAAAGAGAACCAAAATAGGACTGACTCTCAAAGCACATTGCTAGCATCCACCAAAAAGCAAAGTGGTAGAGAAGCAGTGAGTGGGATTAGGGGTGAGAGAAGATGGAGAACATTAGGACAGGCAAGATAGGCAATGGTTAGATGGAAGCTAAAAAATAAGAAAAGGAAGCAGCTATGGTCTAAGTGGAAAGAGAACTGAAAGAGGAGTCAGAAGACCTGGATTCTTGCTGTCTACCTACCAGCTAGGTTTCCTTATAATTTAGTAAAGCTACTTAACCTCAGAGACCCTCAGTTTCTTCTTTTGTAATGTGACCTCACAGGACCAGTTATAGAGAAGAAATAAAATAGTTAAGTGAAAATACTTCGTAAACCATATAGTTCTAATGAAAGTGTCAAGAATGAGAAGAATGGAGAAGTTAGAAAAAGGAAGAGTGGGGAAGATAACCTGTCAAGGATAAATAAGTGATAGATACCATTCAGCTTCATTAAAAGCCACGCAAGCAGCATCTGAGTTGGGTTTTTTTAAAAAGAAGAGAAAAAGGCAATCATGCATACTGCCGGGTTCAACTTAGATACACGAGCTATTGGGCCACCGAGGAAAACGGTGTGGTAGTAAGCATCTTGCTACTACCGCAAGCTGGTGGCATCCATGAGCTATGGGACTGGAAAAATTTCACACTGAGGCCAATTTTTCTAACTATAAAGTTAAAAAGGTCTATATCCTCTCCCTTATTTCAGAGGGATTGTGTGGAAAATTACCAATAAGAAGAGTCTTGAATTTATTGCAAATATTTTCTTCAACAAAATCAGACTCTTTAATGTGTTAACGGTCTGGTTTTGGGCCAGGCACAGTTGCTCAGGCCTGTAATCCCAGCACTTTGAGAGGCTGAGGCTGGCAGATTGCTTGAGCCCAGGAGTTCAAGATCAGCCTGGGCGACATGGCAAGACCCCTGTCTCTACATAAAATACAAAAATTAGCCAGGCATGGTGGTGCATGCCTGTAGTCCCAGTTACCTGGGGGCTGAGGTGGGAGGATTGCTTAAACCTGGGGCAGTTGAGGCTGCAGTGAGCTGAGATTGCACCACTGCACTCTAGCCTGGGAGACAGAGTGAGAATCTGTCTCAAAAAAATAATAATAAATAAATAAAAATTTAAAAGTCTGGTTTTAAGTACTTTCCTAGGGATGGAAGAATGAAAAAAATGAGCTTTTAAGGTAAAGCCCTAAACCTATGGAATATGGTCTTTCCCTATAAAGGGAGGTCCCAGGTCTGAGGGACCTCTCTCTCGCTGAATCCCAGTCACCTTCATCTTCTTACATTCCATAAAGCATCTTTCCCCTCTCTTGTCCCTGGGTGCTGAAGGATGTCACACTTGGACCTGTCACTTAATTAAAATGAAACACGAGATATTGACTAAAGTTTTTTCCAGTTTCTCTGCTCCCTCAAAATCTAGGGGAAAAAAATCTGAAAATTATGCATTCATAGGCGAAGTATTTGGAAAGCACCTACCCATCCCTCCCCTCTCACACTGCTCATTTACTTATGATCCATCTCAGACTAAACATTTTTCTTAGTTTAAATATCAGTCTCAGATGCACTCTCCTTTTGGAGGATATTTCAGAGTCACAGATCTTTACATAAAGGAAGTTCTTTAAGTCTACCTCATGTTCTTCTCCCTGCTTTTTTGGCCAATTTCTAGTCATCTGAATCTATCAGAGTTGACCTCAGCCCAGTCCGTGCTTGTGAAAGAAGCATTGCCATAGACAAGTTCAATGTCAGTCTTTTCAGAAACAAAGTTATCCACCGGGCGCAGTGCCTCACGCCTGTAATCTCAGCACTTTGGGAGGCTGAGGTGGGTGGGTCATTTGAGGTCAGGAGTTCAAGACTAGCCTGGCCAACATAGTCAAACCCTGTCTGTACTAAAAATACAAAATTTAGCCAGGCGTGGTGGTGCACACCTGTAATCCCAGCTACTGGAGAGGCCGAGGCATGAGAATTGCTTGAACCCAAGAGGCAGAGGTTGCAGTGAGCCGAGATCACACCACTGCACTCTAGCCTAGGTGACAGAGTGAGACTCCATCTCAAACAAAAAAAACAAAAAACAAAACAAACAAAAACATCCATCCCAGGAAGTGTAAACTGGGCAGCACCTAAGGCTTATTTCTGCTCCAGTTTATCCTCTTAAGCCTCTTATTCAGTTGAGCCCTGTATGAGTCTTAGTTGCCTCCTGTATGTAAAATGAGGAATAATACTGGTGCACAGAAATTTTGAGAGGAAGAACTCAGGAATTTCAGTCCTAATGCCCAGGTGGTGTGCCCACAGGGAGGGCACACATACATTATCGCAATAGGATCAGGAACGTGTCCAGAAACATGTTGCATGACTTTTTAAGAGCCACTTAAATTACCATTGGTCCTTCCCAAGTCTCCTGTCCTTGTCTTCTTGGAGGGAACCTTAGAGACCCATCAGGATCTAGCTCTGGAGTACTAAGCTCCAGAGAGCATGTTAGTCCATGCTTCAGGATCTTTCTGTCACTGGAGAACCTAGACAGGCGTGCTTCACTCTGATGCTGTAGCAAAGTGGGCCATGAACCTGACAAAACTGACTTCAGGGAATCCAAGTTCATGACACACTTTTGCTTTAACCCGAACTAATCACTCCTGCTTCCTTCTATTAAGACTTCCATTCTCTTGCAGTAATGGAGAATGAACCAGTTCCAGCCAGTTAAGGGCAGAGGGAGGTGCTAACTCCAGCACTTGTACAAAGTCATTTGGAGCACAGGGGAGAAATCCAGTTGGCTTTGGAGTGTCTTGTTGGAAAACTAGGAGAGGGTGAGGTTGAGTCTATGTAGAAATGTTGGCTTCTCAGTTCTGGCAGAGTCTTATGGTGCGTAGAGGTCTGATGGAGTTAGGGAGTCAGAGGTGAAAGCTCAGAGGCAGGTGGATGTATGGATGAATGAATGAACAGAACAATGGATGCATGAAGGGAAGCGATGGGGCCCTTGGGGCGCCCTCCTGATGCCATTGACATTGCTGAACATGGGATGTCCAGTCCCTCAGGTGTTCAGGCCACCTACCAAAGATAAAATAACTCACTGAGAATTTCCCACCCAGTCCAGCCCAGCCCAGCCCAAAAATTCTTTGACCAAAGAAGGGAGTTGGAGAATCCTGTGCCTCTGTTACCATGGGCAAGTTCAGATTGCCTCGACACTCAGGTCAAAGCAGTTCACCTTCCGAAGCGCTGACATCATACAGAGCTTTCTGACTTAAAGAATTACCCTGAGGGCGGGGACCCCAGGCAGGGTAGACAGTGACCTAAGGGACCAAATTTAAAGTCACTTCAGTTGTGGGCAACAAAGTCACTTGTACAACCTGCCATCCACATCTGCCTTCCCCTCCCATGTTCCTGTAGGTCACCTCATGTCACACTGCTCCTGTTCTATTCCTCCACTGGTACCGCAGAGTTCTCCTTGTTCTCAGATGGGATGGCAAGGTAGTCAGACCTATAGAGGACACAGGGAAAGGGAATCAGAGCTTCAGTGCCCAGCGTGGGAACACAAGATGGGGAAGGAGCAGGGCACAGGAGCAAGGATCTACAGAACAGCTCTGCATTTCCTTCTGCTGTGTTTCTCAAGAGAAAAACAACCTTTTCTGCAGATTAAAATAATCATTTCCCCCATATATGTACACGAACACCCACCAGGAGTGTATAGCTTCTCATTTATCCAGGTTGTCTTCAGCATTTAGTTAGATTATTATGTTGGCCAAGGCTCATGCCTCTAATCCCAGCACTTTGGGAGGCCAAGGCAGGAAAATTGCTTGAGCCCAGGAGTTCAAGACCAGCCTGGGCAACATGGTGAAACCCTGTCTCTACAAAAAATACAAAAAACTAGCCTGGCATGGTGGCACGTGCCTGTAGTCCCAGCTACTTGGGAGGCTGAGGTGGGAGGATCACCTGAGCCTGGGAGGTCGAGGCCATGATTGCACCACTGCACTCCAGCCTGGCAACAGTGAGACCATGTCTCAAAAATAAAATAAAATGTTGGTCAAAATGACAGCTGTGAAATTATATTTTATAGTTGTTTCACATGTTTACAGGCTATTTGGGTTTCTGCTTCTGAAATTTGTTCATCTGCTTTCCAGTTCTTCTGAGATCTTTGTCTTTTTCTCATTGATTTTCCTTTGATGCTTTCATGTTTTGACAATTTCTCCCAATCTCTTGTTTGTCTAGGAATTTTGCTTATGGAGTCTTCTAATGAACAGCTGATTCTTTACATATAATGTGATCAAAATTATTTTTCCTCTTGGATTTGTGCCTTTTGTATTTTATTTGGGAAATCCTCTCTATTGCATGGTGATAAAGAGAGTCTCTTATATTCCCTTAATGGAATTTTCAAGTTTGACATTTTACTTTGTGTTTAAATCCCCTCATAATTTATTTTGGTTTAGTATGAGAGATGGGGAATCTAATTTTGTTTTGTGTTTTTCTTTGTTTCTATATAGATTAGGAATTTTCCCTAGACCACTTACTGGGCAGTTCATTCTTCCTTCAATCACTGTAACGTCATCTCTCTCACATATCAGGTTTTCCTACATGCATTAACCTGATTGGTGGCTTTTTGTTTTGTTTGTCCATTTCGTATGCCTGTGCAGTATCACAAACTCTGTATTCTGATAGCTCTGTAAGAAACCTTCATCTGGCTGGGCGCAGTGGCTCACACCTGTAATCCCAGCACTTTGAGAGGCCAAGGCGGGTGCATCACGAGGTCAGGAGATTGAGACCATCCTGGCTAACATGGTGAAATCCCGTCTCTACTAAAAAAATACAAAAAATTAGCCAGGCGTGGTGGCAGGTGCCTGTAGTCCCAGCTACTCGGGAGGCTGAGGCAGGAGAATGGCGTGAACCTGGGAGGCAGAGCTTGGAGTGAGCCGAGATCGCGCCACTGCACTCCAGCCTGGGCAACAGAGCGAGACTCTGTCTCAAAAAAAAAAAAAGAAAACAAAGGAAACCTTCATCTCCGATAAGACAAATCCTACCAACCTCTTGCAAATTTACTGCTCTTTCTTTGAAATGGTTTAGACCGAGGGTGGGCAAACTGTGGCCTAAGAGCTAAGGATGGTTGTTTGCAAACAAATAGAAGAACAATACATGACAGGGACCTATGGCGCCTGCAAAGCCTAAAACACTTATTATCTGGCTGTCCCTTGGTTAAGACTATTTTTGGCTACTTAGCCTTCCATGTGACTTAATATCAGCTTATTAAGTTCTTTGAGAAATCTAATGGGCATTTTGATTGGGATTTCATTGAATTTGAAGATCAATTTGGGAGAAAATTGTTTACAATTGTGAGGTTTTACTCTCCATCTAGTTACGTTTAAAGTCTTTCAGTAAAGGTTTCTAACTTTTTCTTTAAATGTCTTGTATATTTTTGTCAAATTTATCCCCGGAACTGGGGAGTACTTCTTGCTATTGTAACTTTAAAAGCATTTTAATATTTTAAATATTTAAATTTGTTACTAAATTTGTTGCTGGAATATAGGTGATTTTTATATTTTGATTTCTATCAACAATTTTGTGGAATATTCTTCCTTGTCCTAATAGTATTTTTGTAGATTCTCTTAGGTATCCTATGTAAATAGTAGGTATAGATAATGATAATTTAGTTTCTTCCTTTCCAAGTCTTTTTCTTCCTTGTATTTACTTGGTCTTCACCTAGGATTTCCAACACAATATTGATAGAAACAGGGAGAGGCAGTCTCCTTGATATGTCCCTGATATTACAGGCACTTGAGGTTTCAACACATAGATGATATTTGCTGTAGGGTCTCTTAGTAGCTGCCATTTATCACTTTAAAGATGCTTGGTGTTTAGGTGTAGATGTATTTTATTCATCCTGCTCAGGGCATATTATGCTTCTTGAATCTGAAGAGTCATCCCTCCCTCAGCCGTTCTGTCTCTGAACACTGTCTCTCCTCCATTCTCTGTTCTATTCTGTTTTTTTTTTTTTGAGATGGAGTCTCGCTCTGTCGCCGAGGCTGGAGGGCAGTGCCGTGATCTCGGCTCACTGCAAGCTCCGCCTCCCAGGTTCACGCCATTCTCCTGCCTCAGCCTCCTGAGTAGCTGGGACTACAGGCACCCGCCACCATGCCCGGCTAATTTTTTGTAGTTTTAGTAGAGACAGGGTTTCACCATGTTAACCAGGATGTCTCGATCTCCTGACCTCATGATCTGCCTGCCTCGACCTCCCAAAGTGCTGGGATTACAGACGAGAGCCACCGCGCCCGGCCAAAATGATGCTTTCTTTATCAAACATTTCTAACTGGTAATAGCCTAGACTGTTTTCGGTTTGCCTCAGCAATGTTGCTAGAAATCTGTGGGTTTTTTCTATCTTTCCTTTCCCCAGACAACCAGCCAGCATGATCTCTTAAGACTCTTTGTTCTTACAGACCCCACCGTTTCTCAAATGTGCTCACCCTCAAGTGACTAGAGTCTCTGAGCAAATGGCTAAGGTACAGGCTGGACTTTAGAGGATTAGAGTCCCCACTCTGGACATCTAAGCGCTGCCAGGCTCTAGGGGAAATAACATGTTGCTTGGAGCTCCTTTGCTAGCAAAGGGCAGTGCCCAGATGGCCTGAGGAGCTCCATGGTATAAAGCAAACAGTTCAATGAGATAGAAAGAGCATGGACATTAGCACTAGAGAGACCTGGGTTCAAATCTCAGCCTTTCCTCTTACCATCTGTGTGCCTTGGTAAGCTGCTATGAGTCGGCTTGGCATTTACAGAACGGTTATAATAATGTTACTTTTTTGTTGTGTTTTTGGGCTTTTATTGTTGTTGTTTTTGAAATGGAGTCTCGCTCTGTCACCCAAGCTGGAGAGCAGTGGCACGATCTCAGCTCACTGCAACCTCCGCCTCCCAGGTTCAAGGGATTCTCCTGCCTCAGCCTCCCGAGTAGCTGGGATTACAGGTATGTGCCACCATGCCCAGCTAATTTTTTATACTTTTAGTAGAGACGGGATTTCACCATGTTGGTCAGACTGGTCTTGAACTCCTGACCTCAGGTGATCCTCCCGCCTCAGCCTCCCAAAGTGCTGAGATTACAGGCGTGACAGCCATCATGCCCAGCCATAATAATATTACTTTAACGGGTTGTGGTAGCAGCTGATGGTCTTTGCCTTAGTGGTTAAGTGTGCTGGCCAAGAATCAACAGGCCTGAATTCAAACATCACTTTGTTTCCTAAGTGATGTTTGAATTAAGCAAATGTTTAATTTTTCGTAATGAATTAAGAGTTTGCCTTAAGCCAACTCTCCGAAATTCAGTGTTCTCATCTGTAAAATGGGTATAATAATGGTGCCTATCTCTTAAGCAGTGATCATGAAGAGGGTGGAGGATGAATGTAAACTGCTTAGCACCTCACCTGTGAGAGCAAGCATTCTGAAGGTGCTAGCTTTCATTATTACTTTGGCATCTCTGGACTTACGCGTTTTCTTGGGCTGCCTCTTCGGCTTTTGAGACCTTTCTGTAGCAATATATCATCTCGATGAGCAGCCACAAGGTGAGGAAGACCAGAAGGATGTACATCATGATTTCTGAGACCACAGAGGTGAAGTCCTCTCCAGCTGAAAGAAAGAGAATGAGGTTCAGAATATGCAAATCCAGCAAACCTAGAGCCGTCATTGGAGCCATATTTTTAAGTACAGCTTAAATAAAGACTGAGTAAAGAAACTCAAGAAGATGTCAAAGGTATTCCAAATCCTGACTCTCCCGCCCATTGGCTTTCTCACTGACTGTCATCAGCTGCTCAGGAGCCAGGGAAGAGGGAGTGGGATGCCTGGAAGAAGTAGCCGAGCAGTGGAAGGAATCCTGGCCTCAAAGTGAGATATCTAGAGCTGGCTGTCCATTTTGCTATTTACAGGTGTGTAAACAACCATTTCCCTTACTTGAGACTCAGTTTCTTAATTTGTAGGTTGAGGATAATAACACCAGTCAGGGGTTTGTGAATATTACATTATCTAATGTATTTCAGAACATCTTGTGAGATTAAAAGTCTACACAGATGTAAGGAACATGCCTTATTTCAACTGCCTCTGTCTTTTGAGCTGCCGGTGGTGGAGGGTGGTATTCCTGGGGAGAGAGCGTTGGAAAACTCATTCAGGGCCAACAAAGACAGCCTCCATGAGATATGCGCATGTTCTCTACAAGTCTGGGTTAGAAACAAGACCTTCCAGGTCATCCAAAACCAAACATAAATATTGGAGGATTTAGTGTATCAACCGCATTGTCCCCAGGGCTGTACTTTTGAAACACAGTTAGGATCCTGCCATTTCCCTGCTGAAAACTCTTCAATGCTCCACACTCCCCTTAGGATGAAGCCCCAACTCTGTTCACGTGACATGCAAGGGCCTTCACAATCCGGGCTTTCTCACCTCATTTCCATTTGGTTGGCCAGAAAAACTTCTGCTACACACTGTGGTATGTTAGAATCTGTGAACTTTTCTTCCTCTTCCCTCTTCCTGAATTGTGTCTTTCACCCACGGCTAGTTCTGTGCTAATATCCTCTCCTGCTTTGCAGTCTCGCAGTAGTTCTAGATTCCTGTGAGGTCCCCTCCTTTGTGAAACCATCCCCAACTTCTCATGCGGAGCTATTCACAACCTTCTCCGTGCACTTTTCTTTTCTCTTTTTTTTTTGAGATGGAGCTTTGCTCTTGTTGCCCAGGTTGCAGTGCAGTGGCATGATCTCGGCTCACTGCAATCTCCGCCTCCCAGGTTCAAGCGATTCTCCTGCCTCAGTCTCCCAAGTAGCTGACATTACAGGCACCCACCACCATGCCCAGCTAATTTTTTATACTTTTAGTAGAGACGGAGTTTCACCATGTTGGCCAGGCTGGTCTCGAACTCCTCACCTCAGGTGATCCTCCTGCCCTGGCCTCCCAACGTGCTGGGATTACAGGCGTGAGCCACCGCGTCTGGCCTCCATGCACTTTTCTCATCCATCTGTTATAAGAGTTGTATTGTGCTTATCTTTCTTTTCTGTGGACTGTGTGCTTATTGAGAACATATTTATTTCTGGATTATCTGCCTGCTGTATAAATCTTAGAATATTTAAAGTGCTCAATAAGTACTTATTGAATGAGTGAAAATAAATATTATCTTATTTGTTTCATGATCAACAAAAAGGACCATTAAAACATACTACATGGCAGATATCCTGATATATCTACTCCTTGCTAGTGGGAGAAATGTTGTAGCCACCTCTCCCCTTGCCAGCTCTCAACAGCAAGTCAGATTTATGATCTGCAGTTATCCATTGGATCTAAGTCATCCCCAAGTCCTTGGTTGTTAAGAGCACAGCACAGCCTGCCATAACTTTCAGCCCAGAGAGCAGTCCGAAGGCTCCAGGATCACCCAGGTTTCCAACTGGAGCTAGAGGTCATAGATGCAGCGTGAGGCACATGAGAATGCCGTACAGCTCAAACATCTCACCGCCTTGCTACCACCTCGTGCATTATTTATGATTTGTTTGGCTTAAAGCATGCTCTCTCTTTCAAAATGCAGTAGCCCACAAATGGCAATACAGGAAGCTGTCCTCAGTATTTTTAGTTACCTCTAGGTGAAGAGGCCTCAGGTTTCTGCCTTAGGGCCAGGAGGTGACAGCCAAAGCCAGAATAAACCCAACTTGAACAAAGAGAACCAGGGAGACCTTGTGGGACCACAGGAATGGAGGAGATGTGGGGTTGATGGGCAGGTGTCATGGTGGGGTGGGTGCGTAGCTCTGAGCAAGATGAGGGCAGGGAGTATCTGATGTCACAGAGGCAAAAAAGAAAAAGTGGCAGGGGGTTGGGGTGGTGGGGGTGGGGAAAGAAACAGTGGAAAGCAAGCCCTCCAGACAGGCGAACAATCTGGATTTTCACCCTGCTTCCAGCGCGAATTTGCTGCACGTCCCTGAGCAAGCCCCTTGCTCTTGCAGAGAACTCTGTTCTCCCAGCCACAAAAAGAGGGGCACCAGAGCTACACCCTCCAATCACCTGGGGAGTCATCAACTTGCATATGACCTCACTCACCCCTGCCGATCTCACACCTGCAAGGGTGCTGCAGAGGTGTCTACATCTGGAGGACGCCAATGTGGGCGATTCTGATGTCTGCCCTTTATCCAGAGGCCCTGGATTAAATAAATGATATCCACGCTTCCTTCACACCCGACCATCCACGAGGCTCTGTGGCTCTGATAATAAACTTGTTTTTCCTTCTGTTTTTACCCGAGGCTTGCTCTGGTACCTGGCAGACGAACTAGCTCAGCCTTGCCACACTTCCCACCAGCTATGCACGAGGGTGTCTGGAGGCAAAAGCCCGAGAGAGCAGAGGTGGAGACGGCTGAGCACTGTGCTAAGGTCTGGCGGGCACCAACCAAAAGTTCCAGATGGTGACCAGGAGAGGGCGCCAGGGCCCCACCCCCCAGAGGAAAGGCGTGTAACAAACGGGGGATAAAGGAACTTCAGAACAGGGGAGTACCTCAGAGAGCCCCCCGCCAACCCCTTCATTTCACACCAGAGGAGCGGGGCTCCGAGCAGGGAAGTGACTCATCAGGTCTGGATTCAGGAGCCCTGAGAGTCCCTCTGCACTTTCAGAATTGACCTACCTTCCATTTTAGTCATATCGTCTGATCCGTTATGTCTCTTTCTCCTTTGTTCATTCACTCTGAGGACTGAATCTCCGCTTCATTATTTTTATCACAACGACATGATAAAAAATGAATAAACCTGTGGCCTGGAGGTTGGGATTCCTGGATCCTTTTTTCTAGGAAGAGCCCTGTCTTTAACTTGATCTTTTCCTTCATGCCCCACACTTTGGCCTGCTCACTAGCAGTGATAATGCTGGAGATAGACTGAGAAAGGCTGGAACTCCCCCCTCAGGATGCAGGACTCCGGTTGCAACAGAAACACCTGAGTTAGGCTGCTGAAAGGCCTTCCCACTCACGAACACGGAACTAGCTGTAGGAGTCCAAAGATTTTAAACAAGACTAGAGAGCTATCAACCTGTCCCCTTCTCCCAGCAGGGAATGAATTTATGTAATAAGAGATGCCACAGATGGGGAAGAGGTTGCACGTGTGATTACTGTGAAGAAAGACAAAAGAAAAAAAGATTGTCAAACTTTGGTTTAGAGAGAGGTTCTCAAGGTGTGGTCCCAGCAGCAGCACTGCCCGCCAGGCAGTGTGTCACGCAGTGCAAACTCTCAGGCTCCACCGACAAAAGCAGAAAGGCTGGCTTCCAAAAAGCCCTGCAGGAGATTTTGAGGTTTGCTAAAGTTTGAGAACCCCTGGCTTAGAGGCATGTATTGCTTACAGGTAGAAGGAGAGATGACTTCCGGGTAACCTCATGAGATTTCTCTGAGCCCACTGAGTCAGGGATTCAACATAGGCCAAAGAAGAAGGCCTAGCTGAATCAGTAGCTTTAGGCCTCATGGAGGCTAGCCTCTTTCTCTAAGGGACCAGGAAGAGCTCATTCTATCATCTCCAAGCCTTTCTGCTTTGAGGAAAGGCACAGAAAGACAAGCTGCTTAGGGAATTTACAGGAAGCTGGCCACCAGAAGAAGATGGGTCAATGGTGACATTTTTAGATGTCACCATTCCAAATACATGGGTTTTTGCACTCTTTAAGGGCCTCACTCGTGGAAAACTGCTGTCCTACCCTTCCCTGTCCACAGAGAGCAGGACGCCCTAGAGACCCTGTGCCTCAGCCTCACCCTCCTCGGTGACTCTTAGGGGGATCAGCCGCGTCGTCTTCACAAAGGGCCGATGCGCCTCAAACTCAAACTCCCGGGACACATTGCAGGTGTAGAGGCCAGAGTCGTTCAGAGTGACGTTGAGCACAGTGATGGACACGTCCTGCAGGTCCTTGCTGCCATTCCACTGCAGGCGCCCCTGAAAGGGGCTCTCCACCTCCTGGTGGCCATTCCGATACTCGTAAATCTGCAGATAGAGGAGCAGAAGAGGGTAGGGCCAGGAAAGGAGATGGCAGTGGGGGGAAGCCGAGTTAGGGACAGGGCAGAGAAAAGGAGCAGAATTGTGCATGGACAGGGAAGAGAGGGGACAATGCCACCGGGAGACCCAGAATGTGGGGGTGGGATGAAGAGGCACAGAGGAGGGTAGGGAAGGGAGCAAAGACAGGGAAGGACAGGCAGAGGCAGCAGGCATCAGGGCATGTGGACGTGGTGAGGACAGAGGCAGCCACGGGCGTGTAGGAAGAAGCTTGGCAGAAAAAAAGGGGTGGAAAGAGGGAGAACAAAGGCAGGCGGGAGAAGAGTATGGGAGCCCAGGAGACGGACATTGAGAGAAAGACAGGATTGTAAAAAGATAGAGAGAACAAGAGAGTAAGATGTGTCCCAGAGCCGCTGGCAAGAGAACAAGGTAGAGACAGCAAGACAGGCAGATTCATTAGTAATGAAGACATATGAAAGCCCTGGCTTTAAAACTGGACTCTCTGTGCTGGTACTCATCAGGGGCTGTAGGACAGTCTGGGCCAGGCCACAGGAAGGAGGCCCAGGATGCTGAAGCATGGCAGATGAGCAGAGAGCCATCACCAGAGAGGCACACGTCACATCTTTTGCTTTGGACTGAATTTTAACTAAAATATCATCTTTTAAATTTCTTTCCTCAACACTTCCACCCTCTGACATAACAGCCAAACTCATTTCTGACTCTAGCTTCTATGTGCCATTCTCTCTCTACAGCTGTGCTGGCTATTCTAGTCTCCACTAGCCACATGTAGCTACTTAAATTCAATTTCTTAGAAGTTAAATACAATGTAAAATTCAGTTCCTCAGTGGCACTGGCCACATTTCAATTATTCATAGCCACATGTGGCTGGTGGCCACTGTATCGCACAGCACAGATAGAGAAGGTTTCCACCATCACAAACATTTCTATGAGACAGCCTTGCTGTGGATTTCCATGGATGTTTTGCTGTTGCCGTTTTATTTTTCATTTTCTTCTTCTTCTGATCCACCTTTTCCTCACTTTGGGCAGGCCTGGAAGCAATGTGGGCAGCTATCACTGGTACATGACCAGGCCTGAAGGCCCTGGGGGCCTTTGCATCTGGCCAAGACATCCAGCCTCCTGCAGCTGGGGGCTAGCCTCAGTTGCAGCTTCATTGACGTGTCACTGTCACACCTGAGCCAGGCTCTGGGAAGTCTCCGCTGGTCCCAGTCTTAGTACCAGACGGTTGCAAATCTGCATCAGAATGGCACATAGAAGCTAGAGTTAGAAATGGGTTCGGCTTTAGGATAGTGAGAAAGAAGAGCAAGCTAAACCCAGTTTCGCCCTTCCATTGTCTCTGTTACAAATCTTTGTGGAGGAGAAACTTGCCCCCAGGAAGGCAAAGCAGTGCCGTAAAAAGGGCCTTGTATCTGCTGTTAGACCACCTGGCTCAAGTCAAAGCTGTCTTAGTTATTAACTTAACTTCTTTGAGCCTCAGTTTCCTCATTTCTGTGTCTATCTTTTCTCTAGCAAACATTTACCAGTGCTTACTATATTCCAGAAACTATTTTTAATGCATTAAAAATTATAGCTCATGAGTCCTGGTAACAGCCCTATAATTTGGCTATGCTTTATATCCCCACTTTAAAAATGAGGAAACCGAGGCACAGAAAGGATGACCAACATGTCCAAGGACACAGAGGTGATAATAAGTGTGAAGTCAAGAATCAAACCCAGGTGGCCTGGCTCCACAGTCAGTGAAGGAGTAAATAATGGTCATCTCCAAGGTGGTATTCAAAATATATGACAGCCGACCAGGCACGGTGGCTCACACCTGGAATCCCAGCACTTTGGGAGGCCGAGGTGGGTGGATCACCTGAGGTCAGGAGTTTGAGACCAGCCTGGCCAACATGGCAAAACTCTGTCTCTACTAAAAATACCAAAATTAGCTGGGCATGGTGGTGGTGCCTATAGTCCCAGCTACTGGGGAGGCTGAGGTGGGAGAATCGCTTGAATCTGGGAGGTGGAGGTTACAGTAAGCGAGATCACACCACTGCACTCCAGCTGGGTGACAGAGGGAGACCCCGTTGAGAGAGAGAGAGAGAGAGAGAGAGAGAGAGAGAATATATATATATATATATATATATATATATATATATATATACACACACACATATATACACACACACATACATATATATATATACACACACATATACAACCACTTTGCCACTGGCACCAACCACCCAGAACTGACACTGGCTATGGTGCAGGAGCAGAATCTGGAAGACTCCCAGCTCTGCCAGGAGCGAATCTCTTCGTTTCCAAATCATGGATAAGTCTGGGGGTTCAGCCACTTAGGAGACTCGGCACAGCAAGTATCCACGAGAGAACTGTTTGACATAATTGACTCACTGATGTGGCTGTGCTGGGTGTCCCGGGTGAATGTCACCCTTGGATCACTCTTTGTCATCCCTGTCATTCCTATTTCAATGGGACTGCAGGAGTTAAAGGAGCTAACCTTTGTTATTTCACATAATGATGCTTTGTGTTATTCCAATTTCTTTATGAATTTAATGCATATAATAGGATGGCACAGAAGATTAGATGAAAACACCTGCAAAATGTGTGGTAGGGCGCCTATCACATAGTAGGCTTTAAATATAGCATATCTCTTTCCTCTGCTTCCTCCAGCCCATAATCAAGGGTGCTTGCAGCTGGCCCAGTGCCCTTTCTCTCACAGAAGCTGGGGCTTCACTAAGGCTGTCAGTTATCTGCTGAGGATCTGTCAGTGTTTGGAAGAGAAGGAGCCAGTGTTTGCTAGCTTGGCATCCCCCGGACTGTCAGGAGCCAGGCTGGGAACAGCAGAGGCCAGCAGAAGAAAGGCCAGAGTCAGCAGTCTAACATACAAGGAAATCTTTACCGCCCTCGGGCCTGTAGAACCATTCCACCACCGTGGTGGCCTCCACCTCCTCTCTCTTCATGCAGGAGATGCAGCGCAGCTTCATGGGGTTGCCCTGCACGGCCTCCGTCTCCGAGGGCACTTCCACACACACAGGGAAGCAGACACTGACTGCAGAGAGGACAGATGGACAGGGAAGGAACAGCAGGTGGTGGGGGAGGGGCACAGGAGAGAAACATTGGAGAAGAAGGAGGGAGGGAAGAGAGACAGAGAAGGAAGAGTCATGAGGCCAACCTGAAAAAAGCCACGTGCACATGTCTACACCTTCACCTGCGCTCCCTGAATGTACAGGCTCAGAACGTGTACACATTGGAGGAGACCTGGATGATCTAGACATTGACTGAAATCCTTCCCCTGGAAGCAGTGGAGATGCAGCACCGTACATTATACTTGAGCCCTGCTCTCTAAGTCTTATAGCCCAAATGGGAGACAGGGCATCTACCTACCCAGCAACCATCCATCCCCCTTCATTCCACCACCACTCATTAAAATCCACTCTCTGCCAGGTCTGATGCTAGACTAGAGATGCAAAGATGAATAAAACACTAACCATGCCCTAAATGCATTTATAATCCAATAGGGAACACATATTCCTAACTAGGATTAAACCAGACCACAGCAAGTAACACACTCATGATATATTCTGTTCTTAGAAGACAGGCAGTTAGTTACTCCCAGTTGGCCTGGGGAGAAAGGAAGAGAAGGATGGTGAAACATGAGGCTAGAAAGGTAGGCAGGGCCCATGCTGTGAAGACCTCTGTGTGTCCCTTCCAGTGTGAGGTATCCAATGTTTTAAAGTCGTGGAGAGATGTAATTGTATCTGTGTTGTGTGAAAACTGTAGGTAATTCTGACACATGGTGGAGGTTGGAGCAGCAGTGAAGAAAATGGCGAGCGGACCACTAAGCTGGAACAATGGTCTATGCAGAGGAGTATAGCAAGGCAAGTTAAAATCTGGAGCGGGGTCAGATTGTGGGACACCTTGCATGCCACACAGAGGTCTAAGACTTAGTGTTTCTGCCCTCTAGAAACTTGAAGTCTGTTTTTTAAAAGGAGGCAAGTATATCAGCTTGATAATTCAGAATAACTTGAGCGGGACAAGGCTGCCAGCAAAACATGCGCAAATGTGAGCTGCATTAACAGATGTACAGTACGCAGGAGGAAGGAGGCGTAGTTTCTCGGCACTGTTTTTGGAACAAATCTGGACTATTATGATCAGTTCAGGATGTCACATTTTAAAAAAGGAAGTTGTTCAAAGAGTGCATGCCCAGAGGTGAGGGAGATGGTGAAGGATCTGGAGATAAAGTCTGGTGAGGAAAAAATGGGAGAATTCGAGTTGCTTAGCTTGGACACAGAACATATCTGTCTTCAAATATTTGAAGGCTGGCAGATGGAAGAGAAATTTGATTCTGCCCAACCCTAAAAGTTATAAGAAAAAAATAAGTTTAATGCAATAAAGAAAGAATTTTATGATTTTGGAGCTGTTCACAAATGCAAATAACTAAATGCTAAGAGAGTGTACACAGCATTGTTTGGGATATTTGAAAGTAAGACGAGGCCAGGTGCTGTGGCTCACACCTGCAATCCCAGCACTTTGGGAGGCTAAGTTGAGAGGATTGCTTGATGTTAGGGGTCTGAGACAAGCCTGGGCAACATAGTGAGACCCCTGAGTCTACAAAAATAAAATAAAATAAAAATTAGCCAAACATGGTAACACACAACTGTAGTCCCAACCACTCAGGAGGTAAGAGGATTGCTTGAGCCCAGGAGTTTGAGGCTGCAATGAGCTATGATGGCACCACTGCACTCCAGACTGGTTGACAGAGTAAGACCCTATCTCTTGAAAAAATAAAAACAACATGATGGTCACCGCAGATTCTTATATTAGGACTTTGAAGATCCCTTCTGATGCTACTTTTTCATGAATTAATAATAAAAACAGAACCCCCAGAAAAAAAAAGAAATAATACACACTACATTTAAAAACTAGTCCACTGTTAATGGTCAGCCTGTTCATCTCCTGGCAGAGCGTTCTTTCCTAAAAGCAGAGGAAGGTTTTATTTAGAGCTTAATAAGACACTGCCATAAATTAATTTTGAGTCCAAAAACTGTGTTTGATTGACTTAGAAGGCAATGTATTTATTTTAAAACATGGAGTTTAAAAACTAGTGGCACTAGAATTAACTTAAAGTTGTAAACATCAAGGTAAAATAAATGTAATTGGGTTTTCAACTCTCCAGCAAGCTGGGTGAGTCTTATCTGACAGTCTTCAAGAGGACCTATTGCTTCTGCAGATGGTGAGCCACGTTAATGGAGAGAGGACTCACATCTAGGGAGAACTGATCAGAAACATCTTCAGCATATGATGAGTCTGAAGTATTGATTATAGATCTGATTAAACAAAAAGGAAATGTGGTTTGCGCAAAAGTTTGTGAGTGGGCAGAGGGGTAGAGCGTATGCAGCAAGAACTCCGTGTAGTATGGAACCTCAAGGCACATTCATATTTAATGAGAGCTGGCAAAGATAAATTCATTCATTTCATGTTGACAAACTCAGAAGTGGACTAAGAAGTCTCAAGGAATGCACAGTTACAATTATAGAGGCAGGGTGAAGATAGAATCTGGCAACTGAAGAGTTGGGTTTGATGTACTATGTAATCTCTCTGGACTCAGTTTATTCATCGACATCATGCTGAAAGTTACATCTGTCTAGTAGGTTTATCATGAGAATTTTATGGATTAATTTACATGAATGTGCTTTGTACAAATGTCATTATTCATGTTATTCTATCTTTCGTTTATTTCCCAAATATACTGAGTGCCTTCTGGGTGCCAGGCATTATTCTAAGCACGAAGAATACACCAGAGAACAAAAGAAAAGAATCCCTGTTTTATGGAGCTTACATTCCAATGGAGGGAGAGGGAAAACAGCAACATTAAATAGTAAAAAGTGCTGTGAGAAAAAATAAAACAGGAGAGAGTGTGTGCACAGGGTCATTGGAGGATGGCCTTTCTGAGAAGGTATCATTGAGCAGGCGCTGAAGAAAAGAAATGAGGATACAAGCTATACACATATCTGTGTGAAGGCATGTCAAACACAGGAAATTGCAACTCAAGGGCTCAAGGGGCCCAAAGGAGTGTGTTTGTCATGCTCAACAGACAGCAAACAGTCCAATGTGGAAATTACAGCAAACAACGTGAGAATAGAAGGGGATGAAGTAGTAGGAGGGATGGGGAGGGCCAGATCACAGCAGGTCTTATTGGCCATGTTAGAACCTTGGCATTTGCTTAGAGTTTATGGCATTTGCATGGAGCAGCAGAAGGTTCTGAGAGGAAGAATGATGGGATCTAATTTGTACAAGATCATATGATCTGATGCTGTGTTGGGAATAAACTGATGAAGTGAAAGGGACAAGGGTGGAATCAAAACAGTTAAGAGGTCTGGTACAGGGATCGGATTGGAAGACGATTTTGTTTTGGTGAAGATGACAGTAGAGCTGGTGGAGTTTGAAAGAAATGAAATGCAAGAAAATGATTTGCTGGATTAACATCTTTGAAAAGGTGAGAGGTGATGTGCTCTAGTGAACAAGTAGATGGGATGGCAGAGATAGAAGCATAGTTAGTTCATTTATAGTTAATGGAGGGAAAGCAGTCAGGATGGCAAATGGGGTATGGCAGAAAGTGGGGTAGCCCCTCTCTTTTCTTGGTTGCCCCTAAGGCAACAATAATCCAAGGTATCATCATAGAGCAAGTCCCACTCCTTCCCTTCTGGTCAAAATCTAGTTTCAGGGCATGAGAACTCTGCTCGTATGATCCTGAAGAGTACATTGAAAAATGGCCACAAAGTTCCCCCACCTCTGTTTGCTTGCCTTTTGCAGTATGACTTGCTGCTCCTTGCTTCAAGAGGTAATGTCTGTTTCTCCATCCTTTGAGTCTTCAGCACACCACTGTCTTTCTTTCTTTCTCCTTTCTTTTTCTTTTCTTTCTTTTTTCTTTCTTTCTTTTTTTTCTTTCTTTCTCTTTCTTTCTTTCTTTTTTTCCTCTCTCTCTCTCTGTCTCTGTCTCTCTCTCTTTCTTTTTTTTTTAGATGGAGTTTCACTCTTGTCACCCAGGCTGGAGTACAATGGCATGATCTCAGCTTACTGCAACCTCCGCCTCCTGGGTTCAAGCGATTCTCCTGCCTCAGCCCCCTGAGTAGCTGGGATTACAGGCACCTGCCATCACGCCCAGCTAATTTTTGTATTTTTAGTAAAGACAGGGTTTCACTATGTTGGCCAGGCTAGTCTCAAACTTCTGACCTCAGGTGATCTACCCACCTTGACCTCCCAAAGTGCCGGGATTACAGACATGAGCCACAGCACCCAGTCCACCACTGCCCTTCTTTCTATGAAACCCTCTAGGTATTCAAAGAAGGCTGTAAATATGGCAGGAGCTCAAACTACATTGCTGACTAAAAGTAACAAACTCTTGGAATAATGTTGACCAAATCATTTGACCTTTGTTCTTCTCTTCAATTCCCATAATAATAATGAAGAAATTTATGAGAAGGAAAAACATGATTATTAATAATGATCATATTTCACTAGGGAGTAGTAGCATCCATCTATCATGAGGCAGATAATAAAGAATTATGAACCAGCTTCTCTGATACCCTCAAATCTTTCTCTTCTTTGGACAATGCCCAATTTTTCCTCCTGAGATTGCTCTAGAATGCTTTCCTTTGCACTGAGATAATGAAAAATTTGATTAGAATATAAACAATTTCCAAAAAGGGGTAATAAATGAGGTTATTTTTAGATGCTGACACCCTGACGTGACTTGTTCTGTCAATTTAGCTGGTCACTTAGGGCCTTGAATAGGATGCACGAAAGATCACCAGGGGAAGAGAGGAAAACACACAGGGCAACTAGAAGGGCAGGCCTGGAGAAGAAGGGCAGAGAAGGTACTAGGTGCTAGTGAGTGAGGCCCTAGGACAGGTGATGGTGTTGGGGAGAGATGGGACGGTAGCTCAGAAGAGAAATGGGAGGACAGGTGCCCTCCTGGCGATTGTGCATAGTAGCACATGTGTCCATGAGAGGTGCTAGAAGGAGCACTGGAAGACTGAAATCAGAAAACAAGGGTTCTCTAGCAAGTCCTTTCCCTTCCCCGAGCTCATTTTCTCATCTCTAAACTGGAAATAGCACTCTTTCCCCTGACTACCTCAGGGATAGACATGAGGACCAAAACAAGCAATGTATTGAAAATTACATTGTAAACTGTGATGCACAGGCAAATATAGGGTTTTATTTATTTATTTATTTTAAAGGCTGGGCATGGTGACTCATGCCTATAATCCTAGCATTATGGGAGGCTGAAGCAGGAGGATTACTTGAGCCCAGGAGTTAGAGACCAGCCTGGGCAATATGGCGAGACATCGTCTGTATTAATTTTTTTAATACAATTATTATTATTTTATTGTATTAATTATTTATTGTATTAATTATTTATTGTATTGTATTATTTTTTAAATCTCTTTAAAAAATAAAAATTATTACATGCTTTAACAAAGGAAATAAGGAAACTTTTTTTCATGCATGCAGAAAGTAAATGGAAAGACTCTTTCCCTTCATATTGTACATCATATTAAAAAATCAACTTTGGAAGGGGGAACACATCTAACCCAGCATTATTGTTCAATATTGGAATTGCATGCAAATCAAATGAAATTGTATCTGTGAAGGGCGGCTGTTTTTCTTTCTTTTTTTTTTGATGGAGTCTCGCCCTGTTGCCCACGCTGGAGTGCAGTGGCACAATCTTGGCTCACTGCAACCTCCACCTCCCAGGTTCAAGCAATCCTCCTGCCTCAGTCCCCCTAGTAGCTGGGATTATAGGCACGCACCACTATGCCCGACTAATTTTTGTATTTTTAGCAGAGATGGGGTTTCGCCGTGTTGGCCAGGCTGGTCTTGAACTCCTGACCTCAGGTGATCCACCCGCCTCGGCCTCCCAAATTGTTGGGATTACAGGCGTGAGCCACTGCGCCTGGCGAAGGGAAGCTGTTTTTCTTACAGTTAACAACCAAGTGTCCTGAACCACTTCTCTTTCCCTTCCACAGCTTTTCAGTTTGGTGAGACAACACTCAGTTTGCAAAGAAACTGAGAATGGGCAAAGATGGGCATACTGTGTACACTTCTTCCAAAGTTTTTTGGGGTCGGGGAGGGGATGGGCACTCTGTCAATTCTAGCAATATTCTTCAAAGATTTCTCTACCATTCATCTGTGGAGCTGAAAAGGATGTTAGATATCACCCGTGCCAACTTCCAAACATTACACAGAAGGAACCAGATAGCACTTTAAGGTTGTTATATAGTAAGCTAGTGGCAAAGCTGAGACTCCAATGCAGGTTGCACAAGTTCTAGTTAAAAGATTCTTGGATGATAGCATGTTCTCTCCCTCCACTGGAATTCAGGCAGGGATCTCAAAATCTTAGATTAGAGTTCAGGAAGAAAGTCTCTGCAGAGTCTCACTCCAACCCTTATCCACAACTTCAGCTTTACCGACGCTCTTTTTATCTGGCCAGGCTAACATCTTCTAAGCCTCGTGTCCTCAGCCTTAGCCTCCCCTGAGAAAATTTCAGCCTTAATCTTCAAGGCAGGTGAGATCATTGGCAACATATTATAGCTGCTCCATCTCCAGGTCTGGTCTACTCTACTGGGGATGGCTGGTGATGAGTCCGCCTTTGGGGCTGACATTACCTCCCTCCTCAACCTTCCTAGTCCGTCTCATCAGGCATTTTGACAGGAAGCTTGGCTCTGCCTCTGGTCACATGCAAAATCCAGATAATGCTGGCAGCTAGAGTTAGTCCTGGAGGCTTGAAAAAGTAATACTAAAGCAAAGAGGCAGCTCCCATCAGCATGTCTGCCACCGTATAGGCAGGATGAGTTTCATGCCAACCATGGGAACATAAGCTCACATGCCTCGTTTCAGGGAGGCAGGTGGGTACAATTGTGTCCAATTACCCTGTGTATTGATTTTTGCACGGAGAAAGGTAGCTAAGATCATGTAAAGCAATCTGTCTGCTGAAGAGAACCTATATTTTATCTGAGGATCTAATCATAGACACCAAGGCAGACATGCCCAGAACTACCACCCCCACCCCTGCCATACACATACTACTACACTCACCCATGCATTCAGATGTCTATGCCAACATGCTCACACACATGCTAGTGCACACATCCAGACACTGAAATATATTTACATACAGTAAAACATTGTCTCAATCACACAATCAGACATTATCACATAGATCAATCCCCTTTACACACATTCAGGCACTCCAAGACCGTCTCTGACACTCTCTTCAGCCTTTACTGTTCCAAGTGTAAGATTCCCTTATTTGGAGGGGGAAGGTCACCTCAGTTTCTCACAGCTGACAAGCAAGAATCTATTCACCTTTGAAGGCAAAAACCCAGCTCTCCTCCCCTAACACCAAAGCATCTTAGTTCCACAGGTTCATGCAACAAACAAACAAACCAAAAAAAAAAGAAGAAGAAGAAAAAGAAAGATGCATTTCACAGTTGCCTATTTATTTAATATATAGCAGTAAATGGCTGAAGGCTGTTTTCTTCCCATTCCTTGTTAAAATTAAGAAGATGATGAGCAACTAAAGTATTTTCACTCTCAAAATTCATGCATCCAGCTTTTATGGTTTTTTTTTTTTTTTAATATACAGAAACGAATTTGAAGACCCAGTAAGCTTTCCAGGAGTATAGACTCCTTGATGAGAAATAAAATGTAACCACACAGGAGGTTTTTATTCGTGAACGTGACTGCATTTCCTTTCAGCAAAGGGAAAGGGAAAAAATACTTTGGAATGATCAGGAAACTGGAGGAAGGGCGGAAGAACCACCAAAGGAGGTTGGAGAATAGCGGGGAAGGGCGGTGGGGAGGCGCCTTTCCCATCTCAAAATCCCAGCTCTCATGGAACCCCTGCCATCTCCATGTCTGGCAGATACGCACAGAGGCAAGCCAGCCAGAGCTCTTTTCTGTCACCAACGACATCAATGTGTTATTATTGTTAGCATTGTTACTGTTACCTGCATCCGGCATGGCGAGGTGCTGGTACTTACCCCAGTAGATAAGCACGAGAGAAGCCAGGGGAAACAATCTATTGAAGGCAGGCATCTTCTGGGGCTGGCGGCTTCCAAGGCTACACAGAGAGATTCCCTCGGTCAAGGACTGCGCCCTCTCAGATTCTTTCGAGGAAACCCTTTGGGACGAACTGCCCCCAGGGGGCGACTTTCTGACCGAAGGAAGGGCCGAGCACCGGTGCCTGGGGAGGCCCTGGGAGCTTTTGGAGCCGGGTGGGGGCTTTGGGCCCTAAGCGACCCCACTGGACCTCCCCAGTTCGAGGGAGCCGATCAGCCGCTCCGCGCCCGCTCTCGCCGGCGCTCAGCACCACGGACAGTCGCCTCCCCGCCCACCCCGGAACTCCAGCTTCCACTCGCGCCCCTGCCTCGCTCGTTTGCGCCCAGGGTAAGCTCAGCTCGGAAGGGAGTCGCACTGCTGGCCTAGCAGCCAGGCTGTGGAAGGGTCCAGGTTGATTCACCTCTCGCCTCCCCAGGATCGGTTGCGTTCCGACTGGAATCCTCCCAGCCCCGCGGCTCCTGCTTCGTCCGCCCTAACTGCTTCTCCAGCTGGGCGTGACCCCACTCCCGAAGCCGCCGGGGCCGCCCGTCTGGGCTACAGAATGCGTTCCACGTCGGTCCCGTCCACGCCCGCCCTCGGCTCCCTGGGGAGGTGCAGCGGGGCCGGGAAGGAAGCGGCAGCTCCCGTTCGGCCGGCGATGTCAGAGGTTGGGGGGTGGGTGTAGAGGCGGAGCCCCTTCCCGGGAGCTCGCCCCCGGATGGTGCGGGGCCCCGACCCTGGGTGGCAGGTGATCAGCAACCCTTCTCTAGGCCCCCAGGCCGTGTGTGCTGTCAGCCCTGACATGCGCAGGCGGCTCTCCGCCACCACCACCGCCCCGGACCCTCCCCCTAGTGCACACTCCCCACCCCCTGATGGGCGTGCCCCTCCCAGGCCCAGCGCCGCGCCGAGCGGGGGCGGAGCCGGGAGCGGCGCAGACACTTCCAGCCGGGATATCTTTGCTCGCGCGCTCGCTGGTCTCTCCAGGTCTCCCTCTCGCGCCTCCGCACCTCCCCCGAGCTCGGGCGCACCGCCGCCCTCGGCTCACGCCCTCCAGGCAAACCCACTCCGCTCCCGCACGGACTTGCCGGGTGTAGCTCCGGGAAGAGAAGGGCCAGAGCTCTTTCAGGCAATGATGTCATCTGCAAGGCGCGCCGTACGCGGTTCCTGGCTTCGCCTCCCAGACCCCATGCCTTCCAGTTCTCGCTGTCTATCCTTTGTCTAGCCTTGATTAATTGGCCCCGGACACAGCAAACTCAGCAAGATAATCCCTGTTTAGGGCAAATGGGGTAGGGATGAGGCGCACCTGTTCCTGTCTTCACCTCATCACTCAGTGAGGTGATCCAAATGTCAGCGCAAGGGGAGGGGGGCCCAAGAGGACTCCTCTTCCCTTCCCCAGGTTCTTTGCAGTTCTCCCTTTTCCTTTAATTACTCCTTTTTAATAAAGCAGATAGATTGTGTTTGGCGTCTTCCAACTATTAGCCACTCCCTAGTCCTAGCAGCTGTTTGAGTGCCCCCGCCCCATCTCTGGAAGGGAAACCTGAAACTTTACATTCAACTATAAACTCAAATTGACATAACAGATTAGGAACGCCTGGAACTGAAGTAAAAGAGTAATCCAAGAGCCCTTCTTCAGCTTCCTTTTTCTCCTCTTCTGCTCTTTCCAAAAGGGGAAGCTTAACGCTGATATTCCAAAATGGAATAACAGAGCAACAGCTGACGGTGAGTGGACCAGAAGCAGGAAATGCTCCCTCCTGACATCTCACAGAGTAACAGAATGTCCCCAGTCGGATCTTCCTGGGCAGGGAGCCACCAGGCCATAAACTCTGTGCTGTTTGGAGGACTAGGCCTTGAAGCATGTATACTGTGTTAAATTTGGATGGGAAGTTAAAGTTGACCTAATTCAACCGCTTTTCCAATTTGTGACTTCCCCCAAGAACATTTCGGACGAATGGACTTGATTTTATTTATTTATTTATTTATTTATTTATTTATTTATTTATTGAGACGGGGTTTTGCTCTTCTTGCCCAGGCTGGAGTGCAATGGCGCGATCTTGGCTCACCGCAACCTCCGTCCCCCGGGTTCAAGTGATTCTCCTGTCTCAGCCTCCTGAGTAGCTGGGATTACAGGCATACGCTGCTACACCCGGCTAATTTTGTATTTTTAGTAGAGATGGGGTTTCTCCATGTTGGTCAGGATGGTCTCAAACTCACAACCTCAGGAGATCCACCCGCCTCGGCCTCCCAAAGTGCTGGGATTACAGGCATGAGCCACCGCGCCTGGCCTTGATCTTTTTAGTGATGAGAACTTTCTACATCACAAGTTCACCTCTTCTGATGCTTAAGGAAGTTCTTTATGTTCAGTTGAATTCCGTACACTCCTCCTCCCCCTCCAAACTCCATTAAGTGGCCCTAATGCTGTTTTCTCTTTAAAAGAGCTATGCTTCCTCACATCCGCCCTAAGACATTTTTGTTTGTGGCTACTCTTCCTTAGTTTCTTCCAATGTATTTTCTAGTAGTTTCCAATCCTGTACCACCCTGGCTGCTTTTTCAGAAGGACTTTCAGTTTCTCAGCATGATTCTCCAAGTGACGTCCAGAACAGGAACTGATGGTCCCTGTGTGGTCTGACCAGCATAAATCCAGTGGAATTATGGCTACATTTGCTTTGAAGGATATAACTAGTTAAATACATTTACAGCCACATCTTAGTCATAATCAGCTTATGTTCAATTAAAATCCCTGAGTATTCTTCACTTGACTTGTTGCAGAGTCATTGTGTCTTGTACAGGCAATTTTGGAAATTTTATTATGAAACTTTGCACTTATTGCTGTTAAAATTTATTAGTTTCAACCAGTTATCACACTGTGTTAATACTTTTATTGAATTCAGATTCAATCACCCAATATATCTCTCTTCTTTACCCTTGTTTCATCTCTAGGCTTGACAATCACATGATCCACACATGGATATTTAAAAAAAGAACCAATAGAAAAAAAGAAGAGATAGTCCTATGGCCTGCTTCTAAAGACCTCATTCTACCTTGACAATGAGCTACTAATTAACATTTTTGTTTGTTTGTTTGTTTTTTGAGACGGAGTTTCACTCTTGTTGCCCACGCTGGAGTGCAGTAGTGTGACCTCGGCTCGCTGAAACCTCCACCTCCCAGGTTCAAGCAATCATTCCGCCTCAGCCTCCCAAGTAGCTGGGATTACAGGTGCCCACTACCACACCCAGCTAATTTTTGAATTTTTAGTAGAGAGGGGGTTTCACCGTGTTGGCCAGGCTGATCTCAAACTCCTGACCTCAGGTGATCTGCCCGCCTTGGCCTCCCAAAGCACTGGGATTACAGGCATGAGCCACTGCACCTGGCCTAATTAAAATTCTTTAGAACAGTTGCTCAATCATAAAACCCAAACATAGCTCCCTATTTTTTATATGTACAGCATGAGACATTCTGAAAATTTAGAATAAAAGGAATCTGTGAGAGGAATTAGACATCTAGTCATCCACAGGAAAGAAATAGGATCAATGGCTTACACTAACACAAAAACAGATTTTCAGCAATACATTTCAAACCTTTCCAAAGTAGGACAAATTACCTTTCGTTACATCCAAGCAGTTGTTATCCAAACAACTGCTGGGATGTTTAGGAAGGAAAACCTGTAAAGGTTAGAAATTTGGAATAGATTATGTTAAAGTTCCTATCGTCTTTGAGGTTCTATGACTTTATTGAAAGCCTTACCAAGACTGAAATACACAGACAGACTGAAATATTTTCAGTCTGATAATTTTATCAACTACCACAGCAGGAATTGGCTCAGCTTTACAAAATTTTTCTTATGTCTATTCATGTGAATTGCTAATATTCATAATGTTGTTTTCTAATTGTTTATCAACCCCATTGTAAATAGTCACTGTCAGGATTTCACCTCTATTTTTCATATACCACTTCTTCCCTCTCCTGTATTGAAAATAGGAGCATTTAGTCTTTTCATTCTCCTGCTGTTTCCCTTGATTTTTGGCTGTCACTCTCAGTCACTTTTGCAAGTACCTTAAGTTCCCTGAAGTACTCTTGGCCTTGTTCTGAGAGTTTTAAAATCATTTAAATTAAGCTCTCCCTTCCTCTTTTCTGCCATTTTGGCTTCAATCCTTTCTCATTGTTGTTGACTTGGCCTCCCAATTTAATAATCATTCTCCCTTCACAGTTAATGGGTGAAACCATATGCTCTATTCTCCAAAGAGTAGACAGAACAGTCTTTGTATTCTAAAAGATGGGAACTTCTCTTGCTTAAAGCCCTTCCATGGCATCTCACTACACTGAAATAAAATCTAGACTTGTCACCATGGCCTAATGTTGGCCTTGTGCCCTGGCTATCTCTCCACACTCATTTCTACCACTCTCTGTCTTGTCCACCATGTTCCAATTACACTTAATTTTAAAGAAATGTACCTCATAGTTATCAAACTCTTCCCCACTATTAATATTTCCCATCATTATTATTATAGCCTTAGCATTTGATGTCCCCTCTTCCTGGAACATTCTTCATTCTATGGCTGGTTTCTTGTCATTTTGGTCTTGCCTCAAATGACTTCACCCTAGAGTGACATTCCCTGGTCACTCTAAGCTTGTTTCCTGCTACCTTCCTCACCTGAAGCTACTCTCTATCTCATCACCCTGTTTCTTGTTCTTCATATCTTCTCTCACTATCCAAAATTATCTTATTTTTAATATATGTACTTGCTTATTTTCTGTTCCTCCCATCAGGCTGGTTCTCCTTGGTGATAGATAGCAGCCTTGTTTGTTCTGTCTACTGCTGCCGTCCTGCACCTAGATCAGTGCCAAGCAGATATTAGGTCCTCTTCACAGAGGACACAAGTGAATGAATACACAAGGGAGTGAGAATAGTGTGGAAACAGTGAAGAGCTGAGGCCAGAATCAATAGGGGAACAGAAAACCAAGAGTCAGAGAAATAGGAAGAGACCCAGCAAGGTGCAATGCCATGGCAGGCCAGGGAAAAGAGGGTCTTTAGACTTAAGGACACTTCTCCTTTGAGGGGACTTTAGCTAATTATGCTCAGAGATTGAGGAAGAGGATGGAGTACAGAGCCTAGATATTCAGGGATCTTGAGGTGGAGGGAATGACATGACTCTGCTGAAGAAAGAATTGAATGGGAGCTATTCAGGGAGATGTTAGTTTTCTTGTGGAATGAAACACATTCACTGAGACTACTGGGGAGGAATTAGAGACAGGAGCAGTGGAAGTGACATTGTAAGTAAAGATAAGGTGTGGGACCTTAAGAGACACACAATGATCTTGGTAAAGTAGGAAGCCACATTTTCCATTGAGTGTAGGTGGTAGGGAGGTACAGGAGAACCCAGGACAAGGGAGACAGTCTGAATAACTGAGGGCACCTTCTTAAAGCATAGAAAAATGTCAAGAAAAGCTTTTCAAGATCAACATGTACCTGAACTCAGTCAAGATGCAAAAATCAGAGCCCAACCTAGGAAAGTCAAGTAACCTGCTTTTGCTATTCGAAGTGGATTTTGAAAAATAGTGCACACCCCATGGGACAAGGAAAGGGAAGAAATATGTTCATTTTAAACTGTGGCCAAAGAACACATATGGGACTGAGAGATATCAGGCTCTTCCAAATCATTCCCTCATCCTGCCAGCCAGCTGTGTGATGTTGTCACCAGGCAAGGGAAGTTTGGGATTAGAATAGGAAGCAGTGACATGATGATTAGATTATGCAATTCCTTCCTGGATTTGCAAATGGCACAGAACCTGGCAGGTAAGATGGGGCCAAAAAATGTTTGTTGAAATGAATTGGATGTCACCTGACTGATTGTGGAAGCCAACGCTTTCCTGACATCCAGAAGAGCCCTGCCCACCTCCATAACACCCTGTGCACAAAAGAAATGCCATCTGCTCTTGACCAATCTCTAGAAAGTCCATGGTTCTGCCTCAGCCAGAGCACTATTTATGTTTAGTTTTGATCACCCAAACGTGTAAATGGAAATAAAGAAAATATTATCAGTGATAAAGTACTTTATGCTACCCAGAAGCAAAGTTATAATATATTTCAAGTATTGTTATTAGCATGGCATAATTTTTTAATGCATTTCTGGCATGCATATGGCTGAAGCTCTTAGGATAGGCAGAAAGAAAAGATGTGTATTGTTTAATTTTTCACACTGCTATAAAGAACTGGCTGAAACTGGATGATTTATAAAGAAAAGAAGTCTAATTGACTCACAGTTCTGCATGGCTGGAGAGGCCTCAGGAAACTTACAATTATGGCAGAAGGCAAAGAGGAAGCAAGGCACGTCTTACATTGTGGCAGGAAGTGGGGTGGGGAACCACCACACACTTTTAAACCATCAGATTGTGTGAGAACTCACTCACTATCACGAGAACAGGGTGGAGGAAACTGCCCCCGTGATAAAATCACCTCCTACTAGGTCCCTCCCTTGACATGTGGGGATTACAATTTGAGATGAGATTTGGGTGGGGACACCAAAACAAATCATATCAAGATGTCTTGTAGAAATAAGCACAGTCATTATCTTTGGTGCTGATCAAAGTCCTGTTGTTGTTCCAAAGTTTTGGGCAACAGCAACATTGAGCCCTGATTGACTCAATGTTTATAAGCAATATTATTGAAGAAGAAAATGAAACCACAAAATGAGGGCCAGGTGGTAGACAGGAGGCCTGTGTCCCATGCTTAGTGCTGCTCTGAGATAGTATAGTATTGACCTTTTCACCTAATCTCTCTGAACAAATTCTCTCTCTAATTGTCTGCCTCCCAGAGTTGCTGGAAGCACAAGGGAGATAATACGAGTGTGTCTTGGATTTTGTCAAGTCCTATAAACCAAGAAGTGTTCAGTTCCTATTTAGATAATTTTTGAAAATCCTTACAGAGATAGGTTCAGCTGTTAACTTCAGCATAATGGGAAATAATCAGCTTTCATAATCTATCATTAATCTGTTATCATTTTCATCATTATCATTATATTTAAGGGCATGCATTGGCCCCAGAACAATGATATGCATATATTATTGATAAATTGATAAATTTATTTAATCATTCTAACAATTTTAAAAAGTAGGCACTATTAGAATTCTCCTTTTTTTTTTTTTTGAGGGAATAAATACAAGAGAAGTTAAATGACTTAGTTACTCAAGTGCATGGGCAGAACCATAATTGAAACCCGATTTTTTGTCTCCAAAAGCCTTAAGATCTTAATATCTTTCTTTAAGATCTTCATCATTGAAAGACACTTCCATGTGCACATCAGCCAGGAAGTTAACGACTTGTCGTATGTTGTGCAGTTCTCAAATGAGTGTGCTGTGTGTATTTATGTGTGAGAAAAAGTAGGAATAATTCCTTTACTCATAAAACTTCTAGTATGGTGGGAAAGTATAAAATCTAAGAAAATAGACATGGGAAAATCCAATATGTTTTGTGTTCTTTCTTTCTTTTTCTTTAGTGCTTAAAATTTGGAGATCTCACATGGATTAACATGAATGAAAACCTCTTAGTTGTTTTTCTGTTTTCTGTAAGCAACTGTTTAGCCTCATCTAATATAAAAGTTTTATTTTTAAGACACACTATGTATTAGTCTGTTTTCATGCTGCTGATAAAGACATACGTAAGGCTGGGCAATTTACAAAAGAAGGAGGTTTACTAGACTTACAGTTCCACATGGCTGGGGAGGTCTCACAATCATGGCAGAAGGCAAGGAGGAGCAAGTCATGTCTTACGTGTATGGCAGCAGCCAGAGAGCTTGTGCAGGGAAACTCCAATTTTAAAGCCATCAAATCTCGTGAGGCTCATTCACTATCACAAGATCAGCACAGGAAATACCCACCCCAATAATTCAATCACATCCAACTGGGTTCCTCCCACAACACATGGGAATTGTGGGAGTTACAATTCAATAAGAGATTTGGGTGGGGACACAGAAAACCATATCATTCTGCCCCCTGGCCTCTCCCAAACCTCATGTCCTCACATTTCAAAACCAATCATGCCTTCCCAACAGTCCCCCAAACTCTTAACTCATTTCAGCATTAGCTGAAAAGTCCATAGTCCAAAGTCTCATTTGAGACAAGGCAAGTCCCTTCTGCCTATGAGCCTGTAAAATCAAAAGCAAGTTAGTTACTTCCTAGATACAATGAGGGTAGAGGCATTGGGTAAATACAGCCATTCCAAATGGGAGAAACTGGCCAATACAAAGGGCTACAGGCCCTATGCAAGTCATAAATCCAGCAGGGCAGTCAAATCTTAAAGTTTCAAAATGACCTCCTTTGACTCCATGTCTTACATCCTGGTCACGCTGATGCAAGATGTAGGTACCCATGGTTTTGGGCAGCTCTGTCCCTGTGCCTTTGCAGGGTACAGCCTCCCTCCCAGCTGCTTTCATGGGCTGGCTTTGTGTCTGTGGCTTCTGCAGGTGCACAGTGCAAGCTGTCAGTGGATCTACCATTCTGGGGTCTGGAGGATGGTGGCCTTGTCTTCCAGGACAGGTGTGTCCCATTTCCTCTGCATGATTGTAGGAAGCACTCCTTACAATTTTCCCTTTCTAAGCATTTATTCCATGACTTAACCCACCACCACTACAACTGCCATCACTCAGATATACCAAAACTTGGGTAAATAATTATCTTTCTTGTTTATATTGATCTTTTCCAAGCTCACATTTATTTCCATTTCTACTATTGGAAGTGATTTGGGGCTGGGCACAGTGGCTCACGCATCCATCTGTGGTAGGGGACCATCTCAGGTGGATGGTCCCCTAGTAGGGACTCTGTGTGGGAGCTCTGACCCCACATTTCCCTTCTGCACTGCCCTAGCAGAGGTTCTCCATGAGAGCCCCACCCCTCCAACAAACTTCTTTCTGGACATCCAGGCATTTCCATATATCCTCTGAAATCTAGGTGGAGGTTCCCAAACCCCAGTTCTTGACTTCTGTGTACTTGCAGGCTCAACACCATGTGGAAGCTGCCAAGGCTTGGGGCTGGCACCCCATGAAGCCACAGCCTGAGCTCTACATCAGCCCCTTTCAGCCACAGCTAGAGCAGCTGGAACACAGGACACCAAGTCCCTAGGTTGCACACAGCATGGGACCCTGGACCTAGCCCATGAAACCACTTTTTCCTCCTAGGCCTCAGGCCCTTTGATGGGAGGGGCTGCCATGGAGACCTCTGACATGCCCTGGAGACATTTTTCCCATTGTCTTGGGAAATAATACTCTGCTTCTCACTACTTGTGCAAATTTCTGCAGCCAGCTTGGATTTCTCCTCAGAAAATGGCATTTCCTTTTCTATCATATTGTCAGGCTGCAAATTTTTCAAACTTTTATGCTCTGCTTTCCTTCCAAAACTGAATTCCTTTAACAGCATCCAAGTCAAATCTTGAATGCTTTGCTGATTAGAAATTTCTTCTACCACATATCCTAAATCATCTCTCTCAAGTTCAAAGTTCCACAGATCTCTAAGGCAGAGGCAAAATGCCTCCAGTCTCTTTGCAAAAACGTAACAAGAGTCACCTTTGCTCCAGTTCCCAACAAGTTCCTCATCTCCATCCTGGATTTCGTTATCCATAACATTATCAGCATTTTGGTCAAAGCCATTCAACAAGTCTCTAGAGAGTTTCAAACTTTGCCACATTTTCCTGTCTTCTTCTGAGCCCTCCAAACTGTTCCAACCTCTGCCTGTTACCCAGTTCCAAAGTTGCTTCCACGTTTTCAAGTATTTTTTCAGCAACATCTCACTCTACTGGTACCAATTTACCATATTAGTCCATTTTCACACTGCTGATAAAGACATACCTGAGACTGGGCAATTTACTAAGGAAAGAGGTTTATTAGACTTACAGTTCCACATGGCTGGGGAGGCTTCACAATCATGGTGGAAGGCAAGGCAGAGCAAGTCACGTCTTACATGGATGGCAGCAGTCAAAGAGAGAACTTGCGCAGGCAAACTCCCATTTTTAAAGCCATCAGGTCTTGTGAGACTCATTCATATCACAAGAACAGTGCAGGAACATTCTGGGGTCTGGAGGATGCCCTCATAATTCAATCACCTCCTACTGGGTTCCTCCCATGATACATGGGAACTGTAGGAGTTACAATTCAAGATGAGATTTGGGTGAGGACACAGCCAAACCATATCACACAATGTATTATTTTATTTAATTTTCATGTTATACTTGTGAGATATAAAAGACTATTAATCTATTTTTTTTTTTTTTTTTTTTGAGACGGAGTCTCGCTCTGTCGCCCAGGCTGGAGTGCAGTGGCGGGATCTCGGCTCACTGCAAGCTCTGCCTCCTGGGTTCACGCCATTCTCCTGCCTCAGCCTCCCAAGTAGCTGGGACTACAGGCACCCGCCACTACGCCCAGCTAATTTTTTGTATTTTTAGTAGAGACGGGGTTTCACCGTTTTTAGCCGGGATGGTCTCGATCTCCTGACCTCGTGATCCGCCCGCCTCGGCCTCCCAAAGTGCTGGGATTACAGGCGTGAGCCACTGCGCCCGGCCTATTAATCTATTTTAAAGGTGGCAAAACTGATATCTAGAGAGAGATTAAGTGACTTGTGTACTATTACACTTCATTCATTCATTCAGAAAACTTTTACGGAGTGCCTACTGTATGCCAGGTACTGTCTTAGTCTCTGGCTTTAATTTTCTTTAACAATAACTGTGAAATAGTGTGGTAAGAGCTATTGTATACAGGTGTCCTGGAAGATAAAGTCATAGCTTTGGGGCCTGGGGAGAGTACCGTTGTAAAAACTTCAAAAGAGGTAACATTTGAGAATTACCTGGAAAGGATAAGTAGAATTTCCCAAAGAGAAGGAATGGTAGATTGGGAGTTATTGGCTGTTTTGAGAGACTCACCTTCTTGATGCAGTTGGTACTCTCATGATTCTTAATTTGGGGCATTTTTCACCAAGTGACACTGCCATTTTCAAGTAAGATTGTGATTTGGAGTAGCTGAATAGAGCAATGGAAAAGAGTGATAGCTTTGGGCCACACAGATTTATCCTGAACACTCTGCTTGTTACTTGGGGAAAGTTATTTAATTCCTCTGAGCCTCAGTTTCTTCAGACATAAAATGAGAATATTAATACTACCTATTTTGTGGTTATTTATGAGGATTAAATAAGTTAAATGTATGTCACCTGGCACAATGCCTGACCCTTAGCATAAACTTAATAAATATTAGTTTATTTCCCTTCTGTATAAATAAAGAGTTGGCACTATTGCTACCTTTATTTATATATTTTTTTAGGAAATTAAACTCAAGAGAAGTTCAATGACTTGGTCATTTAACTTATATGTGGCAGAGCCACCCATTCTTCATTTTCTATTCTTTGATTTCTCTCAGTCACCACTCTCATGAAACCAGATTTCCCAGCAGCCGTATGGCCAGGAAAGGCCTTGTACACCAACCCCAGGATGAAAAGAGGAAAGAGAAGGGCCTCTTTAACTAGGCTATCTGAAACAGAAACATAATCTAAGAGTTATTGCATTTCAGTAAGTACTTGCAAGACAACATGACTATACCTAATGTTTGGGTAAGACATAGTGCCGGACTTTGTATTTCAGAATGATTAATGAGGCATGCTGAAAAAAGCCTGACTGAGATGAATTATTTCATCCTGCTATCAGACCTATTCTTCCCTGCTCCCACTCCCTGAAGGTGACACCTCCCATACCTCCCACAGCATACACTCCTATTTTTGTCAAACAGCTTGTAACTGGATGCTTTGGGGTCTGTCCCTATCACTAGGCTGTGGTCTGCCCTCTAGAGCAAAAAATTGCATTCAGAATCCCAACATGAAGATTTGAAAACACACTCCCCCTTGCTACTGTGGTAAAGATGGCCCCACTTTTTCTATGTCCTCCACATTTTAAGGAGTGGCAATAGGAACTCAGTCACCTCCTAAGTGAATGAGAAACCTGTATAAGAGGGTGGGGATGAGTAACATAAATACATTTTTTCTCTGGGTAAGAGGGTTTTGAATTTCCCAGGGAAATTAGGAAAATTTTTATCTGAAGGGCCTGCAGAATGAAGCAAAATACCTGGAAAATGGTATAAAGACATTCATAATCTACAGTGAGGGCAACACACCAGTTGTGACAAGGTGGCACATTCACAAATAGTAATGATACAGAGCAGATCAAGGTAAGATATATGGGATCAGAGGACAAGTTATACCCCCAAACAGTAAAAGATACATGAAGAAGGTGTATTTTAAATAGGCCCTGGTTGGGCACAGTGACCAAGGTGGGCAGATTGCTTGAACTCAGGAATTTGAGACCAGCCTGGGGAACATGGCAAAACACCATATGGACAAAAAATACAAAAGTTATCCAGGCATAGTGGCACATGCCTGTGGTCCCAGCTACTTGGGTGGCTGGGGTGTGAGGGTTGTTTTAGCCCAGAATTTCAAGGCTGCAGCGAGCTGAGATCAGGCCACTGCACTCCAGCCTGGGTGACAGAATGAGACCTTGTCTAAAAAAATTAAAATTAAAAAAGTAAAATAAAACAGGTCCTGAAGCAAGGATAGGATTTCTACAAGATGTAAAAGCATGACATTCTTGGCAGGAAAAAAAAAAAACACCAACAAAAGCATAGAAGCAGAAAAGTTTCAGGTCTGAGCTGGTGAAAGTAGATGATATACTTTATCTGAACATTGGAAACATTTAGAGAAATAATAGTGATTAATGCTGGAAAGATAAGTAAGTAGTCTTAATGCTTATTAAGGAGTTTGGACTTAGTTTGATAGATAACTGGGAGCTGTGAGTAAGGTGATCTGAAATGAGTTAGGAAAAATTAATCTGGCAGAATAGGAAACATGGCATGAAGAAAATTAGGACAAATGTTTGCAGTAGCCATAGTAAGAGGGAAGGAGAACCTGGTGTAAGGCAGTGTGAAATGGAGACATCTGATCCTAAAGAAAATGTGAGGGTGCAATACATTGGATTTGGCAACTGATAAGATATGAGGCAAAAGAGGAAATGTCACTCTAGTTGTGGTAGATTGGGAAAATTTTTTATACTACTGATACCACATTATGTATAAAAAGTTATGCCATTTAGCATATGGAAGCTACAGAGAAGATAGCAGGATTGGTGATTTGGGGGAAAAAGTGACAGATCTTGTTTGGCATATTTTGGGTTTCAGATACTGATAGATTGTCTGAAAATTTAAGTCAGGTCCTCAGAAAAAATAAGGGCTGGCAATTCAGATTTGAGAGTCATCCATACACAGTGATAATCAAAGTAATGGAAATGGATGATATTTAAAAGAGAATATAAAGAGATAGAAAGTCTGAGAGCCAGGCGCAGTAGCTCATACCTGTAATCCCAGCACTTTGGGAGGCTGAGGCAGGTGGATCACTTGAGCCCAGGAGGTTGAGACCAGCCTGGGCAACATAGTGAGACCCCATCTCTACAAAAAGTAAAAAAAAAAATAGCTGGGTGTGGTGGCACTCACCTATAGTCCCAACTACTAGGAGGCTAAGGTTGGGGCATTGCTTGAGCCTGGGAGGCTGAGGTTGCAGTGAGCCATGATTACACACACCATTGCACTTCAGCCTCAGTGACAGAGAGACACCCTGTCTTAAAAAAAAAAAAGTTTGAGAATACTTGAATTTAGGAGGGAGAGGAAGCCGTAGAGCCAGTAACAGAGACAGAAAAAAAAAATGATCAAAGTGACAGGATGATATGGTTTGGCTGTGTCCCCACCCAAATCTCATCTTGAATTCCCACGTGTTGTGGGAGGGACCCAGTGAGAGGTAATTGAATCATGAGAGTGGGTCTTTCCCCTGCTGTTCTCGTGATACTGAATAAGTCTTACAAGATCTGATGGTTTTATAAGGGGGAGTTTCCCTGCACAAGCTCTCTCTTTGCCTGCTGCCATCTGTGTAAGACGTGACTTTCTCCTCCTTGCCTTCTGCCATGATTGTGAGGCCTCCCCAGCCACATGGAACTGTAAGTCCATTAAACTTCTTTTTTTTTTGTACGTTTCCCAGTCTTGGGTATGTCTTTCTCAGCAATGTGAGAACAGACTAAATCACAGTAGGAGATCAAAACAGTGCTGCATTAGGGAGTAAAGAGAGAGAATGTTCCATGTCAGCAGGGAGTTCTGCAGCAGAGAATTGATTGGGGGAATAATTGGCTAGGAGACTTAGTAACTAGGAAATCACTGATGACCTTAGGAGGACTGTAGTTGGAGGGAGTGAGGGACAATTACATAATGGAAGATGTTAAGTAAGAAGTGTTGGTGCAAACCTAGTGGATGTGATTGGTTTAACTATAATTTCAAAGCCTCTGATAGTGGGAATGGAAGAGAGATTGGAAAATGATGAGACTTTGGAATAAGTAAGGGTTTCCTTAGAGAAGGTTATATAGACAAAAGCTGAGACATTAACTCAGAAGGAAAGTTGGAAGACGTGACAGAAGCGAGGTAACTGATGGAGGAGCACAGTTCCAAGGAGGAAGAAGGAACTTGAATCAAGAGCAATGCCCGAGGGATTAACCTCAGATTTAAGGGAGGAGGAGGAAAAAGAGGAAAGATACACAGAGATGCTGAAGTGGAAAGAAAATAATTTGAAGTTATCAAATGTGAAAGAATATGTCTCATTAAAACAGGAAATAAAGTCATCTGCTTTGAGTGGGGAGCTGAACAGAATCAGGGCCTTGTGCAGAATAAGAGAGAGATGGAAAAGTCTCTGGGAAGTGAGGTGATGGATTGATTAAAGGTGAAGGAAAGCAGTGAGCATCAGTAAACCCAACAAAGAACAGATTCAGGGTGGATCCAGTTAAAACAGTTTCACAATTTTCTCCAATAACAGTTTGCAACCATTCTTGAAGGCTGCAGACTTGGCAGACTTGGCAAGGTGGAACAGGAGAAATACAAAGTATGGAGCTGATATGGTTTGGCTGTGTCCCCACACAAAGTCTTATCTTGGATTGTAATCCCCATAATCTCCACATGTCAAGGGAGAGCCCAAGTGGAGGTAATTGAATCATGGGGGTGGTTTCCCCCATGCTGTTGTCACGATAGTGAGTTCTCAGGAGATCCGATGGTTTTATAAGTGTTTGGTAGTTCCTCCTGCGTTCATTCTCCTTCCTGCTGCCTTGTGAAGAAGGTGCCTTGCTGCTGCCATTATTGTAAGTTTCCTGAGGCCTCCTCAGCCATGCTGAACTGTGAGTCAATTAAACCTCTTTCCTTTATAAATTATGCAGTCTCAGGCAGTTCTTTATAGCAGTATGATAAAAGACTAATACAGGAGCCATCCTAGGGTGGTAGTGAATATGTTTGTGAAATGGTTAATAATATGCCAAGCCTGATAGATGTGATAGAAAAGGAGAATAGAGGATCATAGTGTGACTGATGGTGAAAATAAAAATAGAGATGCCTTTAGGGCTGGCAAGCAATTGAGTGAGGAGGAAGGAAAGTTGATGATGGTAAGAGAGGATATTTGGGGGTTGGCATCTTTAATTTTGAGCCATGGTGAAGGATAAGCAAGTCTATGTTTTAGAGTTCTTGCTAAGTGACTGAGGTGCATTGCAGGTGGAGGGCACTGGAGTTCAGGACATCAGGAATACATAATTGTTAACGTTTATACATTTCTCTACAAATTTGAGTTATTTTTCAAGAAGGAAATAATACTGCTAGTTTTTTTTTTAAATCAATAAAAGCAACACTGATACATTATAGCATTCCAAGGAACAAAACAGAGGGAGAAATTTCAGGTTCACATCCAGGTCAGTAAGTCAGCAATTCCTTACTGAACTCACGTATGTTTTGCTGGACTGGATTGAAAGTTATTGGATGTTTGGCAGTTCTCTGGAATAAAAAGAAAAGAAAAAGAAAAGGTGAGGCGAGAATATGGGAAGCATTATTGGCATGGATAACTGGCATTCCCCATGGTGATGGTGGGAGAAGGGAGGACAGCCATTTTTCATGTCACTGAGTAAGAGATTATAGGGAAGCTGGTAGAGAACTCTGAGGATGGTGCAGAAAGAGTGACAAAGTGACTTGTATGAACTCCACAAAAGAAGAGCTGGCTGAGTCCTGTGGCCACAACTATGGTCTGAATATGGGCATGGGGGCAAGGATAATGAATTCTTCTCTTCCTGGAGCAAAGAAGGAGGTAGAATATATGGCCTCCTTTGAGGGGATTACAAGGAGTTCAGTATTGTTGAGAGCAGGGGAGGGGGCAAGAAAAGGCTCAGTGAATAGAAGTGAAGGACAGACAAGTCAAAATCAGGGAAGAGTTTGTTCATAAAAGGACAAAGCTGACTTCAAATAACATCATGGTTCCTCTGCAACTGGCATTTATGATGTGTAAATATAGGCCAAATAAATAAGTAACTGCATTGTCAGCGATCCCAAAGGGCCTTGAAGGCCTTGAGAGAGGAATCAAATCTCAGAGGGAGAAGATGCCTCCTGTTTTTATGCAGAAGAGAGGAGACACACCCTTGGCCCTGTTTTTGTGTGTAACTGAAGTGGAAGCTAGGAGTAAGGAAGTGGCTGCTTTTTAAAATCTCATCCCTAATAAGCCAATGCTTTGGTCTTTATCTTCTGGACCAGAGGGAAAAGGGATGAAAAGATTTCATCATTTTTCTGAAACAGACCAAGTGAGGGTGATTTTTGGTTTTTAGAGTAAATTGACAAGAACCTTAGATTCCTTTAAGTTCTACTTTCCAAAATCAAGAAGTGGCTTAAAAACACAAAAACAAACCCTAAACCATATAAAGATTATAGGCTTGCCTAAAAAAAAGTGGGGGGGGGCGGGGGGCGGGGGCTAAAGAATCTAATTCATACTCTGGCATTAAAAATTGGATTACAGTGCCAGGTTCATTGCGAATGCCATATACATGTTTGCTATTAACATTTTATTTTATTAATTGATTGATTGATTCCCCAGTGTATTTCTCAAAAACATTTTATTTATAACTGATATTTACTAGCCTCTAAATTGTGGAGCATTACATATATTATCTCATTTAATTCTCACAACAACTCTAAGAGGTATGCGTTATTGTTATGCCCATTTTACTTACTGAGAAACTGAAGTGCAGGGTGGCCAGGTAAAGTTGGCGAAGTCACATGGCTAACAAGTGGAGAATCTGAGATTGAAGTTCAAGTTTGTCTGATTCCAGCGGCAGCATGCTTACTACACTATCTTACACCAACTTTTTTGTGCCAAGAAATGTTATAGTCCAGAGGAAATAAACACAGGGTGAGGTAACATGACAATAGGATAAACTCGGATTTATGCTAAGGAAGAGCTTCTTGAGCGTTTGGAAGACACTAGAAATCGAAGATAGATACATCTTCCTGGAGTTGTTGTCAGCAGGAATAAGGCAGAATGACAGCTAGAAATCTGTCCCAACCTCATCTCCTCTGTGAATCTGTCCCCTGGCCAGGGCAATTTCCAGCGAGCTTTCTCCTGTTTGAATGCAGCCCCAAGAACATATCCCAGTTTCCACTGTAAATCCTGAGTTGAAAATGGCATCGGGAGGCACATGCCAGCACCCTCCTGCAAATGCCAGCTAGTCTTTCCTTGGCATCCCAAGTACATCATCCACTGGCTTCTGCTCCATCATTTCTCAGCAATGTAGAATATATAATTTTATTATTTAATAAATAAATGTATTTATTTCGCTTCAGGATGTGGAGCTGAGAAGCCCCGATTTCCACTTTCTGACTCCTAGACTCAGCTGATTTGAACCCCTCAGTGGAATAGCAGCAGCCCATCCGCAGCTTTCCTAGAAGTTCCTGACCTAGTAGCCTGAAATGCATTCTAATCAAGTGAGGTAAGATGAACATCCCCTGCAGCTTTATTTAGATTCGCTCAAAAAGTCACTCGCTGCTCTCAATTTGCATGAATGTCTGTTCCCAACTAGACAAGGCTGTGGCTGGAAGACTCCCCGTGAGCCAGGGAATTGAAGCTGCCTCTGCAAGCTGAATTCGTAATTGCCATGAGAAGGCAACAGCATCAAATCCTCCAGCGTGCCAATTCTTTAGGCGACGGACGAATTGACAACTCCTCACCTTACATAGGCACCAACTGACTGTTGGTCTTTGCCCAGCTCTGGGTTTGTACCTGCCCTTCTGCCCACAGCGATGGTGTCATTTTGACCTTGATCTGGGAATTGCTGTTCTTGTCAGCCTGTTGGCTCCCTCTGTTGAGGGAGACAGCTCTTTTGAGTGTCCAGGAGATGGAAGTACAAAGGTGGACAAATATCTACACTCGGAAGGCAGACAATAGTACCCCCCAATTTCTGTTTGCACATAGGTGAGAGCAAGAAAAAAAGGAGAATACATTGTAAAGAGTTTTAGTTCAGACACAATATGAAAGCACTTGATTCTAATGTTATTTTTTTAAAATTCAACTAAACACATGTAGGACAAATATAGAACCATATCCTAGAGTTTGTTTTTTACTTTTTCTTTTTGAGAAGGAGTCTTGCTCAGTCGCCCGGGCTGGAGTGCAGTGGCGCGATCTCAGCTCACTGCAAGCTCCTCCTCCCGGGTTCACGCCATTCTCCGGCCTCAGCCTCCCAAGTAGCTGGGACTACAGGCGCCCGCCTCCACACCCGGCTAATTTTTTTCTATTTTTCGGTCTCCTGACCTTGTGATCGGCCCGCCTCGGCCTCCCAAAGTGCTGGGATTACAGGCGTGAGCCACCACACCCGGCCTAGCGTGGTTTTTAAAGAGCTTTATTATCCTGCTTTTTAAAACTTTAATACATTTTCCAAATTTCTACAAAGAGAACATATCTCAACAAAATTAGGAAAAAATGCAAATGAGAAAAGACGGATACTCAAGTGCAGCTCAGTTCAGTCCAGTGCCAGCTGGCCAGGCCTTTTGCGGCAGGCAGCCTATAAAGATGCTCTATAAAGATACTGCACGCCTGGGTCTGGATTCTCCAGGGAGCAGGTGGCTCAGAGAGAGCATCAGTGACAAGAGCAAGGCAGATGGTGGGAAGGCGAGGGTGTGGGTGCCACACGGTGGCATCTCACACACTTCTGTTCATTCCATAAACAGGTTTAGTAAGCACCATTTCCTGGGGGAAAGTCTACTTCTGGAAAGAATTGTCTATTGGAAATGAAGATCTTTCCCTGCTGCAGAATAGGCTTAAAGAAACAAGTGCAGGCAGACAAGAGGGTCCTCCAGACCATGTGCCTAGCCAAAACTTTTTTTGTTGTTAATAGAGACAGGTTCTCACTATGTTGCCCAGGCTAGTCCCAAACTCCTGGGCTCAAGTGATCCTCCTGCCTTGGCCTTGCAAAGTGCTGGGATTACAGGTGTGAGCCACCATAGCTGTCCTGGCCTAAACTTAATAGTAAATCTACATCTGTATTCCGGAAAACCTATCAGAATAACCTAAAGTGTTAGAGCTTGTGGAAAAAGGCAATGTCAAAAAAAGAAAAAAAATGAAATAATATAAAATAAAGAATAACTCTAAGTGAAGTAAAAATATTAGTAATGATAATAATATGTAATGAATGCTAATTCTATACTGGGCAGAGAGTATTATTTTATTTAACCTTTACACCAACCTTTTGAAGTAAATGCCATTGTTACTATGTCCGTGTTACAGATGAAGAAACTGAGGATTAATGAGCTTGAGTCACTTGCTCAAGGCCCCATAATTGCTAAGGATCAAAGCCCTGTCTGCTCTGGGTGGGACTCCAAAGTCAGTGCTTTTGTTCAAAATATTACTCTGTTCTTCTGAGAGTAAGAGAGGCTTGGGCCAGGCATGGTGGCTCACGCCTGTAATCCCAGCACTTTGGGAGGCTGAGATGGGAGGGTCACTTGAGCCCAGGAGTTCAAAACCAGCCTGGGCAACATAGTGAGAGCCCCCATCTCTAAAAAATTAAAATAAAAAATAAAATTTTGGCCAGGCACAGTGGCTCATGCCTGTAATCCCAGCACTTTGGGAGGTGGAGGCAGGTGGATCACTTGAGGTCAGGAGTTCGAGACAGTCTGGCCAACATGGTGAAACGCTGTCTCTACTAAAAATACAAAAATTAGCCTGGTGTGGTGGCACATGCCTGTACTCCCAGCTACTCAGGAGGCTGAGGCATGAGAATCGCTTGAACCCAGGAGGTGGAGGTCGCAGTGAGCCAAGATCACGCCACTGCACTCCAGCCTAGGTGACAGAGCAAGAGTCATCTCAAAAAAAAAAAAAAGACTTAAATAAAAAACAGAATAAGTGAAACGGGCTTTGTTCTCTCATCCAATGGTTGAATTCTTTCTAAAACCAATAGTTCAGATAATAGCTAACTCACCTGCAAGGTGGTCCATGCACCATCTGGCTACTTTAAGAGAGTTAGTAGAAAGTGATGATAGGCTGAGAGTGGTGGCTTGCCCCTGTAGTCCCAGCAATTTGGGAGGCACAGGTGGGAGGATCATTTGAGCCCAAGAGTTTGAGACCAGCTTAGACAACATAACGAGATCCCATCTCAATTTCTAATTAAAAAAGAGGAAGTGACGCTAAATATTTTTATAGGTAAAAGTTTTAATTTGATCTTTTTTTGGTCCAGGTAACTTGGATTCATCATATGCTTTTTCTCCTGGACAATCAGTCAACACAATTATTCAGTACCTCATCTGTAAACTGCACTGTGTCATCGCTGTGGTTAGTGCTAAAGAAATGTGAAGTATGTCCTTTGTTCTCAAGGATCTTATGAAATACCTGGGCAAACAAAACTAACAACCTGAATTATGTTGTATCATACTACTGTTAAAATCCTTCAATGGCTCTCTATTATAATTAGCATACTGTGTTCAATAAGGCTTCTTTCATTCCCCATCCCATCCCCTTAGCATTTTTTTTTTTTTTTTTGAGAGATGGAATCTTGCTCTGTGGCCCAGGCTGGAGTGCAGTGGTGCGATCTCAGCTCACTGCAACCTCCACCTCATGGGTTCAAGCGATTCTCCTGCCTCAGCTTCCCAACTAGCTGGGACTACAGGCATGTGCCACCATGCCCAGTTAATTTTTGTATTTTTAGTAGAGACGGGGTTTCACTATATGTTGGTCAGGCTGGTCTCAAACTCCTGACTTCAGGTGAGCCGCCCACCTCGGCCTCCCAAAGTGCCGGGATTACAGGCGTGAGCCACCGTGCCTGGCCTCCTTAGCGTTTATCTCTATGTTTGAAGGCTGTTTTATGTGTACACCTGTAACTTTCTGCTCTTGGGCTTGTTTTTCTGGCCACGAGTATGCTAATCCTGCACAGGGCCAGCTGTAAGTAACAGAGAGTTAATGCCTGACAGTGAAGGGATTTGGTTAATAATGAGCTCATGTCCATCCATGGTGTCACAAATGACAGCATTTTTTTTAATGGGTGAATAGTATTTCATTGTGTATATATACCACATTTTCTTTATTCATTTGCTGTTGGATACTTAGGTTGATTCTATATCTTGGCTTTTGTAAATAGCACTGAAATAAACATGGACATACAGATATGTCTTCAATATACTGTTTTCCTTTCCTTTGAATATGTACCCATCAGTGGGATTGCTGGATCACATGGTAGTTGTATATTTAATTTTTTGAGGAACCACAGTGGGGTGAAGTTGGTTTGAACAGCAGGGTATTGTATATTACAAAATAGCTAGAAGGGGGGCTTTTGAATGCCCTTATCACAAAGAAATAATACATGCATAAGGAGATGGATATGCTAGATACCCTGATTTGATCATTTTACAACATAGATATGCATTGACACATCAAATTGTACTCCATAAATACGTACAACTGCAATTTTAAAAGTAATGAAATTATACATTGAAAAATAAAACAGCCCAGCTTCCCGGCCTCCTGGGTGCGTGTTCTACTTATACTACTTTTTGGAGTTTCTCAGAGGGATTGAGACGCAGGTGCAGCCTGTTCAATGACACACCTTTTATTGGCTTCATTTTCTTTCTTCTCGGTCCCACTGCCATATCTTCTAAATAAACTGTGGCTGCTCAAACTTGTCTCAGGACTTGCTTCTGGGAGGGTCCAACCTATGTCAAAGGCTCTGTGTGGTCTGGTTCATGCCTACCTCCCAACCTCAATTCACGCCATGACATTTTGCTCATTGCGTTCCAGCCACACTGGCTTTTCAAGTTGTTTACACCTGTTCTCTCCCTATGACATGTTATTTTTTCTTCTTTACATGATTGGCTCTTTCTGATCCTTCACATCTGTGCTTAAATGTTACACCAAGGAGGATGTCTTTCACAACCCCAGTCAAACATAGTCTTCCATGTTCCAACCTGGTCTTTGCATTCACAGCATTTACCACCCCTTATTACTGTACACGTGTCTGTGTGTTACTGATATGTGATCTGCTTCCCGCTTGAAAACAGTAAAAAAAGTTCCTCGAGGGCAGAAACACATCTGTTTTCTTTACTATTTTATATGCAGAGTTTAGTACAGGGTCTGAAAAAATAGTTTGCATTCACTACATATTTGTTGAATGAACATAAAATACCAGAATATAAAACAATTTGAGAACAACTAAGTAGGCTCTGAGTGGTGTTGGATAGAGTGAAACTGGAAAAAAGGAGAGAAGTTAGGGAGGGCATTGTATGGAACTGCCCTCAGCCTTTAGAAGTAAGTAGGATTTATAGATGAAGTGTGGCATTGGCTGAGCACCTGTTATGTGCTGGCATGCTAAGCATTCTAATAATAGGCATTACATAATGTAATCTTTACAACTTTGCAACCTGGCAAAAAGTATTCCAATTTTTAAAATGGAGGCATTTAGATATGAGAGATGAAGTAATTCACCCGTAGCCACAAAGCTAGTAATGATTAGTGCCACTCTTTAAACCCAGGTCTTCCTGTTACCAAAGTACATTTTCTTTTCAGTACTATTTCAAAATGTGGGTGTTGATTATACAAATCACCAGGTGACAAAGTGTGGATGAAGTAGAGCAAACCATTATCCCCCCTGAGAAAAAAGAAAGCATTTGACCCAGCAAGCATAATCAGTTACATAATTTCTGTTACATCATGCATGATGAATTGAAAGCATTTTGGGAACAGCAAGTGTGTTAAAAGTGCAGAGACTATGTTTCCACATCTATGAACATGGTAATTGTGACATTTGCCTTGCTTACTTCATTGGATTGCTTGGTACTCAAATGTGAAAACATATATGAAAGTGCTGTGTAAATTTCTAAATTCCTTATAAGGGCAATTGTTACAACTATCTTGTCTCTCTAAATATCATCTAAAATCACCCAGCATGCATATATTATTAGAAAATAGCAATGAGGGTGGGTGCGGTAGCTCACACCTCTAATCCCAGCACTTTGAGAAGCCAAGGTGGGTGGATCACTTGAGGCCAGGAGTTTAAGACCAGCCTGGCCAATATAGTGAAACGCTGTCTGTACTAAAAATACAAAAATTAGCTGGGCGTGATGGTGCATGCCTGTAATCCCAGTTACTCGGGAGGCTGAGCCACATGAATTGCTTGAACCCGGGAGAGGCAGAGGTTGCAGTGAGCTGTGATCACACCAGTACACTCCAGCTTGGGCAACAGAGTGAGACTCTGTCTCTATATAAATAAATAAATGGAAAATAGCAATGAAGAAGTTTCATGCTTTGAGTAAAATTATAGAATGAGGGGTGGAAAAGACACTAACAAATACTTTAGTTCATCCACCTGATTCTATAATTCTATAAAGATGTACCAAAATACCCAGAAAGGAAGCTCTAGAACAACACTTTAATGAATTATGTGAACAAAATGTCTTAATACTGAATGTTTTCTACAGTAAAAAGAACCACGAAATTTTATAGACACTAAAGTTAGACTGATAATGTTTAGGGAATACATCCCCTGAGAAAAAATTCTTTGGGAATTAGCTGAGTTGTCACTTTCCATTTTCCTTGTTTTTTGATTAATAAATTTTAAAATATGGAGTAGAGAAACACCTAACTTAATAGTCTGTCAAAGTAAAAAGGGAGCAAAGTGATGATTCTTTTCTTCTAAATTCCCAGCTTTTAACACCTACCAGTACCAGATCCACAGATAACAGCTGACCACAAGGCAATTGTCATCGTGTTTGTTTTTCATCTCTCAGAAGGTCCTATGGCTCTCCGTGTATTTCTACATTCTTCTCTGGGTGTGTACTTAATGTCACTTGCTTCCAACTGCACACTCCTTGAGGGTTGCTCTAGATGATACTATGTCAACTTGGTCAAGTGGGGAACTATATTTCCCAGAATTCCCTACCTGATGTGGTTCCAGTTTAGAGTTGACCAAAAGAACAATGTGCATGCGATTTGGGATGTCAGAGTGATGCAACAGCCATTCCTCTCAGAAGTTCATCACAGTCAGACATGTTGTCAGACAGACAAAGAGATGAGTACCTTGTGGGTCTTAGGTGGTTCTGGCCCTCCTCTGCTCTGCATTCAGCTTGTCCTCCAGACTGTGGGCCCCGATGACCAACAGCAGCTCCAGGCTGTGCACCCACAGAGGCAGTAGTTAACATAAGGCCAAAATTTCCCACAGACCTCTCCGCAAGTTTCTCTTTTGTGTCCCCACTTTAGCTGCTGGACATGATTGTCTCTCACAATTTCCTGCATGCCCCTACTTGTCTGCCTATGCCAGCACTTTGGGCAGACTTGTTTAGTGTCTCTTTTTTTTCTGATTGTGCAACTCCTCCTTCCAGATGTTCATTTCCTTAGTGCCTTCTACTTTGGTATCTCATTCCTGTAACAAAATTTAATGTCTAACAGAGCTCTAATTTAAAAAAAATGTTTTTAGTCTCTGTCTCTTAGGGTAAACTGCAGTGGCACAATCATAGCTCACTGCAGCCTTCAACTCCAGGGCTCAAGCAATCTTCCTGCTGGGACTACAGGTGTGCATCACCATGCCTGGGTAATTTTTTTAATTAATTTTTTTTGTAGAGATGAGATCTTGCTATGTTGCCCAGGGTAGCCTTGAATTCCTGGACTCAAGAGATCCTCCTGCCTCAGCCTCCCAAGTAGCTGGGACAACAGGTGCATGCCACCACACCTGGATAATTTTTAATTTTTTTTTTAGAGACAAGGTCTCTAAAAAATGTTGCCCAGGCTGGTCTGGTCTTGAACTCCTGGCCTCAAGTGATCCTTCTACCTCAGCCACTTGAGTCACTGGTCTAATTTCTATAATAGGTCTTTTATATCCATAACACTCACGGTTGTTTTCCTTCTCTGCCTGAATTCTGACAGTTTATTGGTACTGAATGTGATTCTAGAGAAGCAGAACTTGAAGGATGAGAATCTGAATCTCTTCTCTGGTCTGGCTGAACTGAAAGCCATCAATGACTGTTGTCATGGGTAGATAAGATACCAGAAGTCAAGGACATATCATAGCATAACACTTACTTAGTTACCATCTGTGGTTAGCTGCAGTGAAGGGTTTATAGAAGGCAAGGCTCTGGATGGTCAATAACATGTTGCCATAGAACATTTAAATGTCAATAAAGGCCTGTGGTGGTGATTGGCTTCTTCTAATTTCTCTGGAGGAGTTAGAGAAGGAAAATAGTGAGGTCAGGGCTTAAATTCCCAGCTCAAGGTCCAAGTAAAGAACCAGAGAGTCTCTGTGACTTCCATAAAATAACCTGTATCTACTATAGCCTCAGGTTAAGGTTTCTGAAAATCAATCCCAAAGTTTAATCCTTTGAGTGGCTGAATTACAACATAAATTGAATTCACAGCCTCACAGAGTCTCTCATGATAAAATTAGGGCATTGGTGTGGAAGACCATCAATTGGGGATGCTGAAAATTAGGTTAGGGTCATGTGGAAAGATTTTGATGAAGCCGAGAATCTTAAGCCCCAAAATTCTGCTAAGCATCCTTTGCTTGTAGAAATATTCTTTTCTAGGCCCAGCATGGTGGCTCACGCCTGTAATCCCAGCACTTTGGGAGGCCAAGGTGGGCGAATCACTTGAGGCCAGGAGTTCGAGACCAGCCTGGTCAACATGGTGAAACATTGTTTCTACTAAAACTATAAAAATTACCTGGGCATGATGGCACATGCCTGTAGTCCCAGCTATTCAGGAAGCTCAGTCACGAGAATCATTTGAACCTGGGAGGCAGAGGTTGCAGTGAGTTGAGATTGCACCACTGTACTCCAGCCTGGGTGACAGAGCCTTGGTATGTCTCAAAAAAAATAAATAAATAAATAAAATGAAAAGAAAATGAAAAAGAAATATTATTTTCTCCTCTATCTGAGAAGTTTAATTTACCTTGCCTGAAGAACCTTTAAGGACCCCTCCAGAGGTAACTGTCTTGTATGGGAGCACTGGTTCTCACCTCAACCACCTGGGAGGTGAAGAAGATCTAGAAGATCTCGTTGCTTCTAGATCTCTAAATGGACTCAAGTTCTGGAAGGCCCCAGGAGTCACGTACAAGTGTGACCCATGAAAAGGTACTATACACACCAAAAAGATTACAAGATTTTGAAAAAATTTTTTTAACAGTTTGGTAATTGATTTTTTAAATTGTAATTTTTAGTTTAAAAATATTTAATGGACAAATAAAGTTTGAATATTTTAAGGTGTGCAATGTGATGATTTGACATATGTATACATTGTATAATGAGGATCACAATTAAATTTTAACATATCTATCACTACCTATGTTGTAAATTAGAGTACCAGAACTTGTTCATCTTTTTCTTTTCTTTTTTCTTTTTCTTGAGACGGAGTTTTGCTCCTGTTGCCCAGGCTGGAGTGCAGTGGCATGATCTTGGTTCACTGCAACCTTTGCCTCCTGGGTTCAAGTGATTCTCCTGCCACAGCCTTCCAAGTAGCTGGGATTACAGGCATGCGCCACCACGCCTGGCTAATTTTGTATTTTTAGTAGAGATGGGGTTTCTCCATGTTGGCCAGGCTGGTCTCAAACTCTCGACCTCAGGTGACCCACCCACCTCAGCCTCTCAAAGTGCCGGGATTACAGGCATGAGCCACTGTGCCCGGCCAACTTGTTCATCTTATAATTGAAAGTTTATACCCTTCTTTGATCAACATGTCCTCATTTCTCCCATCCCCCAGCCCCTGGCAAACACTGTTCTACTCTCTTTTACTACGAGCTCAAAATATTTTGATAATTTTTATGGAAAAAAATCTGAGAAATATGTACAGGAATGGTCAGATCAAGGTAAATTTATTAATATGGGTTCACTGGCCAGAGATTCTGCATTCAGTGTTTTAACCTGAATGGCTGGGAGTGGCTCTAACAGTTTGTTTTGATGGTTGGATCTATGCAGAGCACAGAAGGATCTTGAAAAATGGTAATGTATCATTGGAAACTTACTCAGGTGGTGACATCAATTGCAGCTGCTGTTTCAGATGTGGTTTCTTTACTAGAGCACATCAATATATCACCTAGAACCTGGTATGTAGCTATTGATGTGACAGATGCTTTCGTCCCTCTCTGTACTTGTTAGTCAAAACCACCAGAAGTATATTATCATTTTGACAAACCAATGCTCTATTCAGCACTCGGTGCATTATTTCATGAATTGTTAACACACTTTATGAAGAACAAAGAAGAGGAGGAAATAAAGAAGAGCTCTGAGCCACAGTCACAGGAAAGGAAGTAGGGGGAGAAAAGAAGCTTTGAGTGAGACACTGTATTAGAAACATAGAGATCTGCAAAGGTGATATTTAAAAAGATCTATTAATGTGATTTCCTTTTTCACTCTTCCTTGTTTGTGATATCCCTCCTATACATCCAGAGCCTTGGTAAATTTAAATCTTTACACTAAGGATTTGTAGAGAAACTCTAGATATTATTTATGAAAGGTTCCTACCTTTCAAGGGAAGGAGTCTGTAGAGAACAAGGGATGGGGGAAAAGAAGAGTGGGGAAGAAGAGAAAGAGAAAAGAAGGAAGGAAGGCAGGAAGGCAGGATGAAAGGAAGACAGGAAGGCAGGAAGGCAGGAAGGCAGGAAGGAGGGAGGGAAGAAGGAAGGAAGAAAGGAAGGAAGGAAGGAGGGAAAGAAGGGAGGGAGGGAGGGAAGAAAGAAGGAAGGAAGAAAGGAAGGAAGGAAGGAGGGAAGGAAGGGAGGGAGGGAGGGAGGGAGCCAGGGAAAAGGAAAAAGACTAGGGCATTACGGTCTGATGCATGTGTCCTGGCACTCTTCTTCTTATCCTTATGCCTCATTGGAGCGGGAACACAGAGTATTAGGCATGGTGGAAACATCCAGACAAGCACAGAGAAATTTCTTTGAGGTGGGATCCTCATATAATATGATTATAAGAAGAATGTTCAGAAGTAAGTGGGAAAGGCTGAGGTCACAAGTTGAATGTGGTACTTTTTACAGAAACTAGGAATTTGGAACTAGGTGACAACATGGCTCATTTTAAAAAGATAATGCTAAATTCTTTTCTTGTTTCTACTATTAACATGATTTGTGTCCTTGAGCAGGTGACTACTACTTTATTGGCAGCCATTTTCTTACCAATATCATTACTTTGTTAGACTATTTCTTAGCCCTTCCAGTTCTAACATTCATTCATTCACCAAATATCTCTTGAGCATTACTGTATACCAGGCACTATGCTTGGCACTAGGGATACTATAATGTATAAGAAATAATTTCTGGTCTCAAGGAGATACAGTCTAATGAAGGTGACATACCTTCTTTAAAAACCTGCAGTGTGATAATAGTGATACATAATAGTTACCAGAGTGGTAACAAGTTAGAGGAGACACCTGTGATCTACACCTAGTCTGAGATATAAATCTGAGTTACTTTGTCTCTTTTGAACTCAAAGATACCTGCAACTCAGGAATATTTGGAAGACAAAGTATTCAGAATTGGATTTTAAATATTTTTAGAGTTTTTGGAGAAAGAGAAGTTATCTCTTTAAAAGAAAAGACAAGACCTTGATCTGTAGGCTTTATCAATTTCTATGGCATATGTTCTCTCATCAGGGCTAATTTCAAGCTCTAATGTGATGCCCCTGAACATAGAATTGGGGAGAAATACACACATAGGTCTTGTGAACCAACGCCAGCCTGCTCCAGAGCACTCTAGTGCTTCCACCAGTGCTCCTGATAGTCATCTGGGCTTCCCAGCCATCCCTCAAGGAGGGGCCAATGAAGATGAGACTTGAGGGACCAAAGGATATTTTCTTGTGTGTGCTGGGACACTGATCTGTTTGGGGAACACTTCACACATCAGGGCACAGAAAATTTGGAGTAGAGGGGATGTAGCACTTTCAGAGTTCCAGACCCTCCTCATTCTTATCTGGGAGTGGCTGGTCTGTTTCAGTCCCTGCTTGCAGTCGCAATATTATAGAGAGACACTGCTTCTCCTGAATGGGTTTCTATGGCAACCTCACCCAGCAGGCAAAGAACAGCACTCTAAGCTTCAGCCGGAAGATTGGGAGATAAAAATATATTTTGATTAATCCAGGACCCATGCATGACTGAGACTCAGGAATCACCTGAAAACATAACGCCAGTCAGGGTGAAATTTGCATACTTTTCTCTTCAGAAAAATGAAACCCTCAGACAAACGAACCAATGCCTTGCCTTTATTATTATGGCTCTTTCTATGAGGCTGGATTTTGCTAGTATCTTTTCTTCTCTGAATTTCTCATTCTGGGTACCTCATATTGCAAAAGAGCCTGTGGCCTCTGAGCTGACTTGGTCCAGTAGGAAAACAGGGAAAACAGTTCGTATTTCAGAATTGACTGTCACAGCCTTGAGACCTGAAATGTAGCCCCCATCCATGAGTCAGTGAAATATCTGTATTTCTTAATTTTCTTTCCTTAAAACCACACTCTCCCTGACTACCTTGCAAGTGAACGGTGAGGCTCAAATGAGGTCATAGATATGGAACGTTTTTGGAAAAAAAAAGAAAAGCTTCTATGCAAATGTAGGGTGTGATGATGACGATTATTAATATGCCTTGGGCTTGGTTAAGGGAGGAACCGAAGGAACAAGCAAAGCTCCTGCTCCTGGAGGCAGCCAGGGGCTGCAGCTCTCTGTTAGCACGGGGTGGATGCATTCTCAGACGATCAATGTCCATGAGGCTGCACATCTATCCCTGCCACACCAGCGGTGTAGACTCACTGTGTTTTCATTCCAGAAGGGTTCCCTTCTTCTATCCCCACACCCTCCTCAGAGATCTTCTCTTCCTCCCACTCCAACTCCCCCTAAACCCAGATTTGCTTCAGCCTGTCTGCTTCTATTTCCTTCATGCTTGAATGTCAGTGAACACACAGCCTCCTTCTGCTTAAACTCTGTAGCCCACTTCTTTGCTCAAGGCATATTATTTTTCTCCTGTAAGTTCCAAGGCTTTGGCCTACTCAGCTCTGTGATCTTCAGCTGTTGCCTCGAGTTTGGGCTTTTGTTCCACGCCCACATCCATCTTCACAACAAGGAAAGGGCTCATTAAAGCACACTAAGAGGTCTTTAAAATTCGAGGGAGGTAGGTCATTTTTAAAATTTACTTTTATTTTTATATAGTGCTCCTTTTTTTAAAAAAAAGAATCTTTTATTTTGAAACAATTATAGGCTCACAGGAAGTTCCAAAAATAGTGCAAATAGTTCTATGCACTCTTCACCCACCTTTTGTCGATGACATCTTATCTAGCTGTAGTATGACCTTAAAACCAGAAAGTTGACATTTGTACCTTGGTGTTAACTAGACTACGGGTCTTATTCAGCTTTCACCATTTTTAAAAACTGCATTCATTTATATGTTTGTGTGTGTATAATTCTATACAATTTTCCCGTGTATAGGTTCATATAACCACCCTGATGATTAAGATCCAGAATCGTTACATCACCCCAACAGAATGCCCATGCTACATCTTTGTAAGAATGCCTTCCCGCATCCCACTCCACCCGCCATCCCCAATCCCTAGCAACTGTTAATCTATTTTCTGTCTGTATATTTTTGTCATCTCTAGGATGCTCTATTAATGGTATCATGCAGTATATAACCTTCTGAGATTGACTTTTTTTTTTTTGGCAAGCACAATACCCTTGAGGTCCCTCCAGGTGTGGCATGTATCAACAGGCCATTTCTTTTTTATTGATGAGCGGTGTTCTATTTTACGGGTACATCAGAGTTTGATCAACCATTCACTAGAAGAAGACTTCTGTTGTTACCATTATTTTTTTATAAACAAAGTTGCTACAAGCAATCGTATACAGGTTTTTGTGTGAACACATTTTCATTTATCTGGGATAAATACCCAAGAGTAAAATGCTGGTAACTGCATGTTTAGTTTCATAGGAAATGACCAAACCGCTTTCCAGAACGGCTGTAACCTTTTGTCTTTTCACCAGCAACCTATGAGTGGTCTAGTTACTCTACATCCTTGCCAGCTTTTGGTGTTGTCACTATTTTTCATTTTAGCTGTTCTGAAAGGTATGTAGTGCTATCTCATGCAGTTTTAATTTGCTAATAGCTAATTATGCTGAACATCTTTTTATGTGCTTGTTTGCCATCTACATCTGTCTTTCAGGGAAATGCCTGCTCATTTCTTCTGCACATTTCATAATTGTTCTGTTTTCTTTAGTTGTTTTGTTTAGTTTTTGAGACAGGTCTCACTCTGTTGCTCAGCCTGAAGTGCAGTGGTGCAATCACAGCTCACTGCTGTCTTGACTGCCCAGGCTTAAGTGATCCTCCAACCTCAGCCTCCCAAGTAGCTGGGACTACAGGCGCACCACCACACTCAGTTAATTTTTTTTTTTTTAAGTTTTTTGAGATGGGGATTCTCCATGTTGCCCAGGCTGGTCTGGAATTCCTGGGCTCAAGAAATCCTCCCGCCTTGGTCTCCCAAAATGCTGGGATTGTAGGCAGGAGCCACTGTGCCCAGCTTGAGAGTTCTTTATGCAGTCTAGATACAAGGTGTTCTAAGATACATGGCTTACATATATTTCCTCACAGTCTGTAGCTTGTCTTTTCAATCTTCTAAGAAGGTCTTTAACAGGCCAACAATTTTTTATTCTGAGGCGGTTTAATTATCAATTTTATTTTACATATTGTGCTTTGGTTGTCATATTTAGTAAATCTTAGCTTCTAAAACTTTTATAGTTTCACATTTTTACATTTAAACTTATGATACACTTTGAATTAATTCTTATATATTATGTGAGGCTTATGTCAAGGTTTATTATTTTTGTCTATCAATGTCCGATTGCTCCATCACCATTTGTTGAAAAAGATGATTCTTCCTCCATTGAGCTGGTTTTGCAGTCTGTCAAAAGTCATTTGGGCATATTTGTGTTGGTCTTTTTCTGGGTTCTCTATTCTGTTGCATTAATCTATGTGTCTATTCCTCCACCAATACTATACTATCTTGATTACTGTAGCTACATTATAAGTCTTAGCCTCAGGTAGAGTGATTCCTCCTATTTCATTTCTCTTTTTAAAAATTGTTTAAGCTACTTTGGTTTTTTTGCCTTTCCGTATAATGAGCTTGTTGACATCCTTATCTTTCAATGTTCTGATTTTTTATATTTTATATTTTTTTTTTTTTTCAAAAAATAGAGACAGTGTCTCCCTATGTTGGCCAGGCTGGTCTTGAGCTCCTGGCCTCAAGTGATCCTCCCACTTCAGCTTCTCAAAGTGTTGGGATTACAGGCATGAGCCACCGCATCCACCAACTTTCAAATATTGTATGCCTCTCCATTTATGTAGATTTTCTTTCACTTCTTTCATCAGCGTTTTGTATTTTTGAGCATATAGACCTATATATGTTTTGTTAGATTTATACCTAGGTATTTCATTTTGGGGGACTAATTGTAAACGATATTAGGTTTTTAATTTTTGTTTTCCACATGTTCATTACTAGTATATAAAATACATTTGATTTTTGTGTGTTAATCTTGTGTCCTGTGAACTTGCTGTACCTACCCATTAGTTCTATAAACTCTTCGTTGACTTCTTGAGATTTCCTATGTAAATAACCTCATCATCTGCAAATTTAAAGTTCTATTTCTTCCTTTCCAACAGATACACCTTTTATTTCCTTTTCTTCTTGCTCTGATTAGGACTTCCACTACTCCATTGAGTAAGAGTAGTGAGAGTGGACATCCTTGCTTGGTTCCTAATCTTAGAAGGAGAGATTCAGTCTTTGATTCTTAAGTATCATGTTAGTTATAGATTTTTACAGATGCTCTTTATTAGGTGGAGGAAGTTTCCTCCTATTCCTAATTTGCTGAGAGTTCTTATCATGAATGGATGTTGAATTTTGTCAGTTGCCTTTTCTCTATCAATGAATTAATTTTCAAGCATCAAAACAGCCTTACTGGTTTATTCTAGCCCTTGCCCCATTTGGTTATGATCTATAATTGTTTTTATATATTGCTGGATTTGATAGGGTAGCATTTTCTTGTTTTCATATTTTTGCATCTAAGTTCATAAAAAATATTAGTCTCTATTTTTAACTTTTAGCTTTTTTCTTTACTGTATACAGGTTGGGATATTTCGGTAATACTGGTTTCATAAAATGAATTGAGAAGTGCTTTTTCCTCTTCTAGTTTCTGGAAGAGATTGTGTAAAACGGATGCCAATCCTTTTTAGAACTTTTGGTAGAATTCTCCAGTGAATTGGCCCAAAGAGTTCTGTTCTAGAAGCTTTCAAATTGTGGATTCAATTTCTCTAATAGTCATAGGACTATTCGGATTTACTTATCTTATACTGGGTGAGGCCTTTAACATTTATAAAATCCAAAATCTGGATTCCCCAGAAAGCAAGGCTTGAGGACAAACTTTACGGGTTATTAGTTGGTTAGGTGGGCAATCCCAGAGAGTGGGAGTAAGGAGAAAGGAAGTAAGGTGTGGGAGGAGGGAGAACCAGCATGAGGGTGTGTTACTAAGCTGGCATGAAGCAGGACTAGCTGCTAGATTTCACAGGATCTCATGCTAAAAATGCCTGTTTCTCAGGAAAGTTTCTCTGAGGGAGGAAGAGAGAAGAATTTATCCACTGGTGTCCATTGGTCAGAGTGCGTCACACAGGGTCAATTTCTCTGATGCTTCTGAGCAGCTCAGGTGTAAGTGTCCAGCTGTCCAGTGGGTCTCACCTCAGAGTCAGCAAACGATCTCCTGGGCAATAGATGCCAACTCAGGTACGAGGGAGGCACTGTCATACTGTGCCTGCTTGAAGTTGGTCAGTTGAGTAGAGGGTTGTTACAATGAGTAGGACAGGAACGTGCATTCCAAGCCCTCTAAGATGGAGAAGCTAACAGGATATTAATTAGGTGGTGCAGAAGAGGTGTCCTGGGCTGTTGAAAAGCAAGAGAAAAAGGTTTAAAAAAATAAGTCGATCACTGGGTATATTTCAATAAATCTCAAAATAGTTCCCTATTTAGTATTTAGTTTTCATTTGAAATTTAAGTGGAGTTTCGCCTGATGTTATTACAAAATCTTCCTTCCCTTGTGCAATTTACCTTCATCTTTTGTATCTAGGGATGGTGTTTTTCAATTTCCCATTTCTTTCAGAGAGGACTCCTTCCCCTCTGAGATCCCCCATGTTTCCCCCTATAAAGGAGTTCTGCTGGGCATCACACAGGAGAGTATAGATGCTTCTAGACTCTAACAGCCCCTTTAGAGTCTTAGGTGGCTCAAGACAAGTGTCTCTACTCTGAAAGGTCATCCTGTCCTATATATGAAAAGTCAACTTGGACCATTCCCTGAGAGTAAATATTCCTTTTTCCATGGTCCCTAGCATAAAAGGCCACCGTAGGAGCCGCTGGGTTGTGTTTCCAAGCAAGACAAGCCTCAACAATCCCAAACTGATGAGAGTTTATTAAAATTTTAAATTAAATTTTATTTGTTATCAAAGTAATACATGTACATAATTTTAAAGTAAAATAGCACCACAGGGTTTACACGATAACGGCTCTCCCAGCTTTATCACTCTCCACTCCCAAGGCCCATCCCCTCCAGGCAACCACTTTAATCTCCGTTAGCTGTTTCTTTTGATATTTTCCTCCATATTTCAAAACAATATGACGGTGCTGCTATATCTTTATTTATTTTCATTTTAGACATATTTATCGATTTCCTATTATAGGAGATGAGGGTTTAGCACATTCACACTTGAATTTTGCCTTCCCCATCCTATCAGCTTGGTTCCAGGGGCAGTGTTCCAGACGTTTCCTAACTGCTTGAGTAACATGCAGAAGAGTTATTGACTGCCTGGCCAAACCAGTGCGTAGCAAATGAATATCAGTTTTTGTTTGTTTGTTTATATCAGTAAATAGCGTAAGATAGATAGTAGATGAATGCTCAAATTCTGAAGCCAGACTTTCTGTGTTCAATTCTGGTCGGCCATGTTTAGTTGCACCAGCTTGGGCAAATTACTTAATGTGTCTGTGTCTTTTCTGGGGATAATAATAGTAACGACATCACAATATTTTGTGATCGTTAAATAAGTAAATATAGGTAAAGTACTTAGAGCAGTGCTATGAAAAGCCATATATGTGTTTGCTATTATTATAATTATATTATTATTCTTATATAAGACCCTCTTGCTGAGCCAAGAGAATATAATTATATTTCCTTTTTTGTACCCTTTTTATATCTTATGTGATTAATATTTGCTTTGTCTTCAAGTTTGTTTACTTCTTCATGACTCTATCACAAAATCTTCCTACTTTTCAAAAGAACTACAAATGCCCCTTCCGATACTGTTTCCATATAGATAATCAGGTATTATTCCAGTTTTATCCTTTTTTTTTTTTCCTTCTGGGTACATCTTTGCTGGAATCTTTTGTGATCCTTTTTCAGTCTGTGCTGGCTGCTCTCTAAGCCTACAATACATCCGCCTTCCCAAGGCTTCACTTTGCAAATCTACCGTGTTAAAAATCTTATTCACCAATATGTCTTCTTTCTTGGTTTAATCCAGCAATTCTCAGCCTCTGCACTATTGACATTTTGGGTCAGATAATTCTTTGTTGTGGGACGTTGTCCTACGCACTGTAGTATTTAGCAGTATCCCACAAGATGCCATTAGCAGCCACTTCCCACCTTGTGACAATCAAAAGTCTCTGCTGACATTACCAAATGTCGCTGCTGGGCAAAATTGCCCCCCAGTTGGGAATTTCTAGTTTAATCCTTCATTTTATTAAACCACATCTGAAAATATCTTCCCAAGAAAGGCTGCATAGAATGTAAATTTTTTGAGACTTTGTATGTCTGAAATCTTCTTTATTCCTACCTTATGTCTGATTGTTAATTCTTCTGATTCTACAACTGTGGATTGAAATAATGCTGGTCTCCTGCTGCCCCAGCTTTTCAAGCTATTGCTCCACTGTCTTCTGGCTGTCAGTGTTGTTGTTAAGTTGGATGTCACTCAGATTCATTTTTCTGTTTTGGCAATTATGTTAGTTATTAATTGCTGCATAATACACTATCTGTAACTTAGTGATTTTAAACAGCAACCTGGTTGTTATTTTTCATGATTTTGTGGGTTGGTTGGGACTCAGCTGTCTCACCTGGGGCCTCTCATGTGGTCTCCCTCTCAGCTGGAGGGCAGATGGGGCTGGAATCTCCAACATGACTTCACCTACACATCTGATGTCTTAGTCGGATGGCTGGAAAACTGCTCAGCCAGGAAACTGGGGTGGCTGAACGTTTGTTTTTCTCCAGGTAGTCTGAGGGTCTCTCTCCTTGTGACCTCTTCGATAGGATCAGTCTCTCCATGTAGTTTCTCAGCAGACCACCTGAACTTCTTACATGGCAACTCAGGGCTTCTGAAAGCAGAAAGGCAGAGCAGCTAGGTATTCCTCAGACTTAGGACAAAGTCTGGCATAGAATCTCTTCTGTCTCATTCCATTACTTAGAGTGAGTCACAGGGCCGAACCAGATTTCATGTGGGAGGGGACTGCATGAGAGTGTGAGTGTTGGGAAGCGTGGTTCACTGGGACTCATCTTTGAAGACTAGTTACCAAAGCTACCACATTGTTGTTTCTCAAATACTTTTTCTTGTTTTCCGAAAGTTTCTTTTTTTATAGCCTTCTGTTCTTAGTTCATGGATGCAGTATTTTTTCTTTACAGAGTATATTAATTATAAATTTAATATCTTTTGTGTCTCCTTTCCTTTGACTGCCATTTCCTCTGTTTTGATTTTCTGCCATTGGACGGAAGCTTATCCTGAGTGCTCCATTCCAAGTGAGACTCTAAAAAGCTGATTGGAGTCTCAGGAATAATCGGTGTGGCTTGTCAAATCGTTGCCTTCCTGGTATGGCGATGGGGCTCAGAACCAGTTGTCTTATTGTGGGTGTTATAAATGTCATTTTGGGGTGTGTTTTTCTTTAGGATTTTTCCATTTCTCCAGAGAAAGAGTGTCCCACCTTTTGCCTGAGGGGAATTGTTTGGCAGTCAGTATTCTTGAGACCATAGAGTGGAAGAAGGCTGGGTGCACAAAATTGATTATCTAGACTTCCATGGAATCCCCCTCCTTTTGACACAATGCCTCTTCCCTGTTCTCTACTCTACCGGATCCTGTCTGAAGACTCTTCACTTGGTTTTTCCAGATAATTACCTAGTTCTTAATACCACTGAGAAGGGGAGTCACCTGCCTTCTCCAACTGGGAGAGAACCTGAGGGACTAACTGCCCATTATACAGACTTTCAACCTAATCCTCCCTTTTCTGTCTACCCCTCTTCCCACCTTTGTATCTTGGTGCTTCCAGTTTCTAAGGCTTTTCAAGTATTCTTGAACACAGATCAGCTTGACTCTCATTGACATTTCCTTCTGCAAACACTTAGGCTTTAGCTATTCCAACTCTCTAAAGTCAGTTGTTTATTCCTCTACTTACATTCCAGTTTTCAAAAATGTGTTGCTATCTCTGGTCTGTTGTTTTCTTCTCTCCGTTTTATTTGTCTTTATGGGCTTATAACGTTCACTCTCATTTTAGGGGGAACTCAGAACTCAAGAGGGAGTGTAGATAAACTTATGTTTAATTCACCATATATAATTCAAAACCTGTTTTCCTTTTCTAAAGCCCAGATAATTATATTTATAAACTTCCTAGTTTGAAGATCATACTTCGTCAATGGAAAATTCTATCTAACTTCAGTCTAACCTGTTGTAATGCATGACCCAGTAGTTCTCAACTCTGGCTGTATATAATAATCATTTTTCTAGCTCTGAAAAATGCTGATACTTGGACCTACCCCAGATAAAATTAATCAGACTCTCTGAGGTGAACATGTGCAGCAAATAATAAGTATATTTGATGCGTAGCCAGGAAGGAGAATCAACAGTGTGACGGTGGTGATGGGGGTGTCTTAGTCCATTTGCATTGCTAGAACAGAATACTGGACACTGGGTAATTTACAAAGAACAGACATTCATTTCTCACAGTTCTGAAGGCTGGGAAGTCTGGCAAGGGCTGATCTCTGTTTCCAAGATGGCACCTTGATGCTGCATTCTTTACAGAGGAAGAATGCTGTGTCCTCATATGGTGAAGGCAGAAGAGCAAACAAGCCTAATGCTGTGTAAAACCTCTTTTATAAGGATCTTAATCCATTCATGAGGGGAGGGTCATTTATGACCTAACCACCTCTTAAAGGCCCCATCTCTTAATACTATCACATTGGCGACACGTGAATTTTGAAGGGGACACATTCAAACCATAACAGGGGGGTGATGGTGAGGCTGGGGTGGCAGTGTCTGCACTCTGACTGACTCCAAAGTCTGTTAACTCTTGAAAACCAACCCCCCACACAAACACACACACCACACACACACACACAAACTCACACCACTTTCCCATTGGCTTCCTATGCAATGTTCCATGCCTAGCTTTGGAAAATAAAGTATTTGGTGCTGTCACTACCTGCCCTGATTTTTACTTTTTTGTTACACTTGTATCAGAACCACTAGAGAACTCAAAAACATGAGGGGGAACAGATCCCTAGAACCCTAATTTCAGTTACTTATGGGATAAGAAATCTCCTTTCTACCTCTTCTGTTCTAGTTATGTTAGTCTGTACTGAAAGGCAAGTTGTGGAGGGAAAGGAAAAATTTAAACTGGATGATCTCCCAGGCTTTCTAGACTTCGGAACTTTGATCTTCAATCTTTGCATAGGTGTTTTAAATTAGGTAATGTATATAAAGATTCTCTGAAAAGTGTAATGTGCTAGAAGCTGTTTTTAAAACATCTAAAGTGTGTAACTTTATGTGGACTCACAACAAAGTCATAAATTAACAGTCAAGTTAGCAAGTCAGGTAAAGTCTTTATCAACTCAGTCTAAGAAAGAAAGTAATTAAACAGTGATTTAACTCTACCCTGGGACCTGATAATGGGAGGCCCACAATCTTGGTAGGATTAATTTTTAAGCTTTCTATAGTCTTTGGCTGCTCAGTGTCAGTCCCACATCAGATGTTTTATAGTTCCCATTACTCATATGGTTGATTTCTCAATATATTCTTAGTAGTCTGGACATGATATCTGGATATAAGGCACAAGTGTCATTAGTTTCTTTACAACTGTAGGTGTATTAGATATAATATCTAGAAAATAGTCTTACAGTGTATATGATATGCATGTGCTTCCCTTGCATGAAAAACAAGTTGCTTCACTATCACCAATTATATAAGCTTGTTTTATGAGTGCATTTTCAGCAAGTATCCATTCGTTCATTTAAAAAATAGTTGTTCAGCACTCATTCTACACCTGGAACTGTTCTAGGAGATGGGAATAAAGCAGTAAAGAAGACAAATAAAAATCTCTTCTCTTTCTGAGCTTACATTCCAATGAGAGCCAGGTGTGTGGTCTGTATGTGTTTCTATCAATGTTTTGTCAGAGTATCTCATTTTCCTATCTACCCCAGGATCCTTGACATAACTGGCAGGCTACCAGGATATCAATTGGAATAAAGACTCAAGACTTTCTTAGGAAAAAACAAAAAAAAAGTCCTAAAAAAAAAAGAGAAAAGCTTCCCTTGACTTCTTAAGTTACATCTACCAAATAAACTTTCTAAAAGAAACGGTAATATGCAAAAGTCAAATTCAACTTTTAAAAAATATTACCCGGTCTTTGGGATTGCCCTTATTATTGCTCATTGCTCTGTTAGGCTGCCAAAATCAGTGAGAATAACTGCATTGTAAACATATTATCCTCTGTCTCCGACATTCTGGAATCCACTCAGACACTAATCATATCACTCCTTAAAGACCTTCAGGGGGCAACAGAACAGTCTGAATAGGCTATCTGCTGGTTGTGTGACAATTTCCTTCTGGGAGCCATCTGTAAATGAAGGAATACAGATCCTTTTTCTTTTCATTCTTCCTTTTTTTTTTTTTTTTTTTTTTTTTTTGAGACAGAGTCTCACTCTGTTGCCCAGGCTAGAGTGCAGTGGGGCGATCTTGGCTCACTGCAACCTCCACCTTGCAGGTTCAAGCGATTCTCATGCCTCAGCCTCCCGAGTAGCTAGGATTACAGATGTGCACCACCACATCTGGCTAATTTTTGTATTTTTGGTGGAGATGGGGTTTCACCATGTTAGCCAGGCTGGTCTCGAACTCCCAGCCTCTGGTGATCTGCCTACCTCAGCCTCCCAAAGTGCTGGGATTATAGGTGTGAGTTACCGGGCCTGGCCAGATCCTTTTTCTGAAACTATTTTTCTAGTCTCTTTTGAAGATGTCCAGAGGAGAACTGGGTTCTGGTTTTTGACTATTATTTAGTAGGAGAACCAAGGAAGGAGGATCTTGGCTTTCTAACGTAGGTGGGTAGCAGGGAGCTTATGTTCTTTCCTCATCCTTTACTCAAAACTCAAGAATCTGGGAGCAGAGCTTCCTGAAGGTGGACAGGCAGGTTGGTGTGAATGTGTGCTAATTCCTGATGTTTGCTGTCCCCTTATAAATGAACGTTTTTTTTTCTCATGATGAAACATCAGTGCAAATAAGCATTAAGTATTTCATAACCTGCAAATGGATTCTATTGGTTTGCCACTTCCTGAGTAGCAGCTGGGGAATGCATCACGTGGAACCAATTTTCTTGACCCTTCTTTCACAAAGAGAAATCAGTAATCAGTCCAGGTTATTATTTACAAACACTTGTTGACTGCCTTTAGACTTAAAGAGATTGCTCTGTTTTCTATTACCTAGATGATATGCTGTCAATCTTGAAATTTCACTTAAAACTTACACCATCCTCCAAAACTGGGATTGATATGGGAGGCAGCGCCTGTGCTCATATTGCATAAGGGTTTTTGTAGAGGCCAGAATTAATATACTTCTAGGTAACTAATGCATTTAATATTATTGGAATTGTGGCACAGTGATTTACAGCAACAGTATTAGCACACTACTTCTGTATCATACTAAATTGTTCACAGCCCTCCCACCTACTCTCCCTCCCTCCTCCATGTCTCTTTTAGATTTCTCTATAACTCTGAGAGATAGATATTATTATCCCTGCTTTTACAGATGAAGGAACTGAAGCTTACAAAGTACAGATGACTATCCCGTTGATAGCAATTGCTTGAAGTTGGGCTTGAAACTTATGTCTGTTTCTTTTTTTGGATGTGCTAAAGAAAAAAAGAAGATAACATCCGTCTTTTTTTTTTTTTTTTTTTTTTAGGCTGGGGTTTAGTGGGATCATAGCTCGCTGCGGCCTTGAACTTCTTGGCTCAAGTGATCTTCCTACCCCAGCCTCCCAAGTATCTTGGATTATGGGCACATACCACCACGCCCCCGTCTTAACTTTTTTTTTTTTTTTTTTGTGATGGAGTCTCGCTCTGTCACCCAGAATGTAGTGCAGTGGCACGATCTCGTGATCTCAGCTCACTGCAACCTCAGCCTCCTGGGTACAAGCAATTCTTCTGCCTCAGCCTCCTGAGTAGCTGGGATTACAGGTGCCCGCCACCACACCTGGCTATTTTTTGTATTTTTAGTAGAGATGGGGTTTCACCATGTTGGCCAGGCTGGTCTCAAACTCCTGACTTTAAGTGATCCGCCCGCCTCAGCCTCCTAAAGTGCTGGGATTACAGGCATGAGCCACTACACCCAGCCTTAACTATTTTTAAGTGTGGAATTCAGCAGCATTAACGATATTCACATTGTTGTACAATAAATCTTCAGAACGTTTTCATCTTGGAAAACTGGAACTCTGTACACATTAAACAACAACTCCCCATTTCCCTCTTCTCGCAGCCCCCTAGTAACCATTTTTCTACTTTCTGCTTTTATGAATTTGACTACTTTATGTAAGTGGAATCATCTAGTATTTATCTGTTTGGGACTGGCTTATTTCACTTAATATGATGTCTCCAAGGTTCATCCCTGTTGTAGCATGTGATGGGATTTTCTTACTTTTTAAGGATGAATAATATTCTACTGTATGTATATACCACATTTGGTGTATCCATTTATCATTCAACAGACACTTGGGTTGTTTTCAATTTTTAATTATTGTGAATAATGTTGCTACGAACATGGGTGTACAAATATTTCTTTGGGATCTTTCTTTCAATTCCTTTGAATTTATACACAAAAGTGGAACATATGATAGGTCTATGTTTAATTTCCAAGGAACTGCTATGCTGTTTTCCCTAGTGGTGACATCATTTTACATTCCCACCAGTAGGGCACAAGGGTTCCAGTTTCTTCACATCCTTGCCAGCACTTGTTGTTTTTTGCTCTTGGGTAATAGCCATCCCAATGGATGTGAGGCATTTGAAACCTATGTCTTTTGACAGCAAGGTCAGTGTGGATCATACCACAACACAGAAACTACACTGCATCGCACCAACCACAGATGCCTGCAGAAAACACAGGAGAAGCTCTCTCAGAAATATGCAGTCCTGAATCTAATGGGCCCTGCTGCCCTGATCAGGATGGCTTATACAGGAACAGAGAGCACTTCTAGTGCAGTGCTGTATTGGATGGAATTGCGTCCCCTCAAAATTATACGTTGAAACCCTAACCCCCAATATGAGGGTATTTGGAGATGGGGCATGTGGGTGATAATTAGGTTATGAGGTCATGAGGGTAGAGCCTCCTGGGAGAATTAGCGCCCTCATAAGAAGAGACACCAGACAGTTTCCAATCTGTCTCCCTGCTTGCAAGGAAAGAAGAGGTCACGTTAGCACACAGCAAGAAGGTAACCATCTGCAACCCAAGGAGAAAGCCCTCACCAGAAACCCACCATGCCACCCACCTTGATCTTGGACTTCTAGCCTCCAGAACAGTGAGAAAATAAATTTCGGTTTTTTAATCCACTCAAACTGATATATGTATGTGTGTGTATATATATATATATATACATATATATACACACACATATATGTATATATATATGTGTATATATATACATATATGTGTGTATATATATATGTATATATATATATATTTTTTTTTTTTGAGACAGAGTCTCACTCTATCGCCCAGGCTGGAGTGCAATGGTGCAATCTCGGCTCACTGCAACCTCCGACTCCCGAGTTCAAGTGATTCTTCTGCTTCAGCCTCCCGAGTATCTGGGACTACAGGTGCACGCCACCACGCCCAGCTAATTTTTGTATTTTTAGTAGAGCCAGGGTTTCACCATATTGGCCTGGCTGGTCTCCAACTCCTGACCTTGTGATCCGCCCTCCTTGGCCTCCCAAAGTGCTGGGATTACAGGCGTGAGCCACCGCGCCTGGCCCTATGATATTTTTTTTTAATGGCAGAGCAAGCCTTGATCATTGCTTTCTTCTTAAACCTTATTCAGTGTTTACTTCTACCAGCGATGGTAAATGAAGTCTGCTGTTTAGTCATAAAGCTGCTAAATTTCAAAGTCTTACTGAACAACAGAGTGATCAGGATGAAAGGCTGCCATCAATAATACGTTATCTTAGATGAAAACACACTGGACTAAGCGAAGAAGTCCCAATGTGTACAGATAAGTCTGTGGAATGGGGTTTGGAAATAAAGGTTTTTGAGACTTTTTAGAAGTAAATGGGAATGGTTAACATGTAGTCCTGTCCAGAAATACAAATCCTAATCATTTCATACATCTCTACCCAATGAATCTCTGATCTTTTTTTCCCATCTTTTTCTAGAACATATTCCATAATTGCTTCCAAGATGTGAAGATTTTCACTCTGGCTTCACCGTATTTTTAAAATCTTTGAATTTAGCCTTGGTCCATATACTTGGCAAAGAATAATTTCTATATTTCTCATGCATGGAGGGAGAAAAGGGCATAGAGGAGCTGGCTGCACTCTGATCTTCACTGGAAGCTTTCCCTGCTTAGACAAGCAAAGGAGGGAGAAAATATCTTGTTTCACTGGCTCATATTGATTTCCTGGTCATGTCTGATACCTGCCTGTGGATAGACTTAATGGCTGCAGATAAATGAGGCTCAGCTAGCAGAAGGGAGGCTGCAAAAAATCACCTGAAAATGCTTTGCTTGTGTGGGTCTAATACAAAATTTAAAAAAATGCAGCTTTTTGAGTTGCAACTTACCATGACCCAGCCAGGCAAGGCACTGGGGAGAACTTAAATTATGGTCACAGGACTCCTGATTTGTGGATAAAAGACTGAGGATCACGTGTAGTGAGGGGCAGAAACAAGATTCTGCAACTGCTATTACACGGAGTGAACTGCAAATTGAGGGGACACTCCACAGAGCTGCTTTGCCATTTTTTTGGTAAGCTCAATTTGTACCCCTATGGGGCACCCTTTAATACTGGGATACTGGGCTTGGTGCAGAAGATAAGCAGGAACTGTTTAGATTACATCCTGATCATTATTCTTTATTCTCTCCCTAATGCCAGGCCTTAATGCTAGGCCTTTATCACATAATAAATATTTGTGCTGCTCTATCATCGTTCAGTGTGCACTACTTTGCATTTAGTTTTCTATAGTCTGTCTGCCAATGAGATTGCAAGTCCTTTGCATGCAGGGACAGGGTATCATGCTCTCTGCATCCCCAGGGCTCTCCTTGTAGTGTCACATACATGAGCAACACTAGCTACAAACTGCTTCAGACAGCAGGAGAGGACAGATGGGGTAGACAAGGATCCTCCCCGGAATGGGGAAGGGAAGGAGGGGAAAGACTTAACTGAAGTTGCAGGGAGGAAGTACTGCCTGATATGCAAAATATGGCATATGATTAACAGACAGTACATATTATGGGGAGCTATTCAGTAAGCACTTGTCATCAGGGAGCTCCAACAAGAATGATGGGTGGGTGTTCCTTAGATAGAGAGAATACAGTGACAGAGACACTAGGAGTAAGCCATATCTGAGAACTCAAGAAGACAAAAGGCAGAACCAGGGCATCTTCTCATTAGGCAGCAGAAGCCTTGGCTCTGCTTTGCTGTCAAGAACAGAGTTCCAGTTCTTGAAGACTGAAGGACGGATTGACAGTAAGAAGGCAGGGTCCTCAATTCAGAAAGCCTCGCACTAGAGAGTAGTTGTTGGGTGTGTGTGAGCTCTGGTGTTAAACCCCCTTGGTCTGTGTCCCATTACAAGCTCTGTTACTGTTGAACATTTGCTAGGCTTCCAGGTGTGTGGCTACATGTATTGGCTGTATGTCTTTTTTTGAGAAGTGTCTGTTCATATTCTTTGTCCACTTTTTAATGGGGTTGCTTGTTTTGTTTCTTGTAAATGTGCTTAAGTTCCTTGTAGATTGGTGGATATTAGACCTTTGTCAGATGGATAGATTACAAAATTTTTCTCCCATTCTGTAGGTTGCCTGTTCACTCTGATGATAGTTTCATTTGCTGTGCAGAAGCTCTTTAGCTTAATTAGATCCATTTGTCAATTTTAGCTTTTGTTGCAATTGCTTTTGGCAATTTCATCATGAAGTATTTGCCCATGCCTATGTCCTGAATGGTATTGCCTAGATTTTCTTCTAGGGTTTTTATAGTTTTGGGTTTTACATTTAAGTCTTTAATCCATCTTGAGTTAATTTTTGTATAAGGTGTAAGGAAGGGATCCAGTTTCAATTTTCTGCATATGGCTAGCCAATTCTCCCCGCACCATTTATTAAATAGAGAATGCATTTCCCAATTGCTTGTTTTTGTTGGGTTTGTCAAAGATCATAGATGTGTGGTTTTATTTCTGAGTTCTCTACTCTGTTCCATTGGCCTATGTGCCTGTTTTTGTACCAGTGCCATGCTGTTTTTGTTACTGCGGCCTTGTAGTATAGTTTGAAGTTGGTTAGCATGATGCCTCCAGCTTTGTTCTTTTTGCTTAAGAATTGTCTTAATTATGTGAGCTGCTTTTTGGTTCCATATGAATTTTAAAATAGTTTTTTCTAATTCTGTGAAGAATGTCAATAATAGTTTAATGGGAATAGCATTGAATCTATAAATTGCTTTGGGCAGTATGGCCATTTTCACGTTATTGATTCTTCTATCTATGAGCATGGAATGTTTTTCCATCTGCTTATGTCCTCCCTGATTTCCTTGTGCAGTGGTTTGTGGTTCTCCTTGAAAAGGTCCATCACTTCCCGTTTTAGCTGTATTCCTAGGTATTTTATTCTCAGTGGCAATTGTGAATGGGAGTTAATTCATAATTTGGGTTTCTGCTTGTCTGTTTTTGGTGTATAGGAATACTTGTGATTTCTGCACATTGATTTTGTATCCCAAAACTTTACTAAAGTTGCTTATTAGCTTAAGAAGCTTTTGAGCCGAAACGATGGGGTTTACTAGACATAGGATCATGTCATCTGCAAACAAAGAGAATCTGACTTCCTCTCTTCCTATTTGAATACCCTTTATTTCTTTCTCTTACCTGATTGCCCTGGCCAGAACTTCCAACAGTATGTTGAATAAGAGTGATGAGAGAGGGCATCCTTGTCTTGTGCCAGTTTTCAAGGGGAATGAGGGAGGCTAATTTTCTAATAATAATAATAAGATAATATTGAAGATTTGCTTGGTTCCAGATATTTCCATGAATGCTTTACATGTATCAAGTCACAATCTCAGAAAACCCTATGAAAGAGTTCATATTATTATCCCCATTTTATAGATGAAGAGACTGAGGCACATGCCCTACAAAGACCTAAGCTGGGAAACCCACTACCTTGAGTGTTTTTGTTGCCACCTGAGCACAGGGATCTCAGATTGACATTGCAGTTTCTCAGCATTCCACCTCCAGGAAATGTTTTATTTCACAACAGGCCAATGGGCCACGTGACTGAGGTGTTCTACTGAGAAGGGGCGGGGAGCAAGGAGTCTGAGGCTCACAGGCTATAATGGATGGAGGAAGAAAAATTAGAGAACTGGGTTTGGGGGCAGAGTCCTTGCCGGCCTTGTGAGGCTGTGGCTGGGTCTGATCTCATCTGCTGTAAGAGCTGGTCCTGAACTGTGTGGTTTGAGGCCTGGGCAGTGGTGAAGGCAGGAGGACTCACAAATCAACCAGGCTGTTGAAAACCCCAAGGAGCAACAGTACGGGCCAAAGGCCAGAGGTCTGAGGTCTGGGTTCTAGCCCTGGCTTTGCCATTAACTAGCTGTATGATTCTGGGCAAATCGGTTCATCTTTCTAGGCCCAGTTACTTTTTTTTTTTTTTTTTTGAGATGGAGTCTTGCCTTGTTGCCCAGCCTAGTGTGCAATGGCGTGATCTGAGCTCACTGCAACCTCTGCCTCCCGGGTTCAAACAATTCTCCTGCCTCAGGCTCCCAAGTAGCTAGGATTACAGGTGCCTGCCACCACACCCAGCCAATTTTTGTATTTTTAGTAAAGATGGGGTTTCACCATGTTGGCCAGGCTGGTCTCTAACTCCTGACCTCAGGTGATCTGCCTGCCTCGGCCTCCCAAAGTACTGGGATTATAGGCACTTTTTTTTTTTTTTTAATAAATAAAATGCAAGTTTTTTTTTGTTATTGTGGTGATTGTTGTTTTTAATCTCCCAAGTGTTTTTGAACCCCATCATTCTGTGGTTCTATGGCTTTACTGCCATGCCAAGCAAGTCTCAGAATGTTGGCACGCTGACCATTACTGCTTCCCTCCCTGCCCTCCATTCTTTTATAAAGGCCAACCAAAGATAACCATGCTGGTCCTGTGCTGGGCTAGAACATTCTCTCCTCATAACATTCGTAAGAGATAGACATTATTTTGATTTTATGGATAAGGACTCATCCAAGTACACACACCAGCAATCCACATTGGGAATTCTAATTGAGGCTTGCCTCTAAAATCTAGGTTGTTCATGAATATGTGACATGGCTTCTCTATTTTATGTTGGTTTCTATTGGCCACTGGCAAATACTGCTCTTTTTAGGGGCTGGTGGGGTGGTGGGAATGGTGTCTGAAGTGGAAAGAAGGCACTAGGTTTGGACCCATGCGCCACAGAGGCCCTTGGAAGGGGTGCAAATGGCATTGGCCTTGTGGCTCCAGTCTTTTCCAACTACTGCTCCAAGTGGGGCAACGAATGCAGATTTTCCTGCTAAGAACTTGCAGAGAATCCCAATAGGTTGTACTTCTTTTAACGCATAGAGTTTTCATGTGCCAGCAGCTGCCATAACACAAACACAGTCCCTTACTAACTGCTCTCCTAGGTCGCTTTTCCTGCCACGTGGCCTCCCTGCCCACGTCCCCTGGGAGGTGGCCGGAAAGCTGAGATGGGGGCGGCTGCAGTTGCTGCCTCTGGCTGACGTTCAGCTGCAGCAGGCAGGGTTGTTCAAGCTTGGAAGAATCACCACTAAAATGATTTGGGTTTGTGGTGGGGAAGCGGAGGGCAGTCCCTTTTAAGAGTTTCCTTTCACATTCCAGCCATCCACCCCCTGAAATCTTTCAATCATCCATTCATGTATTCATTCAAAAATTATTTAACGTGTTCTTTTTCTGTGTCAGGCACTGTTCTAGGCACTAGAGATCCAGTGGTGAACAAAAGAGGCATGTTCCCTGCTCCCAGGAAATTAATGTTTTAATTGAAGGGTCGGGGGGGATTTGGAGATAAGCAATCAGACAAATAAATACATGATATAATGTGAGATAGTGCTGAGTGTCTCAAAGAAAATGATTATATGGAGCCAGAGAGTGACAGAAATGCTGTTTTAAGCTGGGTGTCAGGAGAGGTCTCCCTGAGGAAATGACAGACACTGAGACGTAGTCAAGGAGCAAGCTGTGGAAATCTCTGGGGGAGAGTGGCCCCAAAGAGGGAGGAGAAAGTGCTAGGTCCTGAGATAAGAAGGGGCATGGCACTTCTGATGAGCAGTAGGAAGCCAGTGTACCTGGAGTACAAGGAGCAAAGCAGACGTAACATGGAGTTGCAGAGGCAACACAGACCATGTAAGGGCTTGGGATTTTCTTTTATTTTTGAGACAAAATCTCACTGTCACCCAGGCTGAGTGCAGTGGCATGATTATGGCTCATTGAAGCCTTTTCTCCTGGACTCAAGCAAACCTCCCACCTCAGTCTCCCAAGTAGCTGGGACAACAGCTGCATACCACCACTCCTGGCTAATTTTGTCCTTTGTGTAGAGGCGGGATCTTGCTATGTTTCCTGGGCTGGTCTTGAATTCCTGGATTCAGGGGATCCTCCTGCCTCAGCCTCCTAAAGTTCTGGGATTACAGACATGAGCCACCGTGCCTGGCTGGGATTTTATTTTAAATATGATGTGAAGCTGTTGGAACATTTTGAAAAGGGAAATGACACAATGAGATTTATGTTTAAAATTATCTCCGTGGCCATGGAGATTGTAAGGAGCTCAGGGAAGGAGCAGGGAGATCCATTAGGAGGCCATTGCAAAAGTCCAGGCCAAAAGTGAGAGTGGCTCAGGCTCATGATGGATCCAGGTGGACAGAAGTAGCAGGATTCGGGATTTTTACAAAGATAGAACCAATAACATTTGCTGATAGATTGGATGTAGGTTGTGTGAGAAAGACAGCAGTTAATGATGACCCTCAGGTTTTTGGTTCTAAGGGCTGAAAACTGTAATAGGCTGAATAATGGCTACCCAAAGAGATTCTGTCCTAACCCCTGGAACTTGTCACATTTGAAAAAAGAGTTAATTTTACCTTACATGGTAACAAATCTCATTAAATATTTTGGAATTATTCTGGATTATCCAGATGGGACCAGGATGCCATTTAGTGTCTCTATACAAGAGAGGCAAAAGGGAGATGACACACACCTGAAGCAGGATGCCACGTAAAGGTGAAGGAAGGGTTTGGAGCGATGCAGCCACAGCCGGGGAATGCCACACCAGCAGCCACCAGAAGCTGGAAGAGGCAAGGATCAGCTTCTCCCTTTGAGCCCCTAGAACAGGGGTGTCCAAACTTTTGGCTTCCCTGGGCCACATTGGAAGAAGAATTGTCTTGGGCCACACATAAAATACACTAACATTAATGATAGCTGATGTGCTTAAAAAAAAATCGCAGAAAAGTCTCGTTATGTTTTAAGAAAGTTTACAAATTTGTGTTGGGCCGCATTCAAAGATGTTCTGGGCTGCATTTGGCCCAAGGGCCACAGTTTGGACAAGCTTGCCCTAGAATGAGGGCAGCCGTGCCAACACCTGGATTCCAACCCAGTGAAATGGGTTTTGGACTTCTGGTTCCTAGAACTAAGAAATAATAAATTTCTGTTTTAAGCCACCAAATTTGTCATAGCTGCCATAGTAAAAGAATACAATGCAGGAAAAGATTCAGCAAAGACACCTGTACCAAGACAAAGGCCATCGGTATATTAGGCCACTCGTAAATGAAATGGGACATTGAGAAGTGGACAAGAATCACAAAAGGTGTGGGAAAAACCAGGAACTTCTGTTGGAGGAGAGGGAGGGGCTGGTAGAAAGAGTGGAAAGAGGGGGAGGAGCTGGCATAAGCTGTTGTCTCTGGGCTGTGGCGCCTTGGCCAGATAAGCATCTTACCTTAGTGCTGAGACAGGCCTACAATTCAATCCAAGTTGGATTTTTTATACATTAATTGAGCTTTGCTGAAACTGTGCTTTTCTTCTTTCAAGTCTAAATTCAAGTCTTGAAATGATTCCTTGGCTGAAATTAGATGGTTTTCCAGTGCTGGTTTCTTTCTACTCAAAGTTGTCTTTCATTGGCTGGCAATAACCAATTATTTGTGTGATTTGTTTGCATTTGGATTTGGCCTGATTCAACAGGGCAAGCAGACTAGTCTCCCTGTCTGAATCCCCACCTGCCAACCCACCGACACCATCCTTTCTTGGAGTTCCTGTAGCCTGGAGTTTAAGGCCTTTTTATGTATTTGAGGGTACAATTTTCATAAGAAGTAATTTTTTTTGCTTTTTTAAAAAAATAATTTATTTATCTAAATTTATTTATTTATTTTGAGACAAGGTCTTGCCATGTTACCCAGGCTGGTCTCAAACTCCTGGGCTCAAGCAATCCTCCTGCCTCGGCCTCCCAAAGTGCTGGGATTACAGGTGTGGGCCACTGTGCCTGGCCGATAGTTTCTTAAAATTACTGCTTTTCAGTTACTTTTTTCATATCCACTTATCCTATTCGAACAGCAGTATATTCTCTGATTTTTAAAATAACTGTTGTGTTGAATTTCCTAAGCTCACTAAAGTCAAGGGACCTCTTGAAGTTCATTCTGGGTGAGTATGGGTTCAAAATCAGTGCTCCCTCCACTCCCTAGAGCCATCTACACAGGCAGAGAGCCTACTCTATCTTGGCCAGGACATGGTCCTAATATTTGCTGCCAAAATCCCTTCCCTTTGAATTTGCTTTTCTTAGACCTCTGTTCCTTTCCCTGCTACCCTTGAGCTGTTGGCTTGTGGTGTGTGTTGAATGTATCTTTTCCTGTCTCCACATGCCCACCTCTCCCACCCCAGTCGACCAAGATCATGCCAATCCCTTCTAATTGACTGACTTTTCAGTGTATTTTAGAGGCAAGCTGGGGTGGTGGATGGGACACTGGGCTAGGAGTCAGGACTCTACCACACAGTGGCCTGAATTCAGTTGCTGGCTCTGCCACTTACTTCTGAGTGGCCTCAAATTTTGTAACCTCTCTGGTTAAAATCAGCTGTTTTCCAATTGACCTTAGCCCTGGCCTTTGCTAACATTAAATGAGTGTTGTCACCACTCTAAGCTTTAATTCCTTCACATAGAAAATGAAGAGATTGGATAGACCAGACAATTGCCACATCCCCTTCCAAATCCAGGATTCTATAGTTCTAGTAGGAAGCAAGGAAACAAAACATTTCAGTTTATTGTTTGGTATAAATGAATCATCTTCTTCTTTGAAGTCCTTGTTAATCAACTTTCCCATAAGCCAGAATTCATCACTCCCACTGGGCCTTGTGAAAATGGGAAAACATCTGAATAATGGACTATTGCTGGGGCTTTGGAACCACACTGACCTGTCTTCTTCCTCGGCCGTATGCATATGATGGACACCTGGACACGGTACTTAGCACCCTAAACATCAGCTTCCCAGTTTGTAAACTGGAGTTAGTAACTGAGCATCCCTCACAGAGTTATTGTAATGACTAAGTGAGATAATTTATATGTAGATAAAATGCCTTGCCTCTAAAAAATATTCAGTGATGTTAAGCTATTGCTTTCTTTTTATTTACTTGTTTGTTGAAATAATTTATATGTGGTGAAGTGTCCAAATTGTATACACCTCAATAGATCTTTACATCTGTATATACCTCTGTGACAACCCCTAGAACAAGATACAGAACATTTCTAGCACAACAGAAGGCTCACTTCTACTCCCTTTCAGTAAATATCCAACTCCCACCAAAGTAACCAATATTCTGACCTTTATCACCATAGATTAGTTTTTCCTGTTCTCAAACTTCATCTATGTATGTATGTATGTATGTGTGTATCTATCTATCTATCTCTATCATCTATATCTATCTCTATCATCTATATCTATCTATCATCTATACCTATCATCTATATCTATCATATCTATCTATCTATCTATCTATCTATCTATCTATCTATCTATCTAATTTTTGAAACAGAGTCTCAGTCACCCAGGCTGGAGTGCAGTGGTACGACCTTGGCTCACTGCAACCACCACCTCCCAAGTTCAAGTGATTCTCATGCCTCAGCCTCCTGAGTAGCTGGGACCATAGGCCTGTGCCACCATACCCAGCTCATTTTTGTATTTTTAGTAGACAGGGTTTTGCCACGTTGGCCAGGCTGGTCTTGAACTCCTGATGTTAAGTGATCCGCCCACCTTGGCCTCCCAAAGTGCTGGCATTTCAGGTGTGAGCCACCACACCTGGCCACTTCACATGAATATAATCATACATTATGTGATCTTTAGAGTCTGGCTTCTCTCAATCAATATTATATTTTTAGTGAGATTCATTCATGTTGCTGCAAGTAGCAATAACATTTTGGTCTTCATTGCTGTATAACATTCCACTTATTGCATACCACAATTTATTTATATACTGTACTATTTATGGACATTTGAGTTGCTTCCTTTTTTTGCTGTTAAAAAAATAATTTTCTATGAGCTACTTACCCATGTCTTTGGTTTATGTAAGCACTCATTTCCGTTGATATACACCCAGCAGTGAAATTGCTAGGGCATAGAGTATTTGTAAGGTTAACTTTAGTAGATCCTACCAAGCAGTTCTTGGTAGTACAAGCAGTGCAAGTGCTTGTAACAGTTTACATTCCTCCCAGCAGTGTGAAAGGTTTCCAGTTGCTCAGCTGCTTCACCATCACTGGGTTTTCTGAATTCTTTTCATTTAGTCATTCTAGTGGCAATAGGGTAGTATCTCATTGAGCTTTCAATTTGCATGTTCCTGATGACTAAAAATGTTGATTACTTTTTCCTGCGCTTTTTGTCCATTTCGATATCCTCACTTGTGAAGTGCCTATTCAGGTCCCTTGCACCTCAAAAATGTTAGCTATTATTTTGTATCATACTAATTGTGCTTTTAAGTTATCCGTATATCTATCTACTCTCCAAATAGATGATAAGCCCTTTGATATGCAAGGTCTGTGCGTCACTCATTTACGAATTCTTAGTGCCTAACGTAAGACTCATGTTATACATTCGTTGAATACATTGTCAAACGTCTAGGACTCAGCAGATCATGGCAAAATGTCGCCATCTGGTGTCTGCAGGGAATGAGATGTGGAGGATGCAAAGCCAGCTGGCTGGATAATTCATTGTTTTCCATGTGAGCTTTCTCTTATGTACGATTTAAAAAATATGTATATATTGCAAATTGCCTCTGCATACTTGATTTTAAAAATATTTTCTATATGTACTTTCATTTTTAAAAACTCAATTTAAAGTGCAAACTTGTGGAACAGAAAAAGTTCCACAATGACTAAATTCTTTACTAAACAATTACTAAACAATTCACTAAACTAAATTCTTTAGTAATTGTTTACATTTTCAAGAGTTGGGTGCTGTATTCATAGATGAAACAATAAGTACTTACTATATTCTAGTCCTGAAGTTTATTCAAGAGATATAAGGTGCTCATAGGCTAGTAAGGAAGAAACAAAAAAATCAGCCTGGAGTATTATAATAAATGCCTTAAAATAGGTGTTTGTTCGTTCATTCGTTCACTCACTCATTCATCATTCAACATATATTATTGAGCATTTATTCTGTACCAGGCATTGTCACAGGTACTATAAACCCAAACGTGTGTGTCCTAAAGTGTGACTGCTCTAAGAAAACCTATAGTAAAAATATATATATAATTTTTCAAGGATTTGGAACTTTGGTATATTTTCCTTTGAGTATAAGCTGCTGTAGACGGTAGGCCATGTGAGACCCCAGCTTCTATTAGGGTTACACATAGAACAAGATGGCCCTAGTTGAAAATACTTTTCCATAAAGTGTACTGAGGTGGGGAGGAGGTGGCGAACTTCACTGCTCTTCTCAACTCTTTCTTCCCTCTACTCACTGCTCCTCAATCCACCACCAAGACAAATGGTAACAATGGATTGATCAGGTTTATTTGTTTGTTTTTTGAGACGGGGTCTTGCTCTGTCACCCAGGCTGGAGTGCAGTGGTGTGATCACAACTTACTGCAGCCTCAACCCCAGGCTCAAGCAATCCTCCTACCTCAGCTTCCTCAGTAGCTAGGACTACAGGCATGTGCCACCATGCCCAGCTAATTAAAACAACATTATTTTGTAGATATGGGGTCCCCACCATGTTGCCTAGACTGGCCTGGAACTCCTGAGCTCAAGCGATCCTCCCACCGCAGCCTCTCAAAGTGCTTGGATTATAGGTGTGAGCCACCGTGCCTGGCTTGATCAGGTTTAGAAACATTGTAGTGCCCATGGGTAAAGTCTCTGTCCAGGTTACAGGCTAGAGCTCACATGGGCGTGACCTCCCAGTCACTGTCACACTGTTGGAGGACATAGGCTGGGGTGGCAATACGCTTCTGATAAAGGCCAGTAGTAGGTGTCTTAGGCTGGCAATATTTTAAGCACTGGGAGATATGATACTGCACCTTTCCTCTTATACTTTTTTTTTTTTTTTTTGAGACAGGGTCTCTACCACCCATGCTGGGGTGCAGTGACACTATCATAGCTCGTTGCAGCCTCAGCCTCCCAGGTTCAGGCAATCCTCCTACCTCAGCCTCCCAGATTCAGGCAATCCTCCTACCTCAGCCTCCCAGGTTCAGGCAATCCTCCTACCTCAGCCTCCCAGGTTCAGGCAATCCTCCTACCTCAGCCTCCCAGGTTCAGGCAATCCTCCTACCTCAGCCTCCCAGGTTCAGGCAATCCTCCTACCTCAGCCTCCCAGGTTCAGGCAATCCTCCTACCTCAGCCTCCCAGGTTCAGGCAATCCTCCTACCTCAGCCTCCCAGGTTCAGGCAATCCTCCTACCTCAGCCTCCTCAGTAGCTGGAGCCACAGCTGTGTGCCACCACATCCAGCTAATTTGAAAAATTATTTTGTAGAGACGGGGGTCCCATTATGTTGTCCAGGCTGGTCTGGAACTCCTGGGCTCAAACGATCCTCCCGCCTTGGCCTCCCAAAGTGCTGGGATTACTTGGGTGAGCCACTGCGCCTGGCCTCCTCTGATGCTTCTTGTGAGCAGATGTATTCTTGAATTTCTTCACAGCAGTTCACAAAAAGTGTCTATGACCTCATCACCCAAGTTTTTTTTTTTTTTTTTTTTTTGAGATGGTCTTGCTCTGGCACCAGGCCAGAGTGCAGTGGTGCCATCTGGGCTCACTGCAACCTCCGCCTCCCTGGTTCAAGTGATTTTCCTGCCTCAGCCTCCCAAGTAGCTGGGATTAACAGGCACGTGCCAACACGCCCAACTAATTTTTGTATTTTTAGTAAAGATGGGGTTTCACCATGTTGGCCAGGATGGTCTCGATCTCCTGACCTTGTGATCCGCCAGCCTCGGCCTCCCAAAGTGCTGGGATTACAGGCGTGAGCCACCGCACCAAGCCATCACCCGACTTTTACACATTCTCCTAGACTTCTTCTGACATTACAATGCAACAAACATTTATTTATTTCCTAATATAAACCAAAAATTCTGCTAGATGTTGGCAAAAAACAATGAAAGACAGTGTTTGCCTTCCAAGAGAAAAGGTAACAGATGATTAACATATGTAAAGGGCTATGACAGAAGTATATGAAGGAAATATGAGAGCTTGCTTCTTGGATGAAGTCTTAAGAATAAAAAGGAATTATCCAGCAAGAGTGGGTAAGAGTGGGGGATGGACAATAGGAGCTGCATGAGCAAAGGGCATGCATGCAGAGCTGTTTGCATTCCATCTTCAACATGCTGGGAAGCTTTTAACCTGAGAAGTAGCAGATACAAATAAATATTTTAAAAATTTATTGGCAACCATATGAAGGATGAATTATGGCATGGTACCATTGGAAGCAATAATTCTGTTAGCATGCCATGGTAATAATTCACATGGTGTAGCCTCAGTCAATGCACTGAAAGTGAGGGAGGAGAGATGAGAGAGGGGCACAGATGCAGTTCGTTAAGGTTAGTTTAGAATTAGTATCACTGATAGATATGAAGAGCAAGGGAAAAAGAAAAATCTGGGACAAATCATAGGTTTCTGATTTAGGTCAATGGTGGCCAGTCACTTTCAGGAAGAAGAACAGATGCTGGGGTACTGGCTTTAGTGAGGGCACTAATCCCTTCCCCCTGCCCATTCCAACTTATATTCACTTCTAGAAAGGATGAATGGGATTTTGGTGTAATAAGAAGACAGGTTGGCCAGGCGTGGTGGCTCATGCCTGTAATTCCAGCACTTTGGGAGGCCAAGGCAGGCAGATCATTTGAGCCCATGAGTTTGAGACCAGCCTGGGCAACATGATGAAACCCTGTCTCTACAAATAATACAAAAAATTAGCTAAGTGTGGTGGCACATGCCTGTAGTCCCAGCTATTCAGGAGGTTAAGGTGGGAGGATGGCTTGAACCCAGGACATGGAGGTTGCAGTGAGCCGTGATCATACCGCTGCACTCCAGCCCAGATGACGGAACGAGACTCCATCTCAAGTAAAACAACAACAACAAAAGGTCAAGAAATTGAGCATGGTGTTGTGTTTTTCAGCACCTCAGGCATTCTGATCACTTTTACTTACTTGTTTAGATTGCTCATGTCAGAGTGCCGCAAGTTGTATACATTGCCTCACAGCTTAATTGCCTATGAGGAGTTTGGGTCCAAAAACCTCACTGGTTAGCAGTAAAAAGCTTTCAAAAATTTATAATTCCAGACATTTCCCTATTTCCACCGTTTTGCAGAGTTAGAGTCCCTGTGGACTGAGCGAGCTTCCAGCACTGGGAGTCGACCTCTAGTGGTAATTCTTTAAACTGCAAGTCCTGACTTTGGTGATTTGGCTTATTTTGCCAGAACCAGGGCAGCTGAGTTCAGGTTTTGGTTACAATTAATAAAAAATGTTGGCTTCTAAGAGATCTATTAATATCTCAGTTTTACTTATGAGAGGCCTTAGAGATATGAAGTAAGATGAACTCACATGCCCAAGGTCATACAGCTAGTAAGTGATGAAGGTAGGATTCAAATCCTGGTCCGTAGGTTTATTAATCCAGAGCCTGTGCTCTTAACCACTACCTGTTCTGCCTCTGTTGTTACTTGAATCATCTCTTTAGGCAAAGTTGACCAATCTTTTTCTTTCTTTCTTTCTTTCCTTCCTTCTTTCTTTCTTTCTTTCTTTCTTTCTTTCTTTCTTTCTTTCTTTCTTTCCTTCTTTCTTTCTTTCTTTTTCCTTCCTTCCTTCCTTCTCTTTCTTTCTCTTTCTTTCCTTCTTTCTTTCTTTTTCTTTCTTCTTTCTCTTTCTTTCTTTCTTCCTTCCTTTTTTTGTTTCTTTTTTTTTTTTTTCAAGTTCTCACTCTGTCACCGAGGCTGAAGTGCCACTGTGGCCTGATCTTGGCTCACCGCAACCTCCTCCCAGGTTCAAGAAATCCTTGCATCTCAGCCTCATCAGTAGCTTGGACTACAGGCATGTGACACCACACCTGTCTAATTTTTGTATTTTTGGTAGAGACAGGGTTTTGCCATCTTGGCCAGGCTGGTCTTGAACTCCTGAGCTCAAGCAATCCACCTGTTTCAGCCTCCCAAAGTGTTGGGATTACAGACATGGGGCACTGTGCCTGGCCTTGACCATCCCTTTTATATGCTCTCTAATATATCTACTGTAGCACATCTCATACATTAGAGACCAGTCTTTCCCACCAGTTCATGAATTCCCTGGAAGCAGAGCTCTTAGTAAGTACACAATGAATGTTTAATGAATGGGCAGATATTATAATCCTACTCTCAGACTCTTTTAATTTTTTTATTAGACTTTAAGTTCTGGGATACATGTGCAGAAAGTGCAGGTTTGTTACATAGGTATACACGTGCCATAGTGGTTTGCTGCACCCATCAACCTGTCATCTGCATTAGGTATTTCTCCTAATGCCCTCCCTCCACTTGCCCCCGACCCCCTGACAGGCCCCAGGGTCTGATCTTCCCCTCCCTGTGCCCATGTGATCTCACTGTTCAACTCCCACTTATGAGTGAGAATATGCAGTGTTTGGTTTTCTGTCCCTGTTAGTTTGCTGAGAATGATAGTTACAAGCTTCATCCATGTCCCTGCAAAGGACATGAACTCATCCTTTTTTATGGCTGCATAGTATTCCATGGTGTATATGTGCCACACTTTCTTTATCCAGTCTATCATTAATGGGCATTTGGGTTGGTTACGAGTCCTTGCTATCGTGAATAGTGCTGCAATAAACATACATGTGCATGTCTCTTTATAGCAGAATGATTTATAATGCTTTGGGTATATACCCAGTAATGGGATGGCTGGGTCAAATGGTATTTCTGGTTTTAGATTCTTGAGGAATCGCCGCCCTGTCTTCCACAATGGTTGAACTAGTTTACACTTGCACTAACAGTGTAAAAGTGTTCCTATTTCTCCACATCCTCTCCAGCATCTGTTTTTTCCTGACTTTTTAATGATCGCCATTCCAACTGGTGTGAGATGGTATCTCATTGTGGTTTTGACTTGCATTTCTCTAATGACCAGTGATGATGAGCTGTTTTTCATATGTTTGTTGACCACATAAAATGTCTTCTTTTGACAAGTGTCTGTTCATATCCATCGCCCACTTTTTGATGGGGTTGTTTTTTTCTTGTAAATGTGCTTATGTTCCTTGTAGATTCTGGATATTAGCCCTTTGTCAGATGGATAGATTGCAAAAATTTTCTCCCATTCTGTAGGTTGTCTGTTCACTCTGATGATAGTTTCTTTTGCTGTGCAGAAGCTCTTTAGTTTAATTAGATCCCATTTGTCAATTTTGGCTTTTGTTGCCATTGCTTTTGGTGTTTTAGTCATGAAGTCTTTGCCCATGCCTATGTCCTGAATGGTAATGCCTAGGTTTTCTTCTAGGGTTTTTATGGTGTTAGGTCTTATGTTTAAGTCTTTAATCCAACTTGACTTAATTTTTGTACAAGGTGCAAGGAAGGGGTCCAGTTTCAGTTTTCTCGCAGACTCTTATAGCTAGCTATTTACATAACATCTCCACTAGAATGTCAAATAGACATCTCAAACATCCCATGTCCAAACTACACTCCCGATGATGCTAAAGAGATGTATTCCACCTACTATCTTTCCATCTTAATCAATGGCGTCCACCTTTGCCCATTTACTCAGTCCAAAATCATACAATTCTCTTTAACTCATCTTCCCCACCCCCCAACAAATCTCACATTTACTAGCAAATCTTGTTAATTCTATTTTAATTATATGATTTGAACTCTACCTTTTCTCATCATTTCCACTGCTCTGCTCCTTATCCAGACTGTGCATGTGTTTCGCTTGGATTACTGTGTTAGCCTGCCAAGTGGTGTCTTAGTGGTCTCTTCCTGAACTGCCAAGAATCTATTCTCAGCTATCAGCATATTTATAGTTGTGAGATGATATGTGAGTTCTTTGAACAATACCCTCTAGTGGCTCCCCATCTTAATCAGAATCAAAGACACAATTGTTCCAAGCCCATGTATCTGGCTCCTCATTGCCCCTCTAAGAGCATCTCCTATTGCTCTCCCCTCTCTCTCCGGGTTCTAGGCTCACCAAGCACACTTCTGTCTCAGGGACTTTACACTAGCTATTCACTCTCTGGAATGCTTTTTCATGAATAGCTGTTTAAATTGCTCCTCCAACTCTTTCACATCTTTGTTTAAATGTCACCTTCCCAGTGAAGCCTTCCTGGATTATCCCCTCACCCATCCGTGGAACTTCCTCTCCACTTTCCTTGATTAATTTTTCTTCTTGGCAGTTTTTTTTCCTTTTAATATGTGATATAATTTAAATAATGCTTTATTTTGTTGACTGTCTTTCCTCACCATACTATAAGCTCCATGAGTGTGGGGATATTTGTCTCTTTTGTTTACTGCTACTTCCCTAACACCTCCAACAATAGGTGTTTATTACATACTTTCTGGATGCATGAAAGAAAAACGAAGAAACTCATCCCTCAGTACAGGAACTGTATGTTCTGAATGATTGCATTAGGTGTGCTCTATACATTTTTGCCTCTCTTAACAGTCTACAATTCCTTGACTCTGGGGCCTTCTAGTTGGTATGCCCCCTATTAAACTACAGGCAGATTTTTATTAAGAAAATTCACTGCAGTAAGTATTTATATAGAGCAATAATTATTTGTAACTTTTTGTTGGTCAGTTTAGCAACAAAGCTTCCTATGCTTAGCAATTACGTGCAATCATTTTCCCTGTTCATGTAACAGTCTTCTCATATGAGAATAATGGATGGAGCAGTATTTTTATTTAGATTGAACTTTCGCTGTACTCTTTATGATAGTTCTGATCACAGAAAATGATTACTCCTCCACCATGTCCTCTCAAAAAATAAAAAAGTTGACTAGTTGAAACTCCCAACCCACTCTTCAAAAACAAGAAACACAAAACAAAAACCTACCAGGAAATAAACATGAATATCTAAGGGGATGTGAGGGTGTTGTCAGTTCACTTTATTAATCAGCTTAACACAATCCAGCCTAACAAAATAAATTAGAGCTTAAGTCAAAGCCACAAGGGGTTAAAGTGGTTGTAGGAGGTTTGAGAAGGGCCATTGAGCCAGATGTTGTGTCTAGTCAATCTCAAGCTTGCTGCACAGTTAAAGCCGACCATTCTACCTTCCCTAATAACACTTTAGTTGAACCCTCAAATCCTCCCAGAAGTCCTCCCTAGTTATTATTAACCAACCCCTTCTCTCAATTCCTAAGTCCAACTCTTCTCTTCCTGAGCCCATTTCTTTATTCCACATCCCTCATTTTCAGATGATGACCACAGCATTTACCACAGGAGAAAAAAAGAGAAACCATCAGTCACAGATTGCCTTAATTTTCCTTCCTTCCCCCTTCTATGAGCTGAACACATTTTGTGTTCACCTGAACATCTTTTTCTTTTGTCCCAGAATGAAATATTTTTCAATGCTAATCCCTTCACCTGTGCTTTTGATCGTATCCTCTTAAAGATTTCCTTCCTCAATTATCTCCTCTGCCTTTTTCAGTGTTTCAGTCTCCCCTTGTTCCTTCTCCTCAGCTTATATAATTTGGCAATATGTATAAATACACCTCCTAGCACAGTGTCCGGAAAATAGCAGGTGCTCAATAAATGTTAGTTTGACTCCCCTAAAGCTTCAAGTGTCCCTTAGCCTGAGAAAAACCATCCATTCTTGACACTGCATTTCCCCAAACTGCCCTGCCACACTCCTTTTCCTTCCCAAGCTTTTTTTTTTTTTTTTTTTTTGAGACACAGTCTCGCTCTGTCACCCAGGCTGGAGTGCAATGGTGTGATCTCGGCTCACTGCAAACTCTGCCTCCCAAGTTCAAGCGATTCTCCTGCCTCAGCCTCTCCAGTAGCTGGGATTACAGGTGTGCACCACCAGGCCCGGCTAATTTTTGTACTTTTAGTAGAGACGGGGCTTCACCATATTTTCCAGGCTGGTCTCAACCTCCTGACCTCAGGTGATCCGCCCACCTCGGCACCTGAAAGTGCTGGGATATCAGGTGTGAGCCACCACGCCTGGCCCTTCCCAAGATTCTTACAAAAGCATTCTCTATGCCCAATTTCTCTACTTTTACTTGCTCATTTAAGTTTTGTCTCACTTTATATAATTGAATTATTTAATCAAATACTCTCTTTCAGGTTTTTATTTAACTTGGCCGTTTTACGGCATTTGATAACACTAACCAGTTCCTCCTTTCCATTTTGTTAAAAAAAATTCTTGGACTTTTTTCAACATTTCTCTCTGATTCCCCTTTACTCTCTGTTGTTCTTCAATGTTCTTTGGTGGGTACCGCTCTGCCTCCGTCAATGGTTCCTTAAATGTTTTTCTGTCCCTAGCAATTTTCTTTTCAATCTATTCAACTTCCTTCTTTAAAATGTTCCCTTCCACACCCATTCTCTGAACTGTCACCTATACTGCATATTGCTCCCAAATCTGTATCTTCTTTCCAGATTTTTTCTCACAACAGAGCTACTTCTACTTACTGGATATTCTAGCATTGCCTTACATTCTATATAACCAAAACTGAGCTCAATATCTTTCTTTTATGCATTTTTCTTTTTCCTATGTTTCCAAATTGAATAATAATGTCACTTGTCACCCAGATCCCCACAGCCCTCTGTGCATGTTGTGATTTATTCATCTTTGCATCCTCCACCTCATCCCCTAGCTTCTCGTTCATTCAAGCCCATTATAGTTCCCAGTACACAGAAGACACTCAAAAGCTATTTGTTGAATGAGTGCATAAATGAAACGCTTTCAGAGGAATAAATCTATAAGCAATCAAGGGTGCTCTTGATTTTTCCATAAAGTTACATAGGACATTGTAATCACCCAGTTGATCATTGCTAAGAAAGTGCTTGATCCTATTCTCTATTATCAGCTTGCAGGAGAAAGGAGAAACAAACATGTTTTATGTTTCTTGTATAGACAGGATGACTAATCTTAGAAGACTTATAAAAACGAGCATCTTCCGAGTCAACCTGAATGTAAAATGCTGAAAGAATGAACTGTGAATCCTGCTTGGGGACTGGTAGAGTGAATTTTTGACTCCCATTCTTGACCCCTCCTAATACTCAAACCCTTTGCCATATAATTCATCAGTCCCTCCCACTAAGGGAATTGGTGAAAATTCTCACGCTTTGACTTTGGGCTCTGCCACGTTGCTTTTACTAATGGATGTTAGTGGACTGGAGGCATGAGGCTTGACATGCACTTGGTGGTTGGGTTTTCTTTCTTTACCTTTTGATCACCATGAGAGTAACATATGTGGCTCACCTCACTAAGCCCAGGAGGAGAATGGGAGATGTGTAGAGCACAACTACCCCAGCTGACCCACAGACCATCAGGGAGAAGCAAAGCCACCCAGTCCAACCCAGCCAAGATCAGTTTCTGAAACTCTAGCTAATCTGCAAACTGCATACGTCCAATAAATGCTTATTATTGTAAACCACCAACATTCTGTGTTATTGTGTAGCAGTATTTGAATAATACAAATACCAACAGGCTTCTTTTTTTTTTTTTTTGAGACGGAGTTTCGCTCTTGTTGCCCAGGCTGGAGTGCAGTGGCGCGATCTCAGCTCACTGCAACCTCCACCCCCGGGGTTCAAGCGATTCTCCGGCAGGAGAATCCTGAGTAGCTGGGATTACAGACATGCACCACCACACTCAGCTAATTTTTTGTATTTTTAGTAGAGATGGGGTTTCATCATGTTGGCCAGGCTAGTCTTGAACTCCTGACCTCAGGTAATCCACCTGCCTCGGCCTCCCAAAGTGCAGGGATTACAGGCACCGGCCCCATCAGCCTTCTTTTACTCCCTTTCTTCTGACTCTGGCATTCTGCCTCCCTTCTCCTCAGTTCTCTTCTCAACAGTCTGCTAATGTGAATACAATTGGCTTTAGGGTCAAAAAGTTGTGACTTTGAACTCATTCTGTGAATGACTGGGAGGCTTGAATATGTTACTTTTCTCCTTTGAGCCTTGGTTTCTTAATCTGTGAAGTAAGAAAAAGATACCTGTGATGACTCAATAAGCTACATTAAGCAACCAGCATGCAATAATCAGCCTACACTCCAGAACTGAGTGTAACTGACCAGAAGGGATCACAAACTGAGCAAAAGCAGCGGTTCCTTGTTCGTTCTGCACTCTCCCCATACAAAATTCCATTCCTTTCCCCCAGATTTGTTCTTCTTCTTAGGCTCAGGCAGTTTTACCATAGTGTGTTCTCTCTGCCTCCAGCACTGTGGTAAAGATGATGTTTCTTATTCCTTTAATGCCTCTTGGCTACATCCATTCTCCAGGGACAATTCATTTTAAGGAGTGCCTTTTATGTTTGGCCTTCTTGTGTGTATTCTTTGAGGTATGTCTCGTGTGTGTGTGCCTACACAGTCATGCATCGCTTAACAATGGGATATGTTATGAGAAGTGTGTCATTAGATGATTTCGTCATTGTGTGATCATAGAGTGTATGTACACAAACACAGATGCTATAGCCTACTTCACACCTAGGCTATATGGTATAGCCTATTGCTCCTACGCTACAAACCTCTATAGCATTTTACTGTACTGAATACAGCAGGTGATTGTAACACACTGGTAAGTATTTGTCTATCTAAGCATATCTAAACATAGAAAAGGTACAGTAAAAATACAATGTGAAAGATAAAAAATGGTCCACCTGTATAGGGCACTTACCATGAATGGAGCTTGCAGGACTGGAAGTTGCTCCAGGTGAGTCAGTGAGTGACTGGTGAGTGAATGTGAAGGTCTAGGACATTACTGTACACAACTGTAGACTTCATCAACACTGTATACTTAGGCTACACGAAATTTTTACAAATTTTTTCTTTCTTCAATAATAAATTAACCTAAGCATGGTGTAACTTTTTTGCTTTATAAACTTTTAGCTTTTTTAACTTTTTGACTCTTTTATACTAACACTTAGCTAAAACACAAACACACTGTACAGCTGTACCAAAATATTTTTTTTCCTTATTCTTTAAGCTTTTTTCAATTTTTTCAATTTTTATTGTTTTACTTTTTAAACTTCTTTGTTTTAAACCAAGACACAAACATAGCTTAGCCTCGGCCTACTCAGGGTCAGGATCATCAGTATCACTGTCTTCCACCTCTACATTTTGTCCCACTGGAACATCTTTCAGGGGCAATAACCCCAGTGGAGCTGTCATCTTCTATAATAACAATGCCTTCTTCTGGAATCCTTCCTGAAGGATCTTCCTGAGGCTGTCTTCTAGTTAACTGTTTTATTTCTTAAATAAGTAAGAGTACACTCTAAAATAATAATGAAAATATAAGTACATAAGCCCATGACAGTCATTTCTTATCAAGTATTATATACTGTACATAATTATATGTGCTAGAATTTTCCATGACTAGCAGCACAGTAGGTTTCCAGCAGCATCATCATGAACATGAGTAATGCATTGCTATGACATCAGTAGGCTGTAGGAATTTTTCAGCTCCATTACAATCCTACAGGACCACTGTTGTATATGTGGTTTGTCACTGATGAAAACGTTGTGTGCCACATGACTCTATTTGTGTGCATATAAAATGTTAACTTGATCTTTAATTGAAGTATTTAATCTATTTACATTTAATGTTACTATTTATATATTTGAGTTTTAGTTACCATTTTACTATTTGTTATCTATTTGACTCACTTGTTTTATATTCCTTTTTCTCTTAGCTTCATTTGCATAATTTTTTAGTACATTATTTTCCCTCTATTAACTCGTCAGTTATACATTTGCTTACTATTGTTTTGGTGGTTACTCTAGAAATCATAACATATATTTTTTATTATTACTGTCTAAAAAACAAAATAGCCCTTTTCCACTTTTTCAATAATGCCAGAACCTTCAAATGTTTTAACTCCATCCACTCTCTTCATCTTATGTGTTATTGCTGACATATATCTCATAAGACATATTTACTTTATACAATCATTATTGATTTATACTTATCAACATATTTACCATTTCCATAGCTTATTACTTAGTGTATTTCTATATTTCCATTTCATCATCAATATTGCCAGAAGTTTTTGTAGTCTTTTCAAAGAACCAGCTTACTTACTTTGTTAAACATATTATATATATTTTATCATTACTTTCTCCAATTATCTCCTTTCTATATTCTTTTAATTTATTGTATAAATATTTATCCTTTTTTTATCTGCTTGATCTATCAAAAACTAGGAGAGGTGCATTTAAATTGCTCACTGAAGTGATGAATTTATCAATTTTTCCTGTAATTCTACTGATTTTTATTACAAAGCCAGAAGCATATAGAAATTTAGACATGTTATATATTCCTGGTAGATTAAACTTTTAATTATGTAGAGGCCTTCTCATAATGCTCTGGCTTAAAACATTTTTTATTCAATATTAAAATAATTCCTTTAGCTTTCTTTGTACAGTATTTTCCTGGTATATCCTCACTTTTTAAAAATTTTCCCTATCCTGGCCGGGCCCGGTGGCTCATGCCTGTAATCCCAGCACTTTGGGAGGCCGAGGTGAGTGGATCACGAGGTCAGGAGTTCAAGACCAACCTGACCAATATAGTGAAACCCAGTCTCTACTAAAAAAAAAAAAAATTAGCCGGGCATGGTGGCAGGCACCTGTAATCCCACCTACTTGGGAGGCTGGGGCAGGAGAATTACCTGAACCCAGGAGGTGGAGGTTGCAGTGAGCCAACATGATGCCATTGCACTCCAGCCTGGGCGACTGAGTGAGATTCCATCTCAAAAAAAAAAAAAAAAAAATCACTATTTTTGTATATCTGTTGTATATACTTTGTTATAATTTACTTTTTTTTTTACCCATTCTGACAATCTCTATCTTAAATGGTAGTTACTATTTATTCTATTTTATTCATATATTTGGGCTGTGTTCTTCGTAGTTCTATTTTTTCATCTTTTTATGCTTTTTTTGGCCTTTCTTTAGACAACCTAAGTCCCACTTTTGAAAAAAATTAATTCCTATTTTCCCTCCACTATTTAGAAAATTACTCTCTCCATTCTTATGAGTATCTTTGATACTACAGTGCACACTTAATTTAACAATGTTGAGGTTAACCAATATCTTACAGCTTTTGTCCTGAACAGTTCATGAATGTTAAAACACTTAATTCAGATCACCCTATCCCAACTTACATACTACTTCTATTCTCTATTTTAGTAATTTATTAAAACTGTAGTTGTATTTTAGTGGAGGGCCTTTCAGAATATCATGCTAGGGGCACTGAAGGAGGCAAGGATCTTCTCCCTTTATTTGCTGACCCAGTCTTCTGCTTTTTGCTGGTTTCTTGACTCAGGGTTTACTCCTCATTGTTTGGATGGATTATTCAACTGCCCCACAGCTCTTTTGCCGTGGAACTGCTTCTCTGTAGACCTGTTGCCAAGATTCCGCAAATGAACCCAAGCACCAAGCAATTGCTGTAGGCCTCTTCCTGAAATCTTCTCGTTAGTAGTTCCTTGGACTTGTCTAGGAGAGATGTACAACTAAAAAAGAAACCACAAACAGAAGAGCAGAGAAGTCGTCTTACGGGAAACCCTGAGAATCTGCAGTTTTGATTATATTCCTGTGAAATGGCCTTTTTGCAGCGTTGTTATATTCTGCAGAGAACGCTACTAAGATTTATTCTCTACTTAAATGGAGAAGGTTTGGCTATTTTCCTGCATGGCGTTTTAGATGGTTGAATCTTCTTGCTTCTGGAAGTCTTTACAGCTTCTGGAAGTCTTTACATAACCCTACAATGCTCTCAACCTCCTCTGAAGAGTCCCTATCTTTATGAATTGCCAAATAAACTAGTTTGTGCTGACTGATTCCTTTTTTAGAATTTGAATTGCATTCCTCCTTCTACCTGAAACCTCGGTGTACACACGTGCATGCGTGCACTCACACACACTAAAGAGAATAGAAATTGCACATTAAGAGGTATCTTTGTGCTGGTCTGACAATCACTTTGTTCCTTTTTGTTATTAAAGATAAAAAAGGTGGTGTCTAAAGAAAGCTGGGCTCCTCCTTGCTTGATCCTCAGGACTTCCGCAAGGATGAATTAAGTTATTCCACTTATTCCAAGGAGATGTGCTTACATTTGAAACATTGTATCAGTTACTTTGCCACAATAAAGGTTAGTAATCACGTGGGTTGGCCATCCACTTTGTGGCTCTTTCAGTCTTTCCCTCTCCCATAAACTAGATTAGTGGGTTAGTCAGCCAACATCACTAGAAATATAAGGAGATGGAAATAATTGTAGGTATATTTCTCTCAGCTATTGTGGCTGGACTATTTAGGTCAGCTGAGGGAAGACGCTAGAGGTAAAACAAACTATTTTTAAAAATACTGGTGTGGGGCCAGGTGCGGTGGCTCACGCTTGCAATCCCAGCACTTTGGGAGGCCAAGGCAGGCGGATCACAAGGTCAGGAGATCGAGACCATCCTGGCTAACATGGTGAAACCCCGTCTCTACCAAAATTACAGAAAATCAGCCGGGCGTGGTGGTGGGTGCCTGTAGTCCCAGCTTCCTGGGGAGGCTGAGGCAGGAGAATGGCGTGAACCCGGGAGGCGGAGCTTGCAGTGAGCCGAGATCACGCCACTGCACTCCAGCCTGGGCGACAGAGCGAGACTCCATCTCAAAACAAACAAACAAACAAATACTGGTGTGGAAGGGTACCAAATTATTAACCTGCTCAACATGTCATCAGTTACTATTTCTCAGTTCAGCTTTCATTCTAGAAAACTACTATGGAGCCGTTAACTCTCATTTGGATTACTGTCCTTTCAGCCAGTCTGGTGAATCAAAATTTTTTATTTATTAAATATCCCATTTTTCGCCTGTGGCAGGGTGGTGGTCCAGAGGCCTTGACTGAAGGGGACTGGAACAACTTGTCTGTGCCATCTCTGGGCTTTTCTCCTCTACTACTCTACTGCTCAGTGCAAACAATGTATCTTCTATTAGATCCATTACTTCAGTTGTGCTTTGAAGGGGGCAACAGGTTTCTTAGTGGGTTTTGATTTTAGTACCTTGATGTTAATCTGATTTATGAAATTCTCCATGGAGTTCATCTGAGTTTACCGGATTCTGCTCCGGAATATGAGGCCTAAGTCCCAGATAATAAAAATGTATTTTGGCTTGATCTCTTGGGCATTTATTTCTCCTCGGACTTTGTGGTGAAGAGGTTAAATATTCCTTGGTTATTCCTAAATTATCTGGTCAAACATCCTTATATTATCATTTTTAATGTGTCATACCTCTTTAGCACATTTCCAACCACCTGCCACTTCTGTTAATTAAGTAGCGTATTAACTTCCTCCAAATAATATCTTTAAAATCCCACCGTTTTCTCCCTCAGAAACTTAGTATGGTATTCAAGGATGCTAGAATTCTACTGCTCACAAGATACTAGAGGGGACCCCTCCGAATACACACCCTGTGCTCCAACCTCCCTGCTCACGCTCAGCTGCACTACTTCTTTCCTGCCGCTGCACACTGTGGTTGTGTTTGTTCAGATTTGGGAGACAACATGTCCCTCCCAGAACCTCAGAAAATTCAGTAATTTACAAAAGGGACCAGAGATTTAGTGTCAGCATATGAAACTCTGCAGGGAGATCAGTAATTAAGGACTATTTGATGTTCCAACAAACCGGCCCAGCCTCACAAGCTTTCCCTCATGTAGAACTCTGACAGATTTTCATTTATTGGAATAATGCAAATAAGAAAATTAAAAAGTCAATTTGTTGTCACTGCCAGTATTTTACCAACCTTTATAAATGGTTAAGTCTGAGCTAGGAGAAACTATCTTTTGTGGCAGACATTTCACCCAGGACAAGCTGTGCTTAGGCTTAGATACTTGGTTTAGAAATGCCTGCTTATTAGGACAGTATCTTCTGCAAACTCCAGGCTTGGATCTTATCTCAGAGTGCATATGTTTCACCGGACTCTGCTAATCATCCCAACCCTTCCTTTCCTCAAGGAAAAATACTCTGTACTCCCAGATCTATTTGAGTATGAACCACCCTCAGAAGTATCAGGACACTGAAGCCCTGGAAAAGGAATGGGTAAGATGGGAAGTCCCAGAAACCAGGGAACTTGGCTGCAAGTGTTACCTTTATTTATTTCATATATGTATATTTCCAGAAGGACAACGGTTGACTGGTATTAAGACCAAACCAGTCCATCAGAATATCATCGACCAAAATGAGAATTTCCCTGTTGGGCCATTAGGGTTGGAGTCTTATTAACCCTCCCCTATTCCTCGGGCCCATAATGCATTATGAGATAGAGGAGAAGAAACCAGGCACAGAAGACTCTCCCTGTCATGCTTTAACCCCATACCCTGTGCTCCACTTATGGAGGACGTCTCCCCAGTTCTTGCCACTCCCACAATCAGAGAAGGTGAGGTTCATAATTATTCAGCCTCATCTCCAAGGAACCTTTAACTGGCAACAGAGATTGTTGGGCCATCATGAGATGCTACTTTCTAGCTCTATGAACATAAAATCACGTAAGAAAAAGCAAACAACACAAATACATGAAAGCCATTTACTCCTGGTGAATTCCTCAGGGTCCCAGGTTCAACACTTTCCGTGATGTCAGAGTACTCAGTCAGGGATGATGGGGACAGGGTGTCAGAACAGTCTTGATGGTCTTGCCAGCAACAGCTTTTTCTTATTTTCCATAATTTGGTCTTAGTCGTTCTCCAGTTGTCTTCATGTAAATAAAGTGGCCCATGGCAATCATGATTCTGTAATTGTTATAGTGCCTTTGTAAGTTGACAGTTTCCAAATCCCCTTACTCATACGACCCCTGTGAAGGGGGGTGTGAAGGGGTTGGTGGGCTTGTGCATATGAGGGAATGTGAACGATTTCATTATGACCGAATTATGCTTTACTCAATAAGCACTCAAACACTACCATCTCACTTGTAGTAGAAGTGCTAGGGATGCAACCAAGAGACTGGTTGAATAACGGGAAGGTTAAATGCATGAGTATTTTAATAGAAAAAAATATTAAAAACAAAACCAAAACTCGTATGGAAAGAGGCTTCTGACTAGGCCCTCCTTTCTAGCAGTGTTTGGCACCTGATAACAATTTGACGCTGGGGGAGGGAGCAGCTTGACAAGGTCCACATGAAGCAGCCTTGAGATTTTTCGCCCACTTCCATTTCTCCTCAGCATCAAAGGAAAGTGCATGGTAAGAAGTGAATCAGACAGCGAGGGATCTATGCAGTTATCCTGTGAATGTGTGGCAAAGCCATCAGGACGCAAACCTCCTGTCTTGAGTCCAGAGCTGTGTGCTTTAAGATTTGACCCCAGTAAAGACAGAATCCTTCAGGCTCGTCCCTTCCCAAACCTAAGGGGCTGTCCTTGGCCACTTTCAACTTGAAGCTGTTGAGCAGTCTTTAGGATATGTAACAGCCTATTTTTTGGACGATATAGGAACCACGACCTCTTAAGTCTCTTAGTTCTCCTACTTTATACCCATGAGGTAGAGGCAGGTGCACTCCAGTGAAGGAGAAGCCTCAATTCAGGTTGTACTTTGGATGAAACATCCCCTCAAGGCGTAGAGGAAGGCTGAGAGGTTCTGCCCAGGCTCGTGTTTAGTTGCAGGAAGAGGTAATGTCAGATCTGAGCAGGTCAGGGAGACTCCCTCGAAAAGGTCTTCCCAGGCTGACAAGAGGGCTTTTCCTCTTCCTCACCTCCCTTAGGTGAGGGCTGAAAGCAGATCTCCTCACATGGGGACCTAGCTAGGAGGTCTTTTCTGAGTGGGTCCTCTGATGCCTAATTAAGTGATATCCTCTGCTGAAGCTTTTTCCACAGGTAGGGCACGTGAATGGTTTCTCCCCAGTGTGTGTTCTCTGATGCCTGACGAGGTGGTCCCTGCGACTGAAGCTCTTCCCACATTCGTTGCATCGGCAGGGCCTCACTGAGGCGTGTCCTCTCAAGTGCTTGGCGAACGCTGCGCTGTGGGTGAAGCAGCGCCCGCACTCGCTGCAGAGGTAGAGTTCCTCAGCAGCGTGCGTCTTCCGGTGCGCCAGGTACCGCCTGTGTTCACTGAAGTCCTCACCACACTCTCCACACAAGTAGGGTTTGCCTCCCAGGTGGATTCTTTGGTGTGTTGTTAACACAGATTTCTGGCTGAAGCTTTTGCCACAAATAGTACAAAAGAAGGGTTTTTCTCCAGTATGTGTCCTCTGATGTCTGACAAGGTCTGAAGTCCAGCGGAAGTGCTTTCCGCAATCATCACATCTATAGGGTTTCTCCACTGATGGAGTTCTCTCAGCCTGTGTCACAGGGGAGGTCTCTTCCAAATTCTTCCGGTTTAGGGGATATTTGTAAGGCGCGTTCATCTTGTGAACCTTTTGGTGCCTGGCAAGATGTGAGCTTCGTGTGTAACTTTTTCCACATTCCATACATTTATAGGGTTTCTCTCCTGTGTGAGTCCTCAGGTGTCTAACAAGGTGGGAGTTACAAGTGAAGCTCTTTCCACACACAGAACAGTCATGATGCCTCCCTAACAGGGGGTGGACGGGTGTAGTTTCCCGAAGGTTCACAAAACTATTCACTTGAGAAATATTAGTACCAAATCTTCTTTCATTAAGTCTACCTGGATTGTCCTCAAAGACTATTTCCCAATCTGGAGTCTGGTGAATTTCTGGTTCTCCCAAAACAGGCCTGTGTATATCCTCCAAACTCAGATCTTCCTGCTCCAGACACTCTTCCTCATCTTTACTCCTATCTCCTGTAGAAAGGGTGAGAGGAAAAAGGGGGTCACTGTAGCGGCAACAATGCCTTCTACACAATGGGGAGATTTTTACAAAGGGTTTTGAGATGGCAAGACTAAATAGAATGCCTGTCCTGTGCCAAGCACTTTCTCATATTGTTATGCTATCAACAAACCTTGGTATGCACAAATATAATCTTCATTTTACAAATGCAGAGATTGAGAATCGAGGGTTTAAGGGAATTGTACAGTAAATGGTATAGCTGCAATTCCAAAAGTTAACATTTTTCTTTCACCCTTTTGTATTACATTGCTATCAGACAAATGATGGGAGGAGAAAAGAGGAGGGCAATGACAGAAGAAATGGCTGTCAGAGGGAGAAAGCAGTACTGGCTGACATGTTAGAAGAACTGATGAGAGCGGGGCCCTACAGAGAGAGAGAAGCACTGCCTAGAGGAACTGCTGGCTCAGGGTGGGTAACACCGTTTTTGTCATTCCTCACCTGTGTAGGTAAAACTCAGGATTTCTGGCTCTTGAGTCTCCTGAGGCTCTTGGATATCTGGGACCCAAGGCTCTTCCTCTCTAACCTGGGAGATCTCATCAGGTCTGGGGATTGGAAATGCTGCTCAAGAGAGGGAAAATAGGATATCACGATTGGCTCAACAATTCCCTGTGTTAAGAGCGGTCCTTTTCTATTTGGTAGGTTGTGGGGCAAATACATAGCTAGCTCAGGTGATGAAATCTTTCATCTCTTTAGTTTGTGTACTTTTAACCAAGGACTGCGTATCTCTTGCCTTTCTTGTGGTTTTCACCTGCAACTTAATAATTATACCATTGTACACCTTATCCTCTTTTCCCATATTCAAGAAAGATTATCTCCAACTCTTACTGTTTTAAAACTCATGTGCTTACTTCAAATATTTCTGCACTAAAGCTGTCATATTACAAGTTTGTTTTCCTATTAGAGGTTTCCATTTCCATCCATTTATCTTTTACTTGAAAGGACACCATATTTTTCACCTAATCCCTCAATTTTATTGGTGGGGAAGGCATAAGAGAAGTTCACTGCATACAATCTAAGGTCTAAGATCCCCCAAAATTTCCAGCAGGAAAAAGATCTCTGGGCTTAGAACACTCTAGAATACTTGAAATTCCTTACACAGAGAGACAACAATTCCACAGTCTTCTTCCAAGACATATTCTCCATAGAACTCTTTCTGTGTTGGGTCCAGATCACTCCACTGGTCCTGGGAAAAGCATACGGCCACATCCTTGAACGTTACCAGTCCCTGAAACCACATAAGGATTTCATCAAAACGTGATGCTACGGGTAGCCTCGTATTTTGTCCCTGTTGAAGGTCATACAATAGGTGGACTCCTCTAGGAGATGAAAGGAGCTTGAGTGGCGGGCTGCTTAAACTCATTCTCGGGGGAGCCATGTGTCCCCTGTGGCACTGGCCCTGCCCCCTCCAACTCCACCACTTTTCCTGAGGACCAGCTTATGTTCTTCTTCTTTAAGGTATTGTTTAAAATTTAGGAAAGGTCTTAAAAATCATCATTCAGCTCCCTACTTGACACTTTAACGCTATATACATTTCTGCAAAATTCATCTTTTCTAGTACACTTTCCCTAAAGACTCTAATCACTTTCAATAGTTTCTATACTCTATAGCCAAAACAAGACTTTTTTCCTCAGTTAGATTACAATCTAAAACCATACATGAATTCTATTTCTTTTTCTCCAGCCACATGGCTTAGTTTCAGAGCTTTGATCATGGTGAATACTTCCTAAATGTCTCAGCAGTACAGTCTGTCATACTTACAAATGACTATCAAATTTATTCCTTTAAAAAAAAAAAAAACTAAAAAACCCTCATTTGACAACTTCGCAGTTGTACTGGAGTGTTACAAAATAATCCCATTTTGTTAGTTCTTCTAGTCAATGGCAAATAAACTGGTGTTGGTGCCTGTGGATCCAATATAAGGTATGATAATTTATCTCATTATCTCCTCCCCTTCCAGGTACCTGCAGAACTGTGAGCTTAAAACTGGCAAGAGTGTAAATGTGCATCCTGCTTCACCTGTTTAGTATGGCTTATGCCCAGTGGTTCTTCAAACAAATTCTCTGTGGTACAGAGGTAACTAGGGCACACCTGTGACAGAGCAGTAAGAAGAGCAACCATCTCTGAGTCTCCAGAGCTCCTCTCTGCAGGAAGGTCTGGGTCCTCGGGCACTGGGACCTCTATGAAGAAAAGAAGGCAAAGATCAGTAATATGCAGCATGCCCCAATAATGGGCAAAAATCTGGGCATCCCCCACCATCTTTGGTAGGAAGGTGGCCCTATCCTTTCTATTATGGGAACCAAGAAACTGGCCTAAGGGTAGCTCCCATATCCCAATCCCATCACCTATGAGACTATCAGAATGCCAAGAGAACAAGCAACAATCTGCTGTCTAAGCTTGGCCCTGTTTATGGGGGACTCTAGCTGGCGGTACTGTCTCCTCTTGACATCCTGGATTCTGTGATGTCTTTCCATACAGTCTATCTACCCAGCTTCCTTGGTATAGGAGAAATGTCCGAGAAATGTCCCCCTCCTTGCCTGCCTTCTGCCACAATCCCCCCTTTCTGCTGATGCTTCCCACCGCTCTCCTGCAGGGTCTGGAGCTCCTCTTCCTGGTGTGGACGCTGCTCTGCCGGTGCCCCCAGATCTGGGCTCTGTGTGGTTTCCTCAGGAGACTGCTCGGGGGTCGAGCTTTGCACAGGATCCTGCAGCTCATTAGGTGACTCAGGCTCCACTCCTAAATGCACCGTCTCCTCTGACAGGACTTCCTGGCCGTGAACATGGACAGTCACCTGGGAATAATTCCAACTTCCAGTCACCATGGAGTCAGGAGGAAGTTCTTGGTTGTCACGGGAGCTTATTTTAGGAGAAGATGCCTAGAGAAAACACTCCCAGAGGGACCCAGACAAGGAGGGGAAACTCCAGTTTCAATGGAGCAGGCAAGGAGGAGCTGAAGGTTATCCTCCCCAGGACAAGGCAGGGGATGCGCAGGCCTGCACTGCTCTCTCACCACCCCCAGCCTGGGCCCCTGTCACCCAAGGTTCCTTCCCATCTCCACCTGTCCCACCTGCAGCTCTCCTTGCTGCCTGCTTCCCTAGCTGACCAGCCAGGAAGGGGGATCTGTGACTGGGGATCTATGAGAACCTTCGAGGAAGTCACAAAATTCTCCTCTCCAGGAACCCACGGCTCAACATTCAAAGAAGGGAAAACCAAAGCCATGACCCTTTGGTGGCTGAGACCCCTCAGATGGTCCCTATACAGGTGTTCCAATATCCAGAAAGTCACATTCATACACACACATCCCCCTAATCCATGGGGCTCATGGTATATGAGCAACCCAAGGGCAGAGCCCACTAATAATTTATGGGGATCCTGCAAGCTCTCCCCGCAAATCCAGCCTTCCAGCAAATAGTCCCCCTCCACATCACACAGATCAGGACTCCCCCTCCTCACCCACCGCCTTGGTCTCCTGGGTTGTTTCTGCAAACCCTCCACCAGCGTCACTGCCTCCTCGCCACTTTCTGGCCGTTGGCCCCGCACCCAGCTCTGTAGTTCTCCAGGTAGGACGGTAAGAAATTGTTCCAGCACAAGCAGCTCTAGGATCTGCTCCTTTGTCCGCCTCTCTGGTCTCAGCCACTGGTGACAAAGTTCTCGGAGTCTGATGAGAGCTTCTCTAGGGCTTGCTGCCTCCTGGTAGCGGAAGCGTCGGAAGTTCTGGTGGGAGGTTTCCAGCACCGGGTCATCCCTCTGTAAGACAGACTCTGGCCGACAGGTGAAATCATCTTCCAGTTTCACCATCAGAATTCCCTCTTCTTCCCAAAGATCCTGGTCCTCTGGTTCCACGGCTGTAGCCATTTCTTGGCTTTGGGGTGGTCTCACACCATCTAGAGCTCACACTGTCATTAGCCCCCCGCCTCAGCCTGGACACAGCGAGGATTTTCTTCCAAGGGCCCTGGATAGAGAAGTAAAGACAAACAAGAGTATAAGCATGAAACTATACACAAGGACAACAGCCTGAGTTCAATCATAATCCTCTACACAAACTTCTTCAAATGGTTAAATCCTCTTTTCCCCAACCACCATAGCCATAAATCAACAGATCCAGTTGGGAGAGGATAATTTACAACTAAAGGTATGGTCCTCTACTCCCTTTCCTAGGCAAGGTTCATACTCTGCAAGAAAATACTGCATTTCCACTTCACAAATACTGCCAATTCCCCCGCTTAAGTCTCCAAACCGGTTCCCTTCTCTTCCTTCCTACAGACTGCTTTAGTTTGAGCCTTCATCATCTCCTGCCTGGACTACTGCTCTAACTTCCTAAGATCCCTGCAGTACTCAACTATAAGCAAAGTACAACAGAATTACCTGTGGAGATTTTGCAAAACATAGTATCACACATCATTTTTCAGACACTCTGATTCAGTCAATTCAGGTAACTGTATGTTTAGAGATGCTACTTGCAGTTCGAATGTGTATCCATGGTTGAGAAACACCAACCATGAGGGAGATGTGTAAGGTTATGAGCGAAAGTTCTGGAGTCAAGCTGCCTGGGTTTGAATCCTGGCTCTGTCGCTTACTAGGTATTTCCAGAGTGGGACCATAGGCAAGTTCTCATTCTCCTAATGCCAGTTTCTCTGTCTATAGAAGGGAGATAATAATGGTTTTTATCTAATAGGCTTACTGTAAGGATTAAATGTATTACTAAAGCCTATGAGCATTAAATGTATTACTATCTTTGCTTAGAAGAGTGATGGCACCAGCTATTATCTTTCTAAATTATAGTTCCAACTATATTACTCAGTATTTTAAAACAAAACCTTTTTCATGTTAGTAAAATCAGTTCCAAAATCCTGGGAATGACACGAAGCTCTTTACAATCAGCCCCCAATCTATTTTTCAAGCTTCAGATCCTACCTTTTCCCTGTATCACCTGGTTATAAAAAATGCATTGCTGATCTCCCTACAACAGGGTGTCTTTTCAGTCTTCCATGTCTTTTTGAAGGTTGTTCCTTCTGCACAGGCTACTCTCCACCCTTCTCCTTTCCACGCTACATGGTGTGTTCTCTTTCTTTTTAACGGGTCTTGTCTTTATTCCCACAATTTACAGCTTAGGTCCCTCTCACTTCTCATCTGGATGACTGCAACTGCCTCCAAATGTGAGCTATCTGCCTCCAGATTTGTCACCTTCACGTACCCACTATGATCAGAACGAGCTCTCTTGGCAAACGTGCTCATGTCCCTTTCCTATCTAAGATCCTTCCATCACTCCCCGCTGTCTTGTTAAGTGAAATACAAACTTCAAACATTCTACATTAGGTTGACGTTCATCTTGTTATTCTCTTCGCCCTCCTCTCCAATCCTTTCAGACACACACGCACACACGTGTGTACATGCAAAGCACACAAGAGTCCCGTGTTCTTTAGCTTTTGAATATGCTGTTTCTTCTGATTCTTTATCCTTGGTTAGGTTAAACTTTAAATTTTTCAAGACATAAGCTCAAGCTTCATGTCTTCTGAGATGTTTTCTTTGATCCCATTTCCCCTACTCTCAGACATAGTTAGAAATCACCTAAGTCCTCCCGTAGTGACCTGGGCACCTCTCTATCCCAGTATTGGTCATATTACATAGCCATCGCTCATCTTTCCTGTGAAACTCTTTGAGGTCAGAGACTATTTTCCATCAATCTCCAATACCTATAATAAAGTGCACAATAAATGCATTTAAAATGAATAAAACTCTACTCCAAAGCTTCTTCCTATGGTAACAGGAAGAACCATTGTTTCCTCCATTATGCTTTTACTATCTCTTGATTATTCACCATATCCTGTTAATTCCAACTTCCAAAAAATGTCTTTCGAATCCATCCATCTCTTCATCTCTACTGCCATTTCCCGGTTGAGCCATTATGACCCACTAGAAGGTATTCATAGGAACTTTAAAAAAAATTACAATATCCTCTGCTCCTAAACGGCACTGGCACGTAACAGGCACGGATACATTGGAGAGATGACTTAGTTCAACCTCCATGACTGGTTTTCTTGGTCCTGTCCCCCTCCAGACCAGTGTCCACAAGCAGCTTAAGGGCTCCATCATTTCTCAACCTTTTTGTGCTATACTACAGTTGCCTCACATCCACATTCAAGGTTATCGATCCACTCTTAATAGCTGTGTCTCATCTATTGTTGCCCATCAAATGAGTTTACAGTCAATGATCACATTATCTTCATTCTTTCTCAAAACGCTTCTAATTCATGCTCTTATGACATTTTTTTCATTACCCTCAGTCACTTGCAACATACTTTCACAGTCTATCTTGGATAGCTCCCTAATTCCTAGATCTTCATGTGTAATTTTTCCTCTGCTATCTCTACCTCATGGTGATTTATTTTTTTCTCAAGTGGCTTGTAATTTTTTTATTTTATGTCCATCTTTTTACTTTGGGAGTCCTGAGAGCCCTGGATTTAAATGTGAGCCCCTTGAATGTAATTTCATTTGTTTCTTCCTAAGTGCTAATGGTTTCAATGATCTTGGACAGTTTGCTTTTTTAAGACTCTCCCTCTGTTGCCCAGGCTGGAGTGCAGTAGTACAATCATAGCTCACTACAGCCTGGATCTCCTGGCCTCAAGTGATTTTCCAACCTTGGCCTCCCAAAGCACTGTTACCAGAGGCTGAGCCACCATGCCTGGCCAAATCAGTTTTTATGTTAATTTCTCAGGGTGTTCCTGAATAATGCTTTTGTGTATTATTTAGATCGATGCCTTCAAGTAATGTTTGGCCTACCCAAGGTTCTGGAGAACCCACTTCCTTGCACTTTTCCTGGGTCAGTAGGACGATTTTCAAAGGTCCAGGTTTGCAGGCTGCTTAATTCTGTAACTTTCACACAGCGTCAGCTTCCCAAGTCCTATCTCCCTGTTGGAGTACCAGTATTAAAAGCTCAATCCCTAGAAACCTTATTTTGGTTTGGAATCTCACTGCGCCATGGTAAAGTCAGCTTATACTTATTTTTCTAGTGGTTATTTCTTTTTCCTTCTGGAACCTATGCGCTTTCCTTTAGCTTTTGAGAGAGAGAGACAGAGAGAGAGAGAGAGACAGACACACAGGGAGAGACAGACACACAGGGAGAGACAGCATGGGCTGTCCTGTTCCTGACAGGAACAGGATTTAATAATGGGCAGGAGGCCCATCCACATTAGCTCCACCTGCAATACTCCAAGTAGGTGAGTGGTGAACTTCCTAACATACAAAATCTGCCAATGGCTTCCCAGTGACCTTAGGTTAAAATTTAAACTTCTTAAAATGTGATACACAAAGACCTTCAAAAGCTGGTCCCTGCTACCTCTCCTTCCTTCCATGACTGCCACTCCCATTGAAAGCCACTGCAAGAATTACTGTTCTTTCTTTTCTATACCCTCCCTGGGCTTTCCTGATGCTGTTCACCTTGTCTGAAGTACCCTTCTCCACTCTTCATGTGGTTAACTCTATCCATCTTTCAGAGCTCAGTTTTTCCAAGATGCCTTCCCTGGTCCTCCCAGATGATGCTTCCACAGGAACTTGTATCTCCCCCTATCACAGCATGCACATGTGTCTATTTTTTGTGTCATCAAAACTGTTCATCTTCTGTTGAACTCACTGGACTGTAAAGCTCTGAGGGCAGGGATATGCTGTGCCCAGCTCGATGCCTGGCACACACCAGGCACTCACTTCACATTTGATGAATGCAGAGAATGCTTAGTAAGGTTTTAAAAGTCTGTTTCCAGAAGGATAGATACCATGTTATATTAACCCATATTCATCCATAAGTCTAGCAAACTGTGTGCTGGATAAAGGCATACATAGGGAAAAAAACATTTATTGTTTGGATTGTGAGTAAAACAGAATTCTCTTAGTGGTTCCCAAGATGATGGAACCACAACTCATCACAAGGAATCTTCAGGTTGCACCGGGAATAATCCAAATGCAAGTCACACAACACTTGGCATTTGAAAAAAAAAAAATCATTTTCCATTGAGGATTTAAATCAATTTTAATAAGCGCAAAATCAGACATCAAATAAATGGAACTACAATACTAATTATTTATCCAGACAAAGCTTTCCAAACCCCACCCCAACTCCTACCCCTGGAAGACAGAATTAATACATAGGGTCTTTTGGCTTAATAAAAGGACTTCTAGTATCTTAAAAGTTTGAGAACCGACGTCCAGTGAAGTAGACTTGGAATCCTCATTGTTTTCACGCAGCACTAGGTACAAGAGATTCCACAGTATGGATCCTACAACGTATGCATTGACAGAAGAGTTCCTGCTCTCTCAAAGGGCTTTGCTCTCCAAAGAAAAAAGAACATGTAACAGTGCCACACCAAACTTGCCATTTAAAAATGCCCTTCAGAAATCACAAGCTGAGATTTCTGGTGCTTGTTTTGCATTTACTTTGGCAGCCTAGGAAGATGAAGGAAAACAGATCAGCAATAGAAGGAATGAAGGAAGGAGTCTTTGTGGGGTAAGAGATGGGAAATGAATAGGAGGTACAGCAGTGCTGTGCACAGCACCAAACTGGGTATCCAAAGACATATGCCCCGGCCCCAGATCCCCAAGAAACTGGAGCTTCCCTGAGGGTTTCGTGAAGTAACGTACCCAAGAGCCCTTGTAAAGGATAAAGCCCTCTGCAGATAACCAGTCTCCTAACTCAGTGATTATCTGAGATATGAGAGCTTTATGAACTAAAATGTGTTGTGCAAATGTCAAGATTTAATATTAGAGGCAGAAAACAGATGTTGTGTTTTTATTCTATAATTAATGGGATGTGCTATGCCATAAGTATACCTTGCAATTTGTTGCCTTTGCTATTCTAATACCTTTCTTCAATGTCTGTCCTTGGAAGAGTTCCAGAGTAAGACAAAAACTATAGAGAGAATACAATAGAGAGAATATGAAACCAGGCCAGGATTAAGTAAGAGACTTGGTTCCAGAAGACACTAAAACAGTATCTGCAAAGATACAACCTAGTGTCTTGAGTGTTCCTAGGATGCATAGGATTGGAGAGGAGCTATCAAGGTAAGACCTCTGTACAATCCTCAGGCCAGCTGTCTCTGCCCCTTATCTGAAGGTGTCACGTGGCAGTGAAGACCCAAGCTCAATTCTCTTACAAGAACAGAAAACCACAGGCAATGAAACAATATCTAGTTCTCTACCTTAAAACGCTACTAGCTAGGGTGATCTTTCTGGACCCTAAATGACAAAGTCTGTAGTCATATACCATCAACCTAAAGGAGAGACAGTGATCTGCCTATGTACTGGCAAATAATCTTCAGAAGAAAATAGTGATTAGAACTGAAATTATTATATTTAGCAGATATTTATATCCCTTCCAGTCCCCATTCTTATTTTATACCTTAATGCAGGCCTATAGTTTGGTAATTTTAATACAACTACTTGCTGGGGCTAACCAGGGCCTGTCAACAGCTCCTCTCAGTGTTCTAGAATAGAAATTGGCTAATAAAAACTGTTAACCGCTCTTTTCCAATGCTGCTGCTGTTCTTTAAAACGAAAGATTAGCCCAGTACAATCCTTCTAATGGACATATTCTTTTATTCTTGATTGTCCTATATACAAGCGCTTACCTAAGCTTTCCACATAATGGTTAGTGGCCTTGGCACGCTGGGTTTGAATCCCTGACCTCGAATCCCTGACCTCGCTTATTAGCCTTGTAACACAATTTCCCTAAGCCTCAGTCTTATCCTCAAAAATGTGGCTAATACTACTTATCTCATGTGGTTGTTTTAAGGAGTAAATGAAATAACCTATAGAAACCCTTCAGTATAGAGTCTGGCATAGGGTAGGTGCTCAATATATTTTATTCATTTTCCTTCAAGCTATTTGAAATCGTTTTGGGAAGAAGGCAAGATTTAAATGATAAACAAGCAAACAGTTCTCTATTGCATCATAATTACAAAAAAACAGATGGCATAAGGAAAATCTTGGTCGGTCTATTGTTATATCAAAGAAACCATGCTAAACCAAAAAAAAAATCCTTGCTTTGGAGGCACTTATGAAGTAGGATTAAATGAAAGTGTTGGAATACAGATGAGAAGGAACCTTAGACACAGGTTCTCCCACCGAAGACCATATCAGCAATGCTTCTAATTACCAATATATCAAAGTCCTCTCCACTCCCTGTAACTGGCAGGAGACAATCTGAGGCAAACTCAGTGTACCAAGAAGTCCTGTGAAAACTTAACCTAGACAGCACAATGAATGAAAGGGAATGAATTCCCTGGCTTTTGGCCTTCTAACACGTGACCAGTATGCTTCAAAACATGTTTAAAACTGTTTCTGTAAAATATTTTTGCCACCTAAGTTTCCCCCCCGCCCCTTCATAAAAGTGATATTTGAGTAGTGAGGGGAGAAATGGCTCAAAATTTGTTACAAGAGGTTCCAAAGAAAGACAATAAGGTATAGAGAAAGGGAAGACAGGAAGAAAGAGAAAGAGGTCAAGTATGTAGTGGATAGTACAGGGAAGTCACAAGTATCTTCTGTCTGGAAATGCTGCAGATTTTGTGGTTAGCCTCAAGATATTAGGTGGGAATAAACATGTCATTGAGAGTAAATGTAAACACAAAAATGAAAAATAAAAATTGTAACAATTCACTTTATTCTAAACTGTTTTTGATGGTTATATATGGCAGGCCTAGGAGGCAATGTTAGACAGTAGATAGTTGCCTTCGGCGGAGGGTGACCTGTGTTCTGTCCACTGCTCTACATTGTAAAGAGGTGTCATCTTGGACAAGTCACGGCAGCTCATGTTGAGTCTTGGGATGATTCTTTATCTAAAGGTAGAGAACTGAACCAGCTTTTTGATGGTGATGAGGAGGGGTTTTGAGAGGAACAAGGATATACAGCATCTCTATTGAATATTTGGGCCATAATGTAACAGCCTAGGATGCTGAGATTTACTCAAGAGCTGAGGACGGCTAGGGGCCAAACACAGATTTTTAAGTTTTGAGATAGGGTTTACTCTGTTGCTAAGACTGGAGTGCAGTGGCAAGATCACAACTCACTGCAATCTCTGCCTCCCAGGTTCAGGCCATCCTCCCACCCCAGCCTCCTAAGTATCTGGGACTACAGCACATGCCACCATGCCCAGCTAATGTTTAAATTTTTTATAGAGAAGGGGTCTTGCCATGTTGCCCAGGCTGGTCTCAAATACCTGGGCTCAAGTGATCTGCCAGCTTTGGCCTCCCAAAGTGTTAGGATTACAGGTGTGAGCCACTGCACCCAGCCTCAAATACAGATTTTTAAGAGGCCAGATTTATACACCTGGCCATCATGGTCATGTTGGTTAACCTCCATCATGAAGCTAGGCTTTTTAACCTTCAGGAAAACTACCCCAGAGCAGTTAATGGCCTAAATAAAGGAGGTCAAGCTATATGTCTCAGTTTAAAACAGAACATGACAAATTAACCTGAAGCAGGAAAAGGAGGGGACATCAAACCTGACACCCATCCTGATAAGAGTAACTGCTCTCATTTGACAGCCAGAGTTAAACTAGATGTATGCAATCTCTACAACAAACATAGTCAATGCCAATCAGATAGTCAGAGGAACCATCATTTAATGGGAAATAACGCAATAACATATATAACAGAGCTGACCGGAGGTGTTGCTATAGATAATTCATAACAGCAGTAAATTCAAAAGTCATTTACTATGTTTTTAGCTTTGTCATTAACACAGCCTGTGTGGATACTCCCTGTTTCACGTCTAGATGACTTCCTCCTGGCTTTGCTCAAGGGTCCTTTAGCATTTGAGGAGATGATAAGGGATGGGATCCCCGCCTGTTGAACCAGAGGAATCTGAGGAGTACCAGGTTTCCACTGAAGACTAAATCATGATCCAGAGAAGGAATCTCAGAAGTCATTCTTGTCGTGGGCATGGCTTAACGTCTGTCTCCCCACTGTGGGCCCTGCCCTCGAGAGCAAGGGTCTCCTTATTCATTTTTATATTCCCAGTGCCTACCACTTTGTGGAGCCCTTAGTAGAAAAGGTATTCAATAAACGCACATTGAGTTTAAGCTTTCTATTTCTCCTCCCCCAACTAGTATATATTACAGAAGCACTGAAAATTCAGAAATCAGCCAGTGTCAGGGCTCCTGGGTAATAAACCATTCACAGGGATAGCTGTAGGAATTTGGCATAAGCATTTATTCCAATCTCTTGGGGGTAATCAAGTGGCATAATCATGCCCTGCTTTACTGTGTAGCATAAGGCCAGTAGAGAAAAACATCAAGAGGGGAGGAGGACAAGGGATGGAGTTCAATACACAAATATCTACTGAGCGTCAATTACGTGTCCCACACTATTCAAGGTGCTGGGCAAAGAAAGATAAAAAAAGCAGAAGCTCTGACCTTGAGGAACTTAACAGGTAGTTAAGAAATTGCAGAATTTTAGCAATACTAGGAATTCACAGCAAAAGCCCAGAATACAGGTGTAATATTTTGATCAAAACGTGAAGCCCCTATCAAGAGAATTAAGAAAATCAAGGGGAAGAACTTATCAATATTTCACCTCAAATTTGGCATATAGCATTCAGTTGTTTTAAGTACGCTTTCTTAATTTTGCGAACAAAATATTCAGACCTAAGTGATTATCTATAAAAGATCAGATTACTAGTTTCCAACACAGAAGTACTCAAACAAAGGTATTCTGAACCTCAACCTACTGCAATACATATATCACATTTGGCCAAAAGGTAGTTGTTCTCAAAGTGAAGAACCCAGATCTGCAGCATCAGTACCTGAGCCTTGTTAGAAGTACAAATTCTCAAGCCCCAGCACAGACCTATTACCAGAAACTCTAGGGGTGGGCCCCAGCAATATGCGTTTAACTAGCCCTTCAGGTGCTTATAGTAAGTTTGAGAACCACCACCTAGCAAATGAAGTAAATCTGAAGTTCATGCAGAAAGCCATTGCTGGCCAAACTAAAGGGTTTGCTGGTGAGAGAACAGCAAAAACAAGGGGTATAGAACTGTTTCACATTTTAAATCTGTGCCAAATTTACTGGGAAAAAAAAATGTAAACCTGTAACTTACCTCATCTGTACAATTTGCAATGGCTGAGTCCCTCACATTGTGGTAAACCTTGTTGTACCCTTGGAATGATTGTCTACTGCAATATAGTATATACACAGAGTACAAAAAGGGTATAGCTGGAGGAGAAAGGGTGAAAGATTATGAATCCCAGGCGTTTGGTCCTAGGAGGAAAAATTCCTGTCCTCTCTCCAACCCTGCCCACCCTCTTATGCTAGATAGTAACAGCAGAAAGTTATCCCAGACTGCTCCGCGTTCACACGCTTCCCACCAACAAACCTCCTCCCAAGGCTATCCCACAACCTTTCTGAAGTAGCTTCCTGGATCAAGCCCCACGGGGCAGCTTGGAAGAGAAGCTGGGAGGGATGAGGGGCTCCACTAGCATTCCTTGTGGCTTCTGAGTGTAGCTGCCCTGGGTGTCACCTGCAGAGCGTGGATAGAGAAAAAGCAACAGTTCTAAGCCCAGCCTCTAATTGAGAGCCTGGGATCTAGCGCTGCTCCCCAGGACCAAGGTTGTTCAAGAAAGGCTGGGTCTAAGAGTCTCCCTCTGGGGAGGTCAGTACAGATTCCAAGGCAGACAGGGTTATCAAAGCGCCTAGAAGATGAGAACATTCATTGTTCAGAAAAACAAAAATTAGACTGACACCTTTCTGAAGGAACACAGCCTATCCATGGCACAAAAACAAATTTTTAATCAAGACACTCAAGAAGTAGGTATACTCCTGCTAAAAGTAACGCAGGTGCTGAGAAGAGGTGCCAAAACTGGCTGTTAGGAGTGGGAGGAGAGGAAAGTTGCAAGTGGAGACAGCAGCTACTGGCTTGAGGGGACCTCAGGGTCTGTCACAGTGGCAGCTGAAAAGCCTCTGGCCAAATGGACGCCAAGGACTACTATCATCACAGGTGACAAGATCACGGGTGAGTGTATCTGGGTGTGTGCTGGGGGGCTGAGGGGGGCTTGGTGGTGTAAGGAGATGGGGCTAGCCGGGGCAAGGAGCCCGCGGAGATGATCTTAAGCAATCTGAGAGGAGGGGTAAGAAAAAGCTGCGGAAAATAAAGGGGCCTAGACCACTCCTCCCTCGGTTCCGGGGGGACAGTTGGCGCGGAAGCGTTAGGAGGTACGAGGTACGGACTAACTACATTTCTGCAGGCCCCAGGAGGGGGCGGAGGGCGGTGGCTGGAAAGGAAAGGAAGCCGGGAGCGCCATCCGTGTCCCCGGAGATACTGGCTCCGGCCACCAGGAAACACAGAGACCACAACGTCTCGGCACCCTCAGTACACCGCCGCCACCCCTTCCCCAGGACACGGCGATTTCCCCAGACTCTGGGGGGCGGGGTCTCCGGTCCCTCCCCCTCCTCCCCGCCCTGCCCGGCTCTGCCCGATCTGGTCCGGCCCGGTCCAGCCCGGCCCGGCCCAGCCCAGCCCACTCAGGACTCACGGCTCCGACAGCTCCGGCGGCTCCTCCCCTGCCCCGGCTTCTCTCCCACCCACTCCCGACCGAAACAGCGCCGCCGGATCCGAGCCGCGCGGGGCCTAGCGGGTCGGAACACGTGGGGCCTTTGCGCCCGGAACCGGAAGCGATCGCTCGCCCCGCCTTCTCGCCGAGTAGGAGCCTTTCTAGGCTGTGGGAGGTTTGATCCTCTCTATGCGCCCTCCGCGGGTTGCGGCTCAGTGCTCCCCAAGGACCCAGTGCGAAGAAGCCTCGGACCCCACAGCTGCCGTCCGCGACCCCTAACTCCACTCTGCAGCGAATAAATTAACATCTTGGGCCTTTCATTTACAGGCATACCTTCTGCAAGGGTTTTCTTTTTCTTTTCTTTTTTCTTTTCTGTTTTTGATCTTTTGTGTGTTTGTTTTCATTTGGATACCTCTACGTGTTTTTCTTGATTTTTTTTTCTTTGCATTGTCCGCTGCAACATGGTAGAAAAGGGCAGCGTTAGGTTTGAATACTGGCTCTTGCAGTCACCATCAGCAGCAGGGCCTCGGCCGAATCTCTCCATCTTTGAACCCTATTGTGCATCATATAAAACGGGCATAATAATACCGTTACTCTGAGGACTAAATGATACATTGCACATGAACTGAATGGAACATCAGAAGCTCAGAAAGAAAATAGTTATGGTATCACTGTTCTTTCTTTTCCTTTGAGTGTTGCTTCGTATTTCTTTACTTTCAGGCTGTCTTCCCTGATCTCATTTGTTCATTTTTGTCCGTTCGGTGACCTTTCTGCCCATACTTGACATTTTCCTTTGCTCTCTGTCCCTTTTACCCTGTAAGTCACCACTCTCCACGTGCCATGTGCCACTTCCTTTTCATGGGACACATTGCTGGGATCTGTTTACTGGGTTTGAACCAAAGGATTAGTTACTTTTGGTGGAGTGGCAGTGTATTAGCGAAACAGAACTAATAGGTGTGAACCCAGAAGGCAGGACAACTCAAAGCGGGGAGGGGGCTTCCAGGTCATAGGTAGATAAGACACAAATGGTTGCATTGAGTTGCTGATTAGCCTCTCCGGAAGGAGGCAATCAGATATGCATTTATCTCAGTGAGCAGAGAGGTGACTTTGAATAGAAGGGGAGGCAGGTTTGCCCTAAGCAGTTCCCAGCATGAATTTTCCCTTTAGTGATTTTGGGGGCCCCAAATCACTTTCCTTTCACACGGGGTATGTATAAACATATAAAAGGAGATTTATTATAAGGAGTTGGCTTACATAATTATGGACGTTGAGAAGTCCCACCATCTGCTTACTGCAAGCTGGAGAAATAAGGAGGTTGGTGGTATAATTCAGTCTAAAGCTGAAGGCCTGAGAACTGGAAAGGGATTGAGGTGCTGGTGTCTGAAGGCCAGAGAGCAGGAGGAGATGATGTCCCAGCTCAAGAAGAGAGAGGTGAATTTACTTTTCCTCTGCCTTTTTATACTATTTGGGCCCTCAATGGATTGGATGGTGCCTACGCATAGTGGTGAGAGTGATTTTCTTTACTCAGTCTACTGATTCAAATGCTAATCTCTCTCTCTTTTTTTTTTTTTTTTTTTTTTTTGGACAGAGTCTTGCTCTGTCGCCCAGCGATCTCGGCTTACTGCAATGTCTGCCTCCTGGGTTCAAGCAATTCTCCTGCCTCAGCCTCCCGAATAGCTGGGATTACAGGCATGTGCCACCATGCCCAGCTATTTTTTTTTTGTGTGTGTGTATTTTTAGTAGAGAGGGGGTTTCACCATATTGGCCAGAAACACCCTCACAGACACACCGACTAATAATGTTTTCTGTTGTCTGGGCATCCCTTAGCTAGTCAAGTTGACACATAAAATTACCCAATACAAAGAGAAATATACATTTCATGAAAGCCTACTGTGTACCAAATATTTTTCTCTGTAAATCTCATTGAATATTTTAAAATATTGGTATTAAGTGCATAAATAATACATAAACATCTTCTTCTAAACATTTAATGCATTACAGTGTTAAAGGAAAAATTATTCAGTGATACTTGTTAGAGCATGGTAAGGGAGACCTTATTCAGGACCAGGAAAGGTAAAGAAACCACTGCAATGAAGTCTTGCTGTAGGGATGAGAGATTGGGCTGAACTCTGAATACAGAATGGGCAAGTGGGAATTTATAGTCAAGGAACTTTTTTTGGAGTTTGGGACGTCGATGGATTGAAAATTACTAAGGGGAAACATCAGGCTTAAGGCGGATTCTGGCTAAGTCAACCTAATAGGATTCTTGCTGAAGACAGGCCAGGTTGATCAGACATCACCTGGGGCGTGATGGAGGATGAGGACACTGACCAGGTATTAAGGATGGTCAGATATCAAGGATGGGGGCGTTCCTGCCAAAGGACTTAGAGTTCTTTGCTAACAGTAGATTTTACAAGGAAGTACGCCGATAGCCCTAGGAGAAGTTTCAGAAGCCTGACAAGTTTGGCGAAGAAAAGAGATTTTGTCAATGGATAAAGCTAATGACTTTTTTTTTTTTTTTGGGACGGAGTCTCACTCTGCCACCAGGCTGGAGTGCAGTGGCACCATCCCGGCTCACTGCAACCTCGACCTCCCGGGTTAAAGCGATTCTCCTGCCTCAGCCTCCCGAGTAGCTGAGACTACAGGCATGCACCACCATGCCCAGCTAATTTTTGTATTTTTAGTAGAGATGGGGTTTCACCATGTTGGCTAGGATGGTCTCAATCTCTTGACCTCCCGATCCACCAGCCTCAGCCTCCCACAAGTGCTGGGATTACAGGCATGAGCCACCATGCCTGGCCGCTAATGACATTTTTACCAACCCTGGCTTCCTCCTCTCTCTCCAGAAGTTAGCTGTTCTTATGACCCTAATGTATTTATCTTCCAGATATTTTTATTTTCATGTGCTGTGTACATATGTATCCACAGAAAGTACATAGTATTATTTTCTGTGTACTTGTGTGTATACCTGTGTGTTCATGTTGAATTCTTCCATTTGTTTTCTCTTAGCAGTGGGCCTTGGAGATCTGTTGATAGCGGTAAATAAAAATCTCCCTTATTCCTTCTGCTTTCTGCATAACATTCCATAGTCTGAATAGCAATTTGCCTGTTGAAAACATAAGTTTTTATAATTGTTGGGATTACAAACAATGCTATAATGATCACCCTCTTTGTGCGTACATGCAATGGTACTCTGAGACGGATACTGAGAAAGAGTATTGCTGGGTCAAAGGTTGCACACTTTTAATGAATACTGCCAAGTTTTCCTCCCAAATGAATGCACCTGTTTACACCCTTAACAACAGTATACAAGATTTTTTCCCTGTATCCATGCCCTTACCTCATGTTGCCGGAATTGTAAATCTCAGCCAGTTTAATGGGCAAAAATAATATCTAATTGTTTTACTTTGCCTTCCCATCGTTAATGGTGAGACTGAACTTTCTTTCATACATTTGTTGGTAATTTGTAGTTTTCCTGTGAGTTTTATTTTTATATTGGACTTTTTGTTTTTTTAAATTGGTTGTTAGATGTTCTTTATGTATCCTAGATCCTAATGATTTTACGTATATATTGCAAGAGATATATTAATTTTATGTGTCTTGACTAAGTTCATGAAAGCCTGCTGTGTATAAGATGTTTTTCTCTATAAATCTCATTGAATATTTTTAAATATTAATATTAAATTAATGTTTTCCTTAACTTTCTAGATTATTGTCTAACTTTGTAGTATTAAAGTTTCAAATCTGATACACTCTTTCCCCCGCTTCAAATTAGGTGTTTTATTTAAGAATATCTTTTCTGCACCAAAGTCATAAAGGCTTCTCCTGTATGTTCTTCTACTACTTTTTGCTTTTCCTTTTTATGGTTAGATTTGGAATTTATTTTTGTGAATGATATAAATTGGGGATTCTAATCTAATATCAGTGGTAATCAATTTCTACTTGGAAAACATGGAGTATGAGATATTTACATAATAGAGGATATATTTACATACAAAAGATATATTCCATATGTGATGTGATCAGAATTCTGTCAGCGCAGTTAGCTGGTCCTTCATTTGTCAATGATTTTTTGAGTGACTGCTCTTACAAGACACTGTGGTAGGTATATGGAACAGAATGGAGAATAAGAAAGACGTAATATCTGTTCTCGATCTAACTTTCAACTGGTGTGTGTGTGTATGATATGAAGGAGTTGGGGAAGAAGAAAACAGTTTAAATAACTTACGCAATTCACTAACTGTGGTTATTTAATTATGATTAATTAAATTAATTATAATTATTGTAAGTTCTCCAGAGAAATACAGAGTGCTACAAGAACTTGTTACTGGAGGTCCTAATCCTGGTGGTGGTGCTGTTAGAGAGGTAGTTAGGGAAAGCTTTCTTGAATAGTGACATTTGAACTGAGTCTGTGGAATGCCTGGGCAGGATGAGCCTGGGGGTGAGGTTGGGAGATGGGGTATAAACCAAAAAGTGTCTGAGACAGACCTCAATTGATTTAGAGGTTTATTTTGCCAAGGTTGAGGATGCACCGTGGAAAAGTAGACACAAGTTGCAGTAGGATCTGTGGCCTGTGCTTTTTCCAAAGAGGACTTCAATATTTAAAGCAGAAAGAGCAGGCAGGAGAGGAAGGAGGAAAGAAGAAAAAGGGGAGGGTAGGCACCTAGCAAGAAGTCCCATTCTTGTGAAGCTCTGACCAGTGCTCAGCAATCCACATTTTACATCTGAAAAGAAAGTAGTGGGGACAAAGTCAATTATGCATAGATCTGCATTTTCTATGAGGTAAAGTAAATGTGAAGTAAAGTAAATATGCCTAGAAACAAAAGGAATTTCAGAAACACATGTGTTTAGAAACAAAAAGTATGTGTTTAGAAACAAAAAAAAAAGGAAGGCAGTTTTTGCGTGATTTAGCTCCCAAGCATAGCTTTTCCCTTTGGCATAGTGAGTTTGGGGTCCCAAGATTTTGTTTTCCTTTTACTGAGGTGAGTAAAAAAGAATACTTGAAGTAATGGGAAATAGTGTATACCACAGCTCTGAAATGGGAAGGAGCCTTGGTGTACTGGAGAAACTGAGAAGAGGCTGGTGTGGCTGCGGTCTGACAGCAATAGAGGAATTTGTGAGGCCTGATATTGTGGACAGAGATCAGACCTAATAGACTAATGGTCTTATAGGCCAAATTAACTGCTGAAATTAATGAGAAGCTGGTCAGGTATGGTGGCTCACACCTATAATCCCAGCTCTTTGGGAGGTTGAGGTGGGTGGAACCCTTGAGCTTAGGAGTTCGAGACCAGCCTAGGAAACATGGTAAAACCCTGTCTCTACAAAAAAAATGCACACACACACTCACACTCACTTAGCTAGGTGTGGTGGCATGCATCTGTCATCCCAGCTACTCAGGAGGCTGAGGTGGGAGGATCACTTGAACCCCAGAGGTAGAGGTTGCAGTGAGCCGAGATCGTGCCACTGCACTCCAGCCTGGGCAACAGAGTGAGATGCTGTCTCCAAAAAATAAATAAATAAATAAATAAATAAATAAATAAATAAATAAAATTAATAAAATTAATGGGAAGCCATTGGAGATTTTTTATTAATTAAGCAACATGATTAGATATGCACCTTTATAAGATCTTTCTGGTCACCGAGGAGAATGGAGGGGACCATGAGTGGATGAGGAGAGATAACTTAGGAAGCTATTACTGTAGATCAGGTACTTGGACTAAAGCAATAATAGTAGATATGGAGGGCATTGGGTTATTTCTTTAAAACTATTTGATGCAGAGCAAAGAACTAATTGTTAGAAAAATGGTTATTGTTACAAAAATTGTTAGGAAAATAGGATAGAGAGAGGTTATTTTCCAAAAGTTGAAGAAATGGCAGGGATAATTAGTAATAGTGAAGTGAGCTCAGCTGAAAGTGTGCATAGGAGTTCCACTCTCCTAGTTATTCAATCCAAGTCTGGCTGAACACCAAGTATAGAAAGTGAATCGTTCTGGAAGAGCTATTTGTACATGACATTTTTATAATTAGAGTCATTTAGACTTGCAAGAAGAATTTGTAATTCTAAGTGACCTGGTGGTGAGCCACTTGGTCAGGCACTAGATTAGATACCTGGATAAGTATATAATTATCTGCATTCAAATGTGTCTATATTATACTTTATATTTTCTCATATTTGATTTTTACACTCTGATCCCCAAGTTAGCTGGTCATTTGTGAATACCATGGAGTCATAAGGTCCTGATAAAAACAGAGGTGGCTTTAGAGATATACCTTAAGGAAGACAGCAGGAGATCTAGTCTGAGACACGTTGAGAAAAATGGTCTGTAGCTGGATAAGCTTGGAAAAGACCATATACTCTATCCTCCTTTTGGAAATTTATAATGCATGTGAAGATCCCTAGAAATGAAAAACAAAGTCGAGTTTATTACTTGACATGTAAGGGAGAGCTATATCATTCAATGTGATGGGAGTGAGTCTTTCTGAGTTAAAAGAGGAAAGATGAAATCTAGGATAAGAACTGGAAGTTTTGCTTCAATAAGGCAGGATCTTGAAGACTATCACTGATTGGTTAAGTAGAGGATTGTAAAGTAAAGTATTATTTTGGAATGACAATTGCTCTGGTTTTCAATAATTATGGGACAGGTCTTTTTTTTCTTCCAACTTTTATTTTGGGTCGAGGGAGTACACGTGCAGGTTTGTTATAGGGGTAAATTGCTTGTCAGTGAGGTTTGATGCACAAATGATCCCATCACCCAGGTAGTGAGCACAGTACCCAGTAGGTAGTTTTTTGATCCTCACTCTTCTCCCTCCCTCCACCCTCAAGTAGGCCCCAGTGTCTGTTGTCTCCATGGTGTCCGTGTGTACTCAATGTTTAGCTCCCACTTATAAGTGAGAACATGTGGTATCTTGTTTTCTGTTCCTGCGTTAATTTGCTTACAATAATGGCTTCCAGCTCCATCCATTTTGCTGCAGAAGACATGATGTCATTCTTTTTTGTGGCTGCATAGTATTCCATGGTATATATGTACCACATTTTCTTTATCCAGTCCACCATTGAGGGGTATTTAGGTTGATTCCATGTCTTTGCTATTGTGGAATAGTGCTGCAATGAACATATGTGTGCATGTGTCTTTATGGTAGAAGGATTTATATTCTTTTGGGTTTAAACCCAGTAATGGGATTGCTGGGTCAAATAGCAATTCTGTTTTACATTCAAGAAATCTCCAAATTGCTTTCCACAGTAGCTGAACTAATTTACATTCCCACCAGCAGTGTATATTCATTCCCCTTTCTCTGCAACCTTGCCGGCATCTGTTATTTCTCTTTTACTTTTTAATAATAGCCATTCTGACTGGTATGAGATGGTATCCCGTTGTAGTTTTGATTTGTATTTCTTTAATGATTAGTGATGTTGGGCATTTTTTTCCTTGTATTTGTTGGCCACATGTATGTCTTCTTTTGAGAAGTGTCTGTTCATGTCCTTTGCCCATTTTTTAATGGAATTGTTTGTTTTTTGCTTGTTGAATTGTTTAAGTTCCTTATAGATTCTGGATATTAGACTTTCGTCAGGTGCATAATTTTCAAATGTTTTCTCCCATTCTGTAGGTTGTCTGTGTACCCTGTTGATAGTTTCTTTTGCTGTGCAGAAGCTCCTTAGTTTAATTAGGTCCCACTTGTCAATTTTTGTTTTTGCTGCAGTTGCCTTTGGAGTCTTCATCATGAAATCTTTGCCAGGTCCTATGTCCAGAATGCTATTTCCTATGTTTTCTTCTAGGGTGTTTTATAGTTTTAGGTTTTATATTTAAATCTTTACTCCATCTTGAGCTGATTTTTGTATATAGTGAAAGGGAGGGATCCAGTTTCAATCTTCTGCATATGGCTAGCCAATTGTCCCAGCATCATTTATTGAATAGGGAGTCCTTTCCCCATTGCTTGTTTTTGTCAACTTTGTTGAAGATCAGATGGTTGCAGGTGTGTGGCTTTATTTCTGGGTTTTCTAACCTGTTCCATTGGTCTCTGTGTCTGTTTCTGTATGGGCACAAGTCTTAATGAATTCCAAGATAGGATGAATAAAGCTATGCTGGGTTCAAGGTCATATAGGAGGTACTTTCATACACATATGCTTGAGATTTGGAAATTTTTTTTTCTAATTTAGTGTTATGGATTCTTAGAAGTTCAATAGTGAAGGAACCTACTTAATCTTTTCTAACTCTGCATTCCCCCCACCCAGTTTGAATTCTGAGTCCTGTTTATGAATATCCTGTGGCATCATGAAAACACTGCTATACTGAAGTGTGTGTATTTTCAAAAACAAATTAACTCTAAAGTTCATTGTTAAAGATTTGTTTCAGGTCTATCCAGGTGCTCAACTTTGTCATTAAAGTTATTGATACTAGAAAAATAATATCCAGGGATCTGGGTAGGTTGTTCGTGATATTGTTTGAATGGATCTTTGTGTAATTCCTTACTCTTCTGGAGAAAAGTAGAATAGGAAAGACATTTTGGCTTTAGAGACCTGAGAAACAGTAGGGTACAATGTGAGGTCTCAAGTTCTGTCTTGTCTCTGTGGCCACGGCTCCTTTTCTTTAAAACAGCACTCTACCTTCTCTGGACACTGGAGGCTGCCCACAATCTCCTTCATGTCTTTGCCTCCCCTGTAGGTGAAGGAAAGTCAGATTTTAGGCATGGTTCCCTGAAAGTCTTCTTGTAATTCATATCATTCTTGATGTTCAGGAGGCTTCACCGTTGGATAGACTTCTGTAATTCTAGGATTTCCAACTCCGAGAACTAATACCCCTGCAGACTAATACCCACACACACACAAATGCACACACACACACACACAAACACACACGTTTTTTCCCGGTAGAATCAGTACCAGGAACATAGCGTGGTACATGATATCAATATATCAGTAAGACATAAACATGCATGAATAAATGTTGTCTATTTGAAGTTTCATGAATTGAAGCCTGGTGGTATTCTCATACCTGTTCTTCCCCCCTTCCTCCTTTTCTTGGATCTGCCAAAATGTTTTTATCCTACCCTCTGTCTGCCATTAGACATGAAACCCTTAAGGTCATAGGCTAGGCCCAGAGAAACTAATATTTATGAGATTTGAAGGCAAATTTTTAAAAACTTTTTTAAAATAATAATATAACCCAGATGTTCCAACACCTCTAGATTTAGGTTACCTTGAGTACTTGCCCAAGCCCCTGCAAATGTGAAGTGCTTCCTAAAATTTCTGCGTATTCTGTGGCCATCTCTGTGAGATTCTCTATGGGCTGTTTCTAATCCAAATTATGTCATTCCAGACATGAAACGTTATTCCTCCTTGACTCACACACAACGCACACATATATGAATGCATGTGACATGCATGTTCTGTTCATACATGCATTTGGTAATATAGAAGACTTTACTGAAGGTTTGAGGGGGAGACAGATTAACATTGTAGAAATGTGACTTCAAACTGAGCATTAGGCATCCCCATTCTTAAACTGCTTTCTAGGTGCCCTGACGCTGGGGAATTTCCACTGACTTCTTCCCACAGACTCCTCTGCTTTGCTCCATTTTGGGGTTCCTTTTTTCTTCCTTTCTCTGTCATTTTCTTTTTTGAGAAATATTAACTATTACCTTTTTTTCCTCATTCAGGGCACTCTAAACCATTCTTTGATGACAGAGCTCATGATAATATTGATGTCCTTAGGTTCTCTCTCTTCCTTTATCTCCAAATGATCTATTTCTCCTGCACAGCTCCAAGACAGTTCCCTCTCTAAGAGAAAATCAGGTACAGCAGTTGAGATAATAATATTTTTGCCTCATTACATTTTGTTTTGAATTTTCAATTCAATATTAAAAGGAATGTGTGCAGTGTTGATGAAAGGAGTCAAACTCTGCAAAATATTGGAAGAGATTTATTCTGAGCCCAATATGAGTGACCATGGCCTGTGGCACAGCCCTCAGGAGATCCTGAGAACATGTGCCTAAGGTGGTTGGGGCACAGCTTGGATTTATACACTTTAGAGAGACATGAGACATCAGTCAGATACATTTAAGGTATACATTGGTTCTGTCCAGAAAGGCAGGACAACTTGAAGTGGGGAGTGGGGGGCTTCCAGGTTATAGGTAGATTTAAAAATGTTCTGATTGGCAATTGGTTGAAAGAGTTACTATCAATAGAAAGGAATGTCTGGGTTATGATAAGGGGTTGTGGAGACCAAAGTTTTATCATGCAAATGAAGCTTCCAGGTAGTAAGCTTCAGAGAGAATAGATTGTACATTTGTAAATGTTTCTTATCACACTTCAGGTCTGTGTTGATGTTAAATGCTGGTTGGCTTTTCCTGAATTCCAAAAGGGAGGAGGGCATAATGAGGTGTGTCTGACCCCTTCTTCCCGTCATGACCCAAACCAGTCTTTCAGGTTAACTTTGGAGTGCCCTGGCCAAGAGGAGGAGTCCATTCAGATGGTTGAGAGGCCCTTAGAATTTGGTTTACAGCAGTAATTTTTTTTTTTAGTCATAGTTTTAATGGTCTTTTAATGCTAGTTTTTCTTTACTGTTGGGAAGAGACATATCTAATACTCATTATCACAAACTGAATCACCTGCATCATCATTCCCTAAAAAGATATCTTGCCTGAAGACAAGGGTCAGATCAGTAGGTTTGTAGCCTACTTTGAGGGACTTTGCACACTAACCCTGAAACCAGCCCAATTGTTCCACACAAAAGATATTTATGGATTTTTAAATGAACACAGAAATTGACACTCTGTCTTAAAACCTGAAACTTACATTTGTCTTAACTGAGTTCCTTCCTCAGGAAACTGACCCTCAGGCAAGAGACTGAAACCCACTAGATCACCAATCCGGACAACAAGATGCCAGGCCCCTCATTCATCATGATGGCTTCCTTACCCCTCCCTAATTCCTATTTTCTCACCTTACCAGCTCTTCTTCCTTACCCCTCTCTAACTCCTATTCTCCCTCCCTTCCACTATATATAAACCTCCCAAATTTAGTTGGTTGGGGAGATGGATTTGAGACTCTACCTCCCATTTTTCTTGGCTGCAGCATTCAGTTAAAGCCTTCTTCCCTGGCAATGCTCAGTGACTCAGTGATTGATGTTCTGTGCAGCAAACACCAGGACCTGACTGAACCCTGGGGGTTTTGGTGACAATCCTACATGTGAGCCCTGAACTTCATGTAACCTTGGGGCTGCATTTTCCAGTAGGAAAGTGTTTCTAGATATATTGGCTCTGAGACTTTTCCTAGCTTCCTAGGTACATGGTCTACTTATATTGGAGCCCAGAAACTGCTGTAATCCATGAACTGCAAATGGAAATTTTTTACAAGATGTTCTCAAGTTTTGGTATTATCTGAGGATGAACACCTCTAAGTTTATCTAAAAATTTGTATTATTTCAAGATGGAAGTCCCCTTATTGAGATATTATCAAACAAAAAGCTGATTCATTTCAAATATTTTGGAAGGACCATTAGAATTATTAGAAGTCTGTAGCGTGCTTCTCTCATGATAAAGATGATAGGAACTAAGAAAATGAGATGTGGAATGTTTTATGTTTTTGACAAGAAGATGAGGCAAAGAGGGTGGTCATAAAAAAAAAGATGGTGGTCATAAATAAAGAGGGAGACAGGATTCCTTATACATTTTTAAAGTTGTTGACATTTGTCTCTGACCTTAGTGGTTTCTACTTTCAGTTTGCAGTTGACAAGTCCAGAGTTCTACTTCATGCATCTGAGGATATACTGGGACTTCCTTGTTGAAGAATTACATTGTTTCTTCTCAAGAAAAACTCCTAGTTCATTTACATGTAACAAGTTCTCATGGGAGACCTTAACCATCATGGTTTGCTTTTGCATCTTTATCTTACTATAGCATTGAATCAGAACTTCTGGGATTTGGGGGGAGCCTGTTTTACCAAACTTCTCCAAAATCCTCTCTCAACTTTCATTGTTTTTATCTGCATTAAGCTCACTTTGATGTGTTGCATGTTTTACTTTGCATGACCAGTCTTTGGGCAAGTCATTGCCTTTCTTAAGGCTCCCTTCACCTCCTTGTTTCTAATAGTATAAATAAAGGGATTCAGAAGGGGGGTGAGGATAGTATTTAGCACAGACACCACCTTATTAATCTTAAAGGAGGAGTGTGCTGTGGGTCTTAGGTACATGAACAGAACAGCCCCGTAGAGCAGGGAGACAACTGTCAGGTGCGAGGCACAGGTAGAGAAAGTCTTTTGGTGGCCAGTGGCTGAAGGAATTCGTAGGATTGCGGACAGAATGTAGATATAAGAAATCATATTAAAGAGAAGTGACCCTGGGATCACAAGGATGGTTGCTATGACGCCCAGGAGTTCCAAAATGCTGGTGTCTATGCAGGCGGCTTTCAAACTGGGCCCAACATCACAGTAGAAATGACTGATAACATTATTGCCACAGAATGGCAACTGGATGAGCAGCATCGTCTGACAAAAGACAATGGTGAAGCCCACCACCCAGGAGCTCAGGGCCAGCTGCAGGCAGAGTTTGCTGGTCATGATGGTGGGGTGGTGAAGGGGATTGCAGATGGTGAGGTAGCGGTCAAAAGACATGATAGTGAGGATCAAGAACTCGGTGGTGCCCACGAAGAAGTGGAAGAAGGCCTGCAGCAGGCAGCAGGACATGCAGATTACTGTTCTTGCCACTACAAAGGTTCCTAGCAGTTTGGGGATGACTGTGGTGGTGTACCAGATTTCTAAGAAAGACAAGTTACAAAGGAAGAAGTACATTGGAATTTGTAGCCTGGGCTCAGCCCACACAGTGGCAATAATAAGCCCATTGCCTGCAAGGGTTAATATGTAGGTGAGAAAGATTGCAATAAAGAGAGGTGTTTGTAGGCCTTGGATAACAGGAAAGCCTAGCAGGATGAATTCTGTGATTACTGTGCCATTTCTCATGTCCCTTGATACCCTAGAAAGACAAGCAAGAAAGCTCCTTAGAATCTTAGAGCACAGTTGATTATAGTTGGGACAAAAAATAAGGAGGATTCTGACTATGTAAGGTCCTTCGGGACCTGACTCTATTTCAGGTCCTCCCTCACCCACATACAAATACGCACTGGCCACCCCTTCTTTACTGATGATTTGGCTGGTTCTTTTGTCAGCAAAACCAGCTTCTAATGGACTTTGAATGTATTAAAAACACTTGATGAATGCAAAGTGTTTTTTCACCCTTATACAACTATGAGAATAATCATGTGAAATGTGGTTGCTTCTTGTCAATTATTCATATAACTATTTTCAATGCATAGTGTGTATACCAACTTATGTACGTAAACGTGGCTGTGAGTTCATAAGAAATTAATCCCTATTCTCAGAGTCTGAAAAAGAAGTTACTGATTACATTACAGATACGTTTAAGGAAGCCATTATTGTGTGTGGGTGTGAGTGTGTGTCTTAAAATAACCCCAAATCATTGCTATTATATTAGTGGTGAGATAAAGTTAGATAACAGAAGAGGTGTTTTTCTGAAGAATCCACTTCCACATTCTAGTTCAGACTCCTTTGCTAAAGGTATCAAAAATAACATTTAAAACTAAATGAATAAAACTGTTTAGGAAGTAGAGAAATATTCAACTCAAATTCAAAATTTCAGAACAAGCTGAGTCAAAGCCTGTTATATGGAAGCACCTAATAAATGTACATGGGATAAAGATCTGCAGACACTAATCTACAAAAGTGAAAGGTTAGCAAATGCTAAGGATAACAAAATGGGAACTCTGAAAAGTACATTTTTGTCAAAATTTTTTTTGTGACTAAATGTCTTTTTATACCAAGTAAAGTATTTCTATTTGTATATGCAAATTCATGGGCTGAGAACATCCTTTCTGTTCTACCAAAATTCAGTAGAAAATAGTAAAACTACTTCCTTTCTTATTGAGGCTATTCTTCCATGTGGGTTTCCTTTGAAATGGGTGAGACAAATTACTGTGAAATGAATTTCACATTTTTCAAAGTACATAAGAAGCTTAGCATGAAAGAGGCAACTTACAGGTCATTGATAGGTTGTTTCATTCTTCCCTCATGTGAGATAACTGTAATTCTCTGAGGGCTTGCTTAGGGAAGAAAAACACTTCCATTTTCTCCCACCTCTTTTCTAGACCAGGAAAAGATTCTTTGTCTACAATGTCACAAGCTCTAGTGCCTTTCCACAAAACGATGAGAGACAGAGAAGTATTTGAATTTGCACTAATGGCCAATATAACTGGCCACGAACGTGATCTCTTTATATAGGATAGATATGGAATTATCTTCATTCCCCATGCAGAGAAGAGTGGCAATCTCTATAGCTCAATATAACATTTCCAAGGGCTACACATTCTACCATTTGGAGAATTAGACCTATGAATTCCACAAGCATTTGTTGAGAGCTTACTATGCTTCAAGTACTGCCAGGCAATTAAAGAGCTTATCAGATAGATAGATAGATAGGTGGATAGATAGATAGATAGATAGATAGATAGATAGATAGATAGATAGATAGATAGATAGGTGGATACTATATATAGTATAATAATTGCAACATGACTCAGTGAGGGAAAGTGTAGAGCTGTGCACAGATTGTTTTAGAAACACTTAGAAGGGGCTCTTCGCCCATCTTTAGCAGGGGTTAAGGAAGTTTTTCTAAAGAAGGAGAGGCCTAAGCTGAGTCCTAGAGTTCAAAAGGAAATGAAAGTGAAGTAAGGAGAGAGGGGGAATGCATTCCAGACAAGGATTCAGTTTTTGTGAAATAGAACCAGAGCAGAGAATTTCACTTGAGCTGGAGCTGGGAGTCAGGCTTGTCCTGGCACTTATGGTAAATTAACAGTTAGAACAGTTTACACGAGAGATTCATGAAGCTTTTGGAGGACAGAATCTTGAGTCACGGAGTTTGCAAGTGTGTGTGTGTGTGTGTGTGTGTGTGTGTGTGTGTGAAGTATGGTGTCAGCCATTCTCTGTAACACATGTACATGTGGATCTAAGCTTCATGGAGGAAGGGGCTGCAGGTGGTATGTGAATGACCTCTTTTGAGATTCTGGTCACAGACAGTACTGCCGTGGTATCCAGGTGACCATGTGGGACACATACAGGGGACAGACATACTCTCTCTGCTTTTGTCAGGAACATGGCTTGGTTTGGTAGCATGAGGGCCCAGGAGTAGCAGCAGCAGTGGCAGCAGAAATGATACCAGCAGAAGTGGCAGTGCCTGCTGAGGGGGCTGGTCCACAGCAGAAGGAATGCTGAGCAAGTAGAAGTGGCAGAAATGAGGAATCAGGCAGTAGCTGTCCTGACAGCTGCACGGACTGGGTTTTGAGCACATGAGAAGTTTTGTGAGATGCAGAGGGAGGTGGGGATGTCTCAAGTTAGCAGGTAAAAGCAATGTTCAGAGAAACACAGGAAAGCAACCCAAGGAACCTAAAGTTATAGAGCTAAGATGCTGGATTAAACACTGCAGTCTATATGCCTATTACAATTCAATCCTACACTCTAGACTTCTTCTTCCTTTTAAAAAGTCACAATGTATAGGGTCAAATGGATTCCTCCATATCCACCAGGGTCCAAGTCACCAGATCCTGTTAACTTTACTTCTTACTCACTCTCTAGTGTGTGTCCTTTCCGTCTCTCCCTGGCTCCGGTAAATCATGCTGTCATCTCCCATCAGGATTCGAACACAGCCTCCTAACAGGACTCCCTGTCTCCTGACTTGCTGTGCTCTTTCCTACCGATGGTTCAAACTGTAGCAAGGGGGACCATTCGAATTCTGACTACGCCACTCCTCAGAATCTTGAAGTTAACATCCCAGACTCCTCAGCATGACATTTAAGACCACCGATGATCTGGTCTTACCTACCTTTCCAGCATGATTTTCTGCCATTTGCCATTTTTCCTTCTGCCTTCTTCTATGCTCCACACTTACTGAATTACTCAGGTTTAGAGGTTAGCAAACTATGGCCCTGTTTTTGTAAAGTTTCACTAAAACATAGCCACACTCATCTGTTTACCTATTGCCTGTGGCTGCTTTTGTGCTATCATGGTGAAGTTTGGTAATTGTGACAGAGACCATATGACCCCCAAAGTCTAAAAGGTTTGCTATCTGGCCCTTTACAGAAACAGCTGGCTGACTCCTGCTCTAGTTCCCCAATTATGCCATCTTCTTTCTTGCCTCCCAGTCATTGCACCTGCTGTTCTCTTCACCAGAAATACCCTTCCCGACTTTCTCCATTATTTGGCTAAGTCTTGTCTGAATTCTAGATTTAAGTTTAGGAGCCACCTCCATGGGAAGCCTTCCTTAACTTGCCACCTCTAGTCCAGTTAAGGTGCTGCTCCTACACACTTTTCTAATGCCCTGTGCATATCTATACCTGAACACTTTGCAGAATTGTGTTTATTGTTTGCTTGGTGTCTGCTATAGACTCTAAGCCCCTTGCAGGCAGCAACAGTGTCTGCAGGGCCGAAGCATAGAGCTTGACACAAAATAAGCTCTCAAAACATAGTTTCTAAATGATTATATAAATGGATAGCTTGTTGACACTCTGTCCCCAGTTACCTAGAAGTTTATGGAAACTGACACATGCACATGTTTATACATGTCACCGTTTCCTGTATTTCAAGTGCTCAAGTCATATCATAACAGGGACTCTTTGCTAAATAATTTGTCTCCAAGTTTTCTTCTGCTTCCAACTTTTTCTGATGTGAGTTTTGCCGCATGAAAACCTTTCTGCTCCATCTTTCCCTAATCAGGGATATGCTGGTGTTTTGTTTTGTTTTTACTGTGTTCTGGTTCTTTTCCCAGCTTCTTCAGGCTGCCTGAGTACAGATAATTTTCTTAACTCATTTAATGCTCAATTGCTTGAAATTGTATTGAGTCATTTTTTTCTGAGTTTTGTTGTGCGATAAAGAATCCCACATTTTCTAAAACTTTTTATAGTTTTAGAAGAAGACAAAAAGAAGAAAAGTATTAACATATTTTCTTCTCTGGATAACAGCAAAATGTTCCAAGTCTTGTTTGTTTATTTATTTGTTTGTTTTTAAATTGCTGATGAAGACCAATTTCAATTTTCAAGACTTTGATTATGGAATAAATTTGAATATGCCCAGTGGTGTAGAACTCTAAAACAGAAACATTAAGTACATATAGAATAAGCTTCACAAAGAGAAATAAACCAAGATTCATCACTCAGGGGACTTGTGCTAAGCTGAAACTTGAATGAAGAACCAATTTGAAATTCCTTTCAAGGACTGATGGTTCTAGGTAAGATGTGGTGAATAAAGACTGCTTTTCTGAGGAAGATCCAAGTCCAGGTCATTGTGATGACTTTTCTACATGATACCAAAATTGATTTATTAGGATTTACTTTAAGACTTCAAGGGGTCAAGTCTAGCTGTATCAATTCATTCTAGAGAAAAGCAAAGGTTTTTCCAAAATAGTACTCTTTCTTGGTGACAAAGCAATACTTACAGCACTACTGATTTCCAGGAAAACACTTCCAGCCGCAAGGTGTGTCCTTGCCCACAGTAGACTGACAGAAAAGGAGAGCTGGGTTATAAAGGCAGTATAATTGGAACAGAAAATTTTTCTTTTTTTTCTGCACAGAAAATGAATCTCTTTTTCTATACTTTAATGCAAGTGTCCTTATGCATTACTGAATTGTATTCATAAAGCTTTCATGACATGGCAAGGTTTCTTCAGCATTTAGGAGAATTGTATTGAGAGTAATTAATTCATCTGTTCCTGCTAGGTCAGGATACCTTCTCTGAAAATAACAATTTGTTAGTGGGACATTTTCACAGGTTCCTATGAGACATCAGTCTGCATGGATTTGCTCCAGAGAGTCCCAGGAGATAGGGAAGTTCTCACTAAAAGTTTATTCACAAGTCAAGCTGAGGAATTTGTAGTTTTCTAAATTCTAATTGGTATCAATCATTCCTGCACTCCTGAGGTAATTAACCAAAGTCTGAGAATCTTTTAATTTTGTAAGTTTTTAGATCTTGGATTTCTCAGTTCTCCAAGAAGGAAAATTATTGACATCTTAATAAATAAATGGGGTCCTTTAATGAACTGAATTGAATCAAAGGTAGTCAATTTGGTCAATAATATAAAAATGGCCATGTATTCAGAAATGTGAGATTGAACAGAATAAAAATTGCATTCACTCACGCCTGTAATCCCAGCACTTTGGGAGGCCGAGGTGGGTGGATCATGAGGTCAGGAGATCGAGACCATCCTGGCTAACAAGGTGAAACCCCGTCTCTACTAAAAATACAAAAAATTAGCCGGGCGCGGTGGCGGGCGCCTGTAGTCCCAGCTACTCGGGAGGCTGAGGCAGGAGAATGGCGTGAACCCGGGAAGCGGAGCTTGCAGTGAGCCGAGATTCCGCCACTGCAGTCCGCAGTCCAGCCTGGGCGACAGAGCGAGACTCCGTCTCAAAAAAAAAAAAAAAAAAAAAGAAATTGCATTCAGTTTTCTTGTGAACTATCTTATGGGGATAAATGAAAAGACAGGGGCCTAAAGTATTGAGGGTCATGTAGAGAGTTCATGGATATTGCATGTGTAACTAATTATTGGAGAAGGCTCTCTGCAAAACAGGAACATAAGAGTTGGAATTGTAACTTGAAAATCAACGCTAATGAGGATGATTTAAGTAGAAATAAAATACATTCATTTTTAAGTATACAGTTTGAAGAGTTTTGACAGATGTATGCACACATGTAATCACCACTTCAATTAAGATGCAGAATTTTCCTAGCACTTTGAAAAAATTCTTTTGTGCTCATTTGCAGTTCTATCTCAGGACTCTCTCTCCCACCCCAACAACCGCTGTCTGATTTCTATGTCTGTAGATTAGTGTCATCTATTGCGTGATTTTTATATAAATGGAATCATATGGTATGTGTATTCTTTTGTGTCACGGTGCTTTCACTTAGCAAAATGTTTTTGAAATTCATCCACATTGTTAAGTATAAAAAGCTAATTCCTTTAAAGTGCTGAGTTTCAGGGTGCCATGGCTCATGCCTGTAATCCCAGTTCTTTGTGAGTCCTAGGGGGTTGGATTGCTTGAGCCCAGAAGTTCAAGACCAGCCTGGGCAACATGGTGAAACCAAGTCTTTACAAAAAATAAAAATTTAGCTGCGCACAGTGGCATGTGCCTGTAGTCTCACCTACTTGGGAGGCCGAGCTGGGAGGAATGCTTAAGCCCAAGAGGTTGAAGCCGCAGTGATCCATGATCGTTACAGTGCTCTTCAGCCTAGGAAACAGAGTGAGACCCTGTCTCAAAAAAAAAAAAAAAAAAAAAAAAAAGTGCTGAGTTTCCATTGTATGAATATACACGTCTTATTTATTCATATATTAGTCAATGAGTGTTTGGGTTGTTTTAGTTTTTACTATTATACATAAAGTCATGGTGAATACTCATGTAGGAATATTTTTGTGGGTGTCTATTTTTATTTACTTTAGGTACATGACTAAAAGTGAAATTCCTGAGTCATAAGGTCTGTGTATGTTCCACTTTTTGAGAAACAGCCAACCTGTTTTCCAATGAGGTTGCACCATTTCACAGGCCCATCAACTATATGAGAGTTCTAGTTGTTCCACATTTTCACCAACATTTGCTGTTGTCAGTTTAAAAAAATTAGATATGATAGTAGGGGTTGGATTTTCTCATTCTTAATTTAATTTGCATTTCCCTGATGACCAGTGATGTTGAACACATTTTCATATGCTTATTAACAGTTTCTGTATCATTTTTGTGAAGTTAGTTTAAATATTTTACCCACTTAAAAATAGATAATTTTTGTTTTTTATTATTGAGTCATACAATTGCTTTATTCTAAAGCAGGGCATGCACCTGTAATCCTAGCATTTTGGGAGGCTTAGGTGGAGGATTGCTTGAGGCCAGGAGTTCAAGACCATCCTGGGCAACATAGTGAGACACTGTCTCTACAAAAAATTAAAAAGTAGCTGGGCATGGTAGTGCACACCTGTCATCCTAGCTACTCAGGAGGCTGAGGCAGGAGGATTGCTTGAGCCCAGAAGTTTGAGGCTGCAGTGAGCCATGGTTGTACCACTGCACTTCAGCCTGTGCAACAGAGCGAGACCTCTCTCTAAAAAAAAGTTCTTGGCCTGGAGTGATGGCTCATGCCTGTAATCCCAGCACTTTGGGAGGCTGAGGCAAGTGGATCACGAGGTCAGGAGATCAAGACCATCCTGGATAACAGAGTGAAACCCCATCTCTACTAAAAATATAAAAAATTAGCCAGGCGTGGTGGCAGGCACCTGTATTTCCAGCTATTCGGGAGGCTGACGCAGGAGAATGGCGTGAACCCGGGAGGCGGAGGTTGCAGTGAGCCGAGATTGCACTGTGTGATCTCGCCTGTGATGGGAGGGACTGCTTTGAAGATTTCCAAAATTCCTTGAAAGCCTTTTCTCATGGTCTTGGTTGTTAGTGCTTTGCTCTATTTGAGTCATAAAATCTCTCTAGCAAGTGGCTGCTCTATAGCCTATGTGTATTTCTGTCTTGAAAATGCTTTTTCTTTTTCTACCACATGACCAGGCTGCAGATTTTCCAATTTTTTTCCTCTGCTTCCCTTTTAATTATAATTTCCAACTTTAAGTCATTCCTTTGCTTCCACATCTGATTGTAGGCTGTTAGAAGCAGCTACACCATATTTTGAATATGTTACTGCTTAAAGATTTCTCCACCAGATACCTTGGGTCATCATTCTTATGTTCAACCTTCCACGAATCCCTAGGACATGGACAAAATGCTGCCAAGATTTTTGCTAGGGCATAACAAGGGTGACTTTCATTCCCATTCCCAATAAATTCTTTATTTCAGTCTGAGACCTCATCAGCCTGGCCTTCACTGTCCATGTTTCTATCAGCATTTTGGTCACAACCTCTTAACAAGTCTCTAAGAAATCCTAATTTTTCCCTCATCTTCCAGTCTTCTTCAGAAACATCCAATCTCTTTCAACTTCTGCCTGTTATCCATTTCCAAAGCAGCTTCCCCACTTTCAGGTATCTTCATAGCAAACCCCACTCCTGGTACCAATTTTCTGTATTAGTCTGTTTTACATTGTTCTAAAGGAATACCTGAAACTGAGTAATTCATAAAGAAAAGAGGTTTATTTGGCTCACAGTTCTGAAGACTGTGCAGGAAACATGGTACCAGCATCTGCTTCTGGGGTGGGTCTCTGGAAGCTTTGACTCATGACATAAAGCAAAAGGGGATCAGGTGTGTCACATGGTAAGAGGGGGAGCAAGAGAGAGGAAGGGGTACCATACTCTTTTAAACAATCAGCTCTCATGTGAACTGATAGAGGGAGAACTCACCCATTACCATGAGGATAGCACCAAGCCATTCATAAGGGATCCTCCCCATGACCCAAACACCTCCCACCAGGCCCCACTTCCAACATTGGGGATCACATTTAAACATGAGATTTGGACAGGACAAACATCCAAACTATGTCAAGGATTACTATCCAAAATATATAAGGACGTCCTCCAACTCAATAGCAAAAAAACAAAAAACAACCCCACAATAATCTAATTAAAAAATGGGCAAAGGACTTGAGTAAACATTTCTTCAAAGAAGACATATGAAGGAACAACAGATATCTGAAAAGGTGCTTAATATCACAAACCATCAGGAAAATGCAAACCAAAATTATAATGAGCTATCACTTCATATCTTTTAGGATGACTACCATAAAAAAATAACAAATGTTGGCAAGAATGTGGAGAAGAGTAAACCTTTATGTACCATTGGTGGTAATGTAAATTGGTGCATCCACTGTAGAAAACAATATGGAGGTTCCTTAACAAATTAAAAAAACAATGACCTCATGATCTAGCAATTCCACTTCTGGCTATATCTCCAAATGAGTTGAAATCAGTATCTCAAAAATATATCTGCATCCTATGTTTATTTCAGCATTATTCACAATAGCCAAGACATGAAAGCAACCTAAATGTCCATCAATGGATGAATGGATAAAGAAAATACACACAATAGAATATTATTCAGTTTTAATGAAGAAGGAAATCCTGCCATTTGTGACAGCATAGGTGAACCTGGAGGACATAATGCTAAGTGAAATAGATCATATAAAGTACACATACTACATGATACCACTTATGTAATTAATCTAAAATAGTCAAACACATAAAAGCCAAAAGTGGAATAGTGTTTCCAGGGACTGGAAGGGAGAGGAGAACAGGGAGGTATTAGTGAAAATGTACAAAATTTCAGTTACACAAGATGAATAAAAAGTCCTAGAAATTGACTCTATAGTATAATGCCTATAGTTAAGAATCTTGTATTAATCCTTACCTGGCAGAGGTGATACCATGATCATGAAGGTGGTTTTCCCAGGGCGAGGCTGATCCATTCACTCTGGGTGTGCTGACTCCTGTGATTTCCCCAAATGTGGTAGACTTGACTGCATAATTTGTGGTAGTAGGGGACTGTGTTCATGCTTTCCCCTCAAGAAAACCAACCAAACAAACAAAAAAAAGCTGTATTGTATACTTAATAATTTGCTAAAAGAGTAGATCTTATGTTAAGTGTTCTTATAATAAACAAACAAAATGATAATAATAAATAGAGAAGGTTGGAAGAAACTTTCTGAGATGATGGATAGGCCTACTGTGTGGATTGAGGTGATGATTTCGTTGGTGAATCTTTATCTCCAAACTCATCTGCATGTTCACAAATCTCAACGAACACCAAACAATATAAACCAAAGCAAACTATACCTACACATATCATAATTAAATTACTGAAAATCAATGATAAAGGGGGGCTTTTCTTCCCTTCAGGCCCACCTTGTGGTTTTCAACTGCAAGAAGGCAAGCTAGCTGTTCAAACATGAATCTGGGCAGGAGGAGGGGAAGGGGCCTCTGTGAAGTTTTTGAATCAAGACTGTATATATTAAGATGTATACATTAATATACATAGTTTTTGTATGTCAATCATACATCAATAAAGTGGTTAAAAAGGAAGTTTTATATTTACAGTCATACTTACCACGTCCAGTGGCCTTTTGTGTGTGTGTATGTAGATCTGAATTTTGATTACTTTTTGGCCTCAAGAAATTCCTTTAACATTACTAGCAGTGAAGGTGTGATGACAAAAATTTTTCTGATTTTTTATGTAATATTTATTTTTGAAGAATGTTTTTAGAGGATATAGAATTCTAAGTTGATAGTTTATTCTCCCTTTTCTCATCTACTCCCCAGCAGTTTAAAGATATTGTTCCATTGCCTTCTGGTTTGTGTGGTTTCTAATGAGGCATCAGCAGTATTATATACGTCTGTGTGTACATATGTATGTGTGTATGTATATGTGTGTGAGTGTGTGTGTATATATATATATATATAGTGTTGTGTGTGGTTGTGTTAACCCTTAATTACTTTAATTTTTTATCATTGATTTTCAGTAATTTAATTATGACATGTGTAGGTATAGTTTTCTTTGTTTATATTGCTTGATGTTTATTGAGATTTGTGAACATGTAAATTTATACTTTTCATCCTATTTGGAAATATTTTGTCATTATTTCTTAAAAAATTTTTAATTTAAATATTCTTCCTCACCCTCTTTTCTGGTCCCCCTACTATGCATATATTAGGTTTCGTGATTTTGTCTCAAAGGCTGATGAAGTTCTCTTTTGTTTTTAGCTTTCCCTCACTCCTTAACCTGCAGTTTGGATTGTTTTTATACCAGTCTTCACATTCTTTTACTGTAAAGTGTTTAATCAGCTATTAAACTCATCCAATGAATTCACTTCAGCTCTATATGTTTTATTTGCTTCTTTTTCATATCTTCCATTTTCTTCCTTATGTTCACATTTTTAAAAAATCTTAGGCAATATTTATCATAGCTGTTTAAATTCCTTATCTAAGAATTCTATCATATCTATTATTTCTGAGTGTATTGACTAATTTTTCTCTTCATTTTGGGTCATATTTCCTTTTTATTTTTGTTCTGGTAATTTTTAAATGTATGCTGGGTATTATATATGTTGTCAAAGGTCAGGTGTGGTGGCTCACACCTGTAATTCCAGCACTTTGGGAGGCCAAGATTAGAGAATTGTTTGAGGCCAGGAGTTTGAGACCATCCTGTGCAACACAGTGAGACAACATCTCTCCAAAAAATAGAAAAAATTAACCAGGCATGGCAGTACATGCCTGTCATCCCAGCTACTTGGGAGGCTGAGATGGGAGGATTACTTCTGTCCAAGAGTTCTAACCTGCATTGAGCTATGATTGCACCACTGCACTCCAGCCTGGGTGACAGAGTGAGACCTTATCTCTAAAAAAAAAATGTAAAATAAATATTATTGAATGTTTGTTTTCTTCGTTTAAAGAGTGTTATAGTTTGTACTGCTAGCCTGCCAATTTATTTATAGATTTATTTGATTATTTGAAGTCTTGTTTTTAAGCTTTGTTAAGGCATATTAGAATAAGACTTTATTTTTAGGGTTAATTTCTCCTCACTGCTAAGGTATGAAATTTCTAAGGCACTGAGTGTTCAGTGAAGTCCTTCCACTGTGATTGGCTGGATTTCAAATGTCTAACCCTCATCAAGCTCTGTAGTTGTTCAGCTTTCTCCTCTCCAGTAGTTTTTCTTTATATTGATTCTTTGCCTGGGTTTGTGAAATTTCAACACATGTATGCGTGTACAGTTTATTACTTTTAGAGATAAACTAGAAGACATCCCTATGAAGTTTTCTGAAGCTCTTTCTCAAAGATTCCCCATTTTTGGTAGTCTGCCCTGCAGATTTCAGATGCTTCAGCTTCCTTGAATTCTCAAACCTGTCTCTTCCACATAGTGACAATGCTGTGCCCTGCTTGGGTTTGCCCTCTTTCCAAACTAGTGTCTAATAGACACTTCCAGGTAGAGAGGTTGGGTTATCTTTGAGCTCAACTAATTTGTTTTTCTTCTCTCAGGGATCACTGTCCTTGGCTTCTTCTTGTTCAATGTATGAAAACAGCTGTTTCATATGTTTTGTCTAGTTTTTAAAAGTGTTTATAGTGTGAGGGTTAGTCCATTAGAATTACTTTGTTATACCTGGTTAGTGAATTCTTCCAAAATATTAGAATAAAAATTTGAAAGTGTAGGCCCCAAAAGATGATTTATTCAGAATTGGAGAGACTCGAGATAGTTTAAAACCAAGGAAGACAACATGAGAAGTGAGGAAGATATAGAGACGTTTCCTATAGCAGAAGTTAAAGATGAATTACATATTCTAGTTATGTGTGTAGTTATTAGTGTGAGTTTTATTGCTAGTGTTATTGATATTATTTTGTTGTCATCTCTTGGAACACTCTCAATCAAATATTCTGTCTTTTTTTTTTTTTGTAAACGGCAACTTTCTTCTTCTGACCAAATTGGCCCTTTCTCCTCCTATTGAAGAAGGTATGGTTCTCTATCTTAAGAACTAAATGAAGGCCAGGCACGGTGGCTCACGCCTGTAATCCCAGCACTTTGGAAGGCTGAGGCGGGCGGATCACGAAGTCAGGAAATCGAGACCATCCTGGCTAACACGGTGAAACCCCATCTCTACTAAAAATACAAAAAATTAGCCAGGCATGATGGCGGGCGCCTGTAGTCCTAGCTACTCGGGAGGCTGAGCCAGGAGAATGGCGTGAACCCGGGAGGCAGAGCTTGCAGTGAGCCAAGATAGCGCCACTGCACTCCAGCCTGGGCGACAGAGCAAGACTCCGTCTCAAAAAAAAAAAGACAAATGAAACAAAACTTTGATCCAAGCTGTCTTGGATTTATTTTAAAGCAAAATTTCTTAAGTAATATGTAATTTATGTATTTCTTATATTATTTCTTTGACCATCTTTAGTTCCCTGAGATTTGGTTCCCATTTCATAATTTTACTGAATCTACATGCCTAAGAGCATACTTAAATTTTCTTCTTGTTTTTCAAAATCAAAGGGATTTTTGTGTTCATTTCTCTAAACCTATAATAGTCCATACTGCTGACTACCCCCTCTTTGGAGCTCTCTTTTCTCTTTCTTTTATAGCATTTCACTCTATTACCTTTGTCTTCTTCTTCCTTCTCCTTATTTTTTATTCCTGGAGGTGGGGATCTCAGTTTTTGTTAACTCATTCTTTCTTTTGTATAAGGCTAGCCAGCCCCAGTAATGACCAAAATATACTCAATTAGGTATCTTGTTTAAATGAGAATCCTGTTTAATGGGTAGAGTAAAATTATACCACCCCACTGAACTCATTTATATGTTTTGATTAGATAATCCTTTTGTCATAATATTGAGCTAACTTTCACCTATTTTGTAATATTTGAATATTTAAATATAGTTGCTAGATCATATATCTTGATGTAGTTCAGGTCCAGGAGTTTCAACAGAAAAGAACTTACAGCCCATTCATAATTAGAGCGTTTATAAACATATTTGGAAATTGAGGTAGTCCCTGAATGAAGTGACTTATAGGAAAGCACTCTGGAAGCTGAGAGAAAAATCATATGTGAGAAATCTGGTAAGGTAGGTGATATGGTTTGGATTTGTGTCCCCACCCAAATCTCATGTTGAATTGTAATTCCCAGTGTTGAAGGAGGGGCCTGGTGGGAGGTGATTGAATCATGGGGGTGGACTTCCCCGGTGCTGTTCTTGTGATAGTGAGTGAGTTCTCATGAGATATGGTTGTTTAAAAGTGTGAAGCACCGGCCAGGCATGGTGGCTCACGCCTGTAATCCCAGCACTTTGGGAAGCCGAGACAGGCAGATCACTTGAGCTCAGGAGTTTGAGAGCAGCCTGGCCAATATGGTGAAACCCCATCTCTACTAAAAACACAAAAATTCGCCAGGCGTGGTAGTGCACACCTGTAGTCCCAGCTACTCGGGAGGCTGAGGGAGGAGAATCACTTGAACTCGGGAGGCGGAAGTTGCAGTGAGCTGAGATCATGCCACTGCACTCCAGCCAGGGTAACAGAGCGAGAGTCTGTCTCAAAAAAAAAAAAAAAGCGTGTTTGTGTAGCACCTCCCCCATCTCTCTCTTCCTCCTGCTCTGGTCATGTAAGATGTGCCTCTTTCCTCTTCTCCTTATGCCATGATTGTAAGTTTCCTGAGGCCTCCCCTGTACTGCCTGCAGAACCGTGAACCAACTAAACCTCTTTTCTTTATAAATTACCCAGTCTCAGATAGTTCTTTGTAGTAGTGCCAGAATGCACTAATACAGTAGGTGTGGTTTAGCAGCCTGGGCTTAACTTTAGAGGAGACAGAGATGTTCCAGGTCCAGTGTGAGGCTGTGCTTGTCCACTCTCCTGACCCGGGGATCTTCCTCCTATTCTCCTGTGAAGTATTTGTATGTTCTGGGACTGAAAGAAGACCATGGTAACCACTGGAAGAACTTCGTCATTAGGGAATCAAAGAGCCCTAGGAATTATTTTAGGAGTACCTTTATAGCTCATCAGGCTGACTCATCTGGACATCATGATCAGAAGCAGGACTGGCGATTATATAGCAATATCAACATGTCCTTGTAAATGCTGGAGTATGTGGTCTACGGACAAATAAAAATAAAAAGTAAAATGCTTAATTGTTAAAAATTAAGATAGAGACTTCTCCCTTCTCTCTCTTCTTAAAACATTAACTTCAGGAAATTCATAATTATAACTTTTTTCTTTCTTTGAAATGTGTATAAATCTTTTTAGAAGTGAGATAAGTTTGTTTTATTTTTTTGCCAGCTTTATGACCCAGAAATGTCTTTCTCAAGGACCTAGGAGTCGTCTCTTGGAAATGTAAACATCAAGGGAGATAGTTTCTTTATTTCCCAGTTTCTATGGGAAGGTAGAAGCCTAACTTCAGAGGTACCTTTCTTCAGGTTGTAGAACTACTTCCTGTCATAAGATAAGTCTATTTTTCCTTTGTATAAAGCCAATTAGGTAACACGGATCATCACCCCAATTACCAGGTGAGTCTAGGATGAACTATGTGTGACAGATGGTGCTGTCAAGTCCTCTTATTCTTTATCTGGAAAACCTGTAAGTAATGAGTTGTGTCTGCTTGACTATATAAAAGAGTAAATTTTTTTTCCTGTCTCTGCACTCTTTTAGCAGATTGCTTGTGATGCACATCACATTTTGGTTTATTGCTTATTCAATAATAAAATTGCTTTATTTCTCTACTACCATTGTGGAAATGTTTTCTGGGCTGGGAGATTTTATTTTAAATTGTATTTCCTCAACAGTGGGTAATGGAAGATGTATTAGAGTTCTCAGAGAAACAGAACCAAATATATATATATTGGTTCTGTTCATATATATATATATATATATATATATATATATATATATGAATGAAGTGGCTTACATGATGATTATGGAGATCTAGAAGTCCCAGTATCTGCTGTCTACAAGCTGGAGAACCAGAAAAGCTGGCTTTGTAATTCATTTCCACCCTGAAGGCTTGAGAAACAGGGAAGCTGATGGTGTAGGTGCCAAGAAGCAGGAGCATCAATGTCCAAGGGCAGAAGAAGGTGGATGGGTATGCCAGCTCAAGCAGCAACAAACTAACTCTTCCTCTGCCTTTTTGTTCTATGTAGGCTCTCAGCAAATTAGATGATGATGCTCACCTGCATTTGTGAGGGTGATCTTTATTAAGCAATGTTTATAGCTTATTTTTGCTTTCTAAATTGCATTTTGTTGTAATTTCCCCCCTCATTTAAATTACATATTTATTTTTGTACCTAATATGTACTGGAATTTATTTCTATTTTCTCTAACGATGATCTCCCCAAATATATATGCTTTAGCCACCACATGTCTGGATCCACATACAAACCAAAAAGATTAAACCATAGGCTACCAGAAAAATAACTCATGTTAGATTTTCTCAGAGTGGGCAGCCATCGGTAAGTAAAAATAGGCGCTTCCTGACACTCCAAATGTGAAATGCCATCTTTTATTTTAGAACTCAGGTGCTTCATACTAACTGGTGAATTTTCTGAATTCTGAAAAAACTTATTAGGTACAGACAAGAGAAATGATATATAGAATCAGAACTGAGTTGGGAAATTTTCCAGTATCTTTTGAAAAGTCTGGTCAGATTATCACTACATTTACAGATTTAGAGCATTATTCCAATGTGTTAATTTTCTGCAGTGCAATGTTTCAGCAGAGATTATAAATTCAGGTATAAAATTTGTGGTTGACACAAATCAGAAGGAAGTATGATTTTCTCAAAGTAATAATAATAAAGCAATCAACACAAATATTTGCATAGTGCTTACTGTATGCCAGATACTATTCTAAGTGCCTTAACAAATGTTAAGTCTTTGTAATTTTTATGACTACACTGTGAAGCTGTTACTATTGTTATAATTTTATAGATGAGAAAACTGAGATATAGAATAGTAAATTAACTTGACCAAGTCATACAACTAGTAAATGACATATTTAAACCCAGAAAGCAGAGTTTGGAGTTAAGCAAATAGCATTTATAGAATAGGAGGAAGTACAAAAGAAAGCACAAAGTAGTACTATGACATCAAAGGAAATGTCAGGCCCAAATGTATTCCTGGCTTTTGCATGCTGTATTAGTCCATTCTCACACTCTTATAAAGAAATACCTGAGACTGGGCAATTTATAAAGAAAAGAGATTTAATTTACTCACAGTTCCACATGACTGGGGAGGCCTCAGGAAACTTACAATCATGGTAGAAGGCGAAGGGGAAGCAGGCACCTTCTTCACAAGTCGGCAGGAGGAAGAGAGCGCATAAGGGAAACTGCCACTTTTAAACCATCAGATCTCATGAGAACTCCCTCATTATCGTGAGAACGGCATGGGGGAAACTGCCCCCATGATCCAATCGCCTCCCATCAGGTCCCTCCCTCTACATGTGGGGATTATAATTCGAGATGAGATTTGAATGGGAACACAGAGCCAAAATGTATCACATGCTTCTTTGACTAGATAGGTTATCCTGTTCAGACACCTTTCTCCTTCTCATTCCCATGACTGAAACTGCCCTGCAGCAGAAGATACACAGCCCCTGAAATCAAGTGGTCCAATTACTAGCCTCAGTCAGTTCTAAACATTGTTTTCTGGCTTGGATCCTGAGGCCCAGTTTTTTTCTTCACTTGCCAAACTTTCACCAACCAAAATTTATAGATGTAATAACTCAGCTTCTCATAGATCCCTTCCCAGAGTTGGAGTTTGATCCAACACCACCCTGGTAGCTGAAGTCTTTCCTACTGGTTGATTATCTACTGGATGCTGATTGCTGATTGCCGTAGTCCTGCGTGTCACCTGCCTTGGATTCTCTATTATGGCCTGTTCTTATCGGTTGGAGTTTTCTGTTGTTCCATCTGTCATTCTTTCAAAAGGTAATGTCTTAGTCAGTTTGGGCTACTATAACAGAATACCATAAACTGGATAGCTTATAAACTACACAATACCTTTTTCATAGTTCTGCCATCTGGGAATTCCAAGATCAAAGAGTTGGCAGAAGCAGTGTCTGGTGAGGGCCGGCTTCCTTGTTCATAGATCGCTGTCATTTCGTTATGTCCTTACGTGGTGGAAGGGGCTAGTTAGCTGAGTTCTCTCTTTTTAAAAAATACTTTTTATTGACCAATAATAATTGTACATATTCATGGTGTACATAGTGATGTTCCAATACATATAATGTATAGTGATCAGATCAGAGTAATTAGCATATCCAGCATCTCAAGCATTTCTATCATTTCTTTGTGTTGGGAACATTCAATATCCTCCTTCTAGCTGTTTGAAACTCTATAATATATTATTGTCAACTATATTCTGAGGTCTCTTATAAGGGCACTAATTGGAATCTTGAGGATGGAAACCTGATGGCCTAATCACCTCCCAAAAACTCCACCTCCTAATACCATCATCTTGGAGGTTAAGATTTCAACATGAATTTTGACTGGACATAGGCATTTATTCCATTGCAGCTATGTTTATTGCCAAATTGGAGTTTCTCTTAGCCTTTCTCCTGTAAATAACCACAAACCATCTCTATATCCTTGGGCCTGGCAGAGAATGTAAATAAGGTAAATATGAGCAATCACACATATAGTAAAAAGGGAAAGTCACGTAAATCCACATCAGTTAGAAAAAATGTTCCCACATTTGTACAGTGCTTTTGATTCTTCACTTGCCACCTTACATAACTCTGGTTAATTTCACCACTTTGTGAGGTAAACAAGGTCCTAAGTGAATATTTTGGTAAGACAGAAATTGTAGGGGTCAAGGGCAAACTTTCTCTTTGCCTTTTACTGAAAGTCACTGTCAAGAGGCAAATTAATGGGAGAAAAGGCATACTCATTTATTAACGTATACATGAGAGCTTTCAGAATTTATTATTTATTTATTCATTGAGACAGGGTCTCATTCTGTCACCTATGCTGAAGTGCAGTGGCACAATCACAGCTCACTGCAGCCTCAATCTCCTGGGCTCAAGCAATCCTCTTGCTTCAGCCTCCCAAATTCCTAAAATTATAGGCATAAGCCGCCCAAAATCACCAAAATTTTTACCAGACCAAATCACCCATTTTTATGCTTAAGTTCAACGAAGTACTCACAGCTTTGTAGAAATGACTGGACAAAAATGGTCTGATCTAATGCTAATAGACTGAGTGGGGAAATCCAGCAAGGCCTGTCCATCTACATTCTTCTTGGTCCCTCTGAGCAGCACTTCTTCCTTCTGGATGGGCAGGACACTCTCTGTAATGGTGTCTTATGACCTGATAGTGAAGCAAAGAAGGTCAGATAATTTTTTTTTTTTTTTTTTGAGACACAGTCTCACTCTATCACCCAGGCTAGAGGGCAGTGGTGCGATCTCAGCTCACTGCAACCTCCGCCTCCCAGGTTGAAGCGATTCTTATGCTTCAGACTCCCAAGTAGCTGGGATTACAGGCATGTGCCACCATGCCTGGCAAATTTTTTTATTTTTAGTAGAAACAGGGTTCCACCATGTTGGTCAGGCTGGTCTCAAACTCCTGGCCTCAAGTGTTCCACCTGCCTTGGCCTCCCAAAGTGCTGGGATTACAGGAGTGAGCCACTGCACCTGGCCCAGATAATTTTTTTATGGCCAGTTTTTACACAGAAAGCTGGAAAGAGAATTGGAATAATATTTTTAGGTTTTATATCTGGCTTTGGAGAGAAGGGGTTCTGGTTTCTATGACCTGCCTTAGGGAAGAGCAATTCTAGTTTCTGTGGCTGGCCTTGGGAAAGAATGGGACTGCACAACAGGAGGTTCAGAGAAAAAACTTTTGCTTCTGAGGCCTTCATTTCAGTGTATTATTTTCTTTTTCTTTTCTTTCTTTCCTTTTTAATAGATGAAGTCTCACTCTATTTCTCAGGCTGGTCTTGAACTCCTGAGCCCAAATGATCCTCCTGCCATGGCCTCCCAAGGTGCTAGGATTACAGACGTGAGCTACCATGCCCAGCCTGGAATATTATTTTCTGAGTCCCAACAAAATCTACTCTAATTCTATAATATGTAAATATTAGACACAGTAATCTCTTCATTTTTTTTTGTACTGAATCAGCACTTTCTATTGTTTTGAGTTTGCTTGTACTATAAGTTAGGTATAAGTAGAGTAGTCTTGGTCAGTCTCAGTGTAAATGGTAGGAGGCTGAATCCAAGGCTATCATGGCCAAGGGAACCATTTATTACAAAATTATATCCAGGGAATGCCTTACATGAAGTCAGATGATGAAATGTTATATGTGGTAGGAATTTAGCAATAGCAAGGTAATGACTTGTATTAGTCTATTTTCATGCCACTGATAAAGAGATACCAAGACTGGGCAATTTATAAAAAAAAGAGGTTTAACTGAACTTACAGTTCCACATGGCTGGGGAAGTCTCACAATCATGGTAGAAGGCAAGGAGGAGCATGTCACGTCTTACATGAATGGCAGCAGGCAAAGAAAGCTTGTGCAGGAAAAATCTCCTTTATAATAACCATCAGATCTCATGAGACTTATTCACTATCACGAGAGCAGCACAGGAAAGACCTGCTCCCATGCTTCAGTTAATTCCCACTGGGTCCAACCCACAACACATGCGAATTCAAGATGAGATTTGGGTGGGTTCACAGCCAAACCATATCATCTCTTGTCCAAAATTATCCCACTTCCACCTGTGTTATGTACTTGAAAATGCACCATTCTTAAGTGATTATGTTTGGCCTTGGATTATTCTGAGTCTTCTGTAGTTCACTTTTGAAATGCAAACATCCAAGTAGGTAGGGAAACACTTAAAGTTGTTCTGATCAAACATATTAATGAGGATATTATCTGTTTGCTAAGAAAAATAGGCAAGTGGAATTGATGACAGTGGAGAGAAAACCAGGAACATAAAATGGACCCAAAAGTGATAGAAACATAAACTTCAAATCGTTTTAAAAATGGGGGGAAATTTTTGAGGAACTACTCCCAGATACACTATTTTTGATGCAATATTTTATTAGATATGTAAGTAAACTGGGATTTGGCTCTTGCTTGCTAGAGAATCAAGATGTAAGCAGGTGTAGGGAAGTTCAAACTTTTCCTCTGAAGTTTTGATAATTTGAGTATGTAAAACAAATAGGCAGATCAACAAGAGAAAAAGCAGGTATGCATTGGAGCCACACGAAACATGAGACTCAAAAAAGGGCCAGATGTCAGAAGTTTTTATACCATACAGAAAGGAATAAAGGTTTGAAGCTCCTGGTGGGAGGTTGTGACAGACTATATGAGGGCCTGGGGAGGAAATGCATGGTGAGCAAAGGCTATCTTGTTATGCAGATGAATCCTCACAGGTAACTGCTCTCAGAAAGATTAGCTGGTAGCCTGTGGTGAAAGTTTCTCTGTCAGACTTTTGAAAGTATCAGATCTCAGTCTCCTTTTCCTATGAGCTAATCTTTTCTAGATCAGGATAAGGCAGATAATGGAGTCTCAGAGAAAGCTCATTTGCATCTGTTGTTTTCGTCACTAATGTAGCTTTTCTCTACAGATGCAAATCTTCCCCAGGAAAGCACAGCTGTTTGGAGCTATTTGTATGTCTGCAGCTTCTCTGAATAGGCCAAAGAAGCATATTTTGGGTGGCATATTTTGGTTTTCCATACAGATAAACTTCTTTCGTTTTTCTTAGCCTCAGGGGCAATGTTTAAACATTATTAATATAAAATTTCCTACACATAAAAAATTTATTTTTACTTCATTGTTTAGCTACGGTACATCATATACACCCTGCTTGAAATGTTCTTCCTCTTTATCAAGCCATGCTTCACTCCTCCCTGCAGAGTCTACTCAATATTCATTTTCTTCACAAACATTTTCCAGCTAAGCTATTTGCACATTAGTCTTCATGACTGAAGACATAGATACACAGATCTTTTAACCCAAGTATCCCACGTGGTTGCAGCCCTGGACCAACAGAGGGCTATGGTAATGGGCTCTAAAAGCAATCATTCTTTGGTTCAGTAAAAATCTGCTGCACAGGAACTTAAGCCCCTTTTATAATCCTACCAGAGAGCTTTCAGGAAAATAAACATCTGAATCTACCATCCTTCCCAGGCCTCAAGGTATTTCCAAAGAGCCTAATTTCCACAGGACACACAAAGTTAGTTCAGGTTAAGCATTCGGAGTTGTCTTTAAAAATAATAAAATAAAGTCAATAAAATAAGAAAAAAATAAACTAGGCAAGACCATCTGGGGATGTGAAGGGGTGGAAATGTGCATGAGTAAGGAAAAATCTTACTGTAGCAATGACTAACTTCTCTGTTCCTCCCTCACACCCAGTTTTTCTTATGCCCTTCCCAGTGGGGCAAACTTTTACATTATTCCACAGAATACTTAATATTATTATCCTAACATTTAATTTCTAGTTTTTTTCTTTTTTTTGAGAGGGAGCCTTGCTCTGTCACCCAGGCTGGAGGGCAGTGGTGCAGTCTCAGCTCACTGCAACCTCTGCCTCCCGAGTTCAAGTGATTCTCCTGCCTCAGCTTCCCAAGTAGCTGGGATTGCAGGCATATGCCACAATGCCAGGTTAATTTTTGTATTTTTAGGAGAGACAGGTTTCACCATGTTGGCCTGGCTGGTCTTGAACTCCTGACCTCAGGTGATCCTCCCGCCTCGGCATCCCAAAGTGCTGGAATTATAGGCGTTAGCCACCGCACACAACCAAAATTTCTAATTTTCAAACAAACAAATTAGAGAGTAAAATGATTGATATGGCAGAAGGGTTTTCTTTCTGCCTCATATTTTCAACCATTTTTTACATAGAAAATGAAATTAGAATGATCTGGGAAATCTATCTTTACTAAAAGTTGGTCCTGTTATAACTTTATGGGGAAAACCTGACTTCTACACCTGTTCTGGCTCATTTAACCCTTTTTGATTTTATGCTTTTTTAGAGCTGTGGGAATGACACTGCCACCTTCTCTTGTTAAATTATGGGTGAATGTGCACATTGCCTTTCATGGTCAAAATCAAAGGCAAAACAACAGTAGCAGCAGCAAAAACAAGGACAACACCACCATCTCCTTGTACCCTGAGATAAATAAACACTTCCCCACTCAAACAAACAAGGTTGTTCCATCTAGTTCTAGTCTCTAAAATAAATGGAACCTCAGCGATTCCTATAAATTACTGACTCCCTAATAAAAACAATTTTGTTTCTGACCTTTGTAATGCTTATGTGTAAAGGTATGTGATGACTTCTGTGTGTATAACAATTCCTTGAGAAAACTGCGCATTTTTCACTATAAACATATTAACTGTAAACTGCACAACTACAGTCAATTCTTTTTCTTTAAATGCCTGTTTGTTTTTATTAAGTTTTATCTGGTGAGCCAATTATTCAAAGGTCTAGACTCTAGTAAAATTTGCTAGAAAACATTTTATTTTCTAAAAGCTCTTGCCTGTAAGAATTTTTGTTTTAAATAAAAAACAAAAACAGGGTAAAAACTGTTTTCAGTAATCACAAAAGTCACCCTTTGCTTCATCCCTTCTCCCTTTATTGTGCACCTATTATATGTTATACAATGTGTTTGAGCAGATGCAAAAAATAAGACTAATTTACTAACTTAATCTAATAAAGGGGCACAGATACAAATAATCACAACAAAACACAAATGTAGGGTATATGCAAATGCAAATTGGGATGTGGCAACAAAAAATAAATAACAATGCGAGGTAGAAATAAATCTAAAGTTATTCAAGCCTAACCTCCTCATTATACAGATGAGACTACTGGGAGTATTTTAGTCAATGTTGTACAGTGATTTAGGGGCTTAGCCTGGATAAAATCCAGTTTCCTGGAGCCTTCCAGAGCTCTCTCTAAAATATGTCTGTCATACCTGTTGTTGCAGTGCCTCCCTATAGGGCTATACTCATAGGATACAAAGTCATTATTGGCCATCCAATTCAGTCACATACTTATTGGTATTGACTTCCCAGTGAAGTTGAACCTAAAAGGAATCACTCAGTAAAAAATTAAAATCAGTTGTTTCTAGGTGAGAGGGCTTTTATATACCTTTTCAATTTTGCAATTATTTCTATTACAATCTTGCATTATTTTTATTTTTATTTTTTATTTTTTTGAGACAGAATTTTGCTCTTGTCACTCAGGCTGGAGTGCAATGGCAGGATCTCGGCTTACTGCAACATCCACCTCCCGGGTTCAAGCAATTCTCCTGCCTCAGCCTCCCGAATAGCTGGTGCCCACCATCATGCCCAGCTAATTTTTGTATTTCTAGTAGAGACGGGGTTTCACCACGTTGGCCAGGCTGGTCTGGAACTCGTGACCTCAGGTGATCCAACTGCCTTGGCCTCCCAAAGTGCTGGTGTTACAGATGTGAGCCACCGTGCCTGGCCCCTAGCATTAATGTTATACTTAGAAAAAAAGTTGAAAGAAGGAAAAAAGTAAGCCTTACCTTGAAAACTGGAGAAACCATTAAGAAAGAATATAGAAATTACAAGAAGGAAAGTGTGTCTGGTTTGGGGGAAGTGGATAGGAGTGAAAATTGGTGGGAGAGGATGTTCTGGGTTGATCTGTGTTCTGGCAGTAGAGTAGTCACATCCTGAGAACTTGGCAGCAAGAAACTTCAACCCTAGAAACTCTTGGGAATAGCCCTCTAACAGCTGCGGGTAGCTCTGCCTTAGCCTAGCTGGTCCCAGCTTCTCCTGCAGCTGCAGACTCTGTGGGTAATGAGGTTCCTGGGGCTCATTTTTGTTTTTTCAAATCTAGATCTTAAAGCAGCTTCAGGTCTTACCTTGAGAGACTATACAAGACCTGATTGGATAGAATTCCCCAGGAAAAGAGGTTGAATAAGCAAATAGCTTTGGGAGAGCATTTTTTATTTAGAACTTAAATATTTTCTCTAAAGTACATGATAGACAACTGATTAGGAGTGAAGAGTGCACTAGGGCTCTTGTGATGGTCTAAGAAGGTCGTAGAAGGTAGAATATAAGATTGTGTGTGGAATAAATATGTTAATAACCACATTGTCTTACCAAGGGTTTCTTACATTTACCTTCAACTGTGTATGTGTGCACAGAAATATTTTAAGTTGCAGTAAAGTTCAGAGGAAATATAATGGAGGAGAAAAAGAAACCAAGGGAATTGGAATGAAGAGAAGAACCTCAATGACAGTGTTATGAAAACACCAGGGGTTCAGTCTAGGTCCTGCGGCTCACCTCACAGAAAGCCAATCACTGAGACAATGAGTATTGCCAGGGAGAAGGCTTTAATTGGGGAGATGGGAGATCACTCTTAAATCCATCTCCCTGACCAACTAATAGCAGGGGTTTATACAGCAGGGAAGAAATGTAACTACCTACAGGAAAACAGGAATTAGGGAGGGGTAAGGAAGTGGAGTTGGTCAATAGGAAGCAGGTGGTAGGTTAGGCAATCATGGTGGATGAAGGGGGTCTGGCCTCTCATTGTCCAGGTGTGGTCATTTGATAAGTTTCAGGTCTTTGATACTATCTGGGAGGCCTGATGATTGGTTTCTGAGAAAGAAACTCAGATAAGACAATTGAACTTTCTCAAGCTTTAAGACCGGGAGGGTCAATTTCTATGTTTATTCAAAAGAAATTATAAGCATCAGTTCTATGGGACAATTGGGCCAGTTTCTGTGGGATGCGTCACAGATGTCAATTGGCTTTTACGTGGTGATCTGTCCACCTCAGCCTCCCAAAGTGCTGGGATTATAGGTGTGAGCCACTGCACCTGGCCACTCCAGTAATTTTAATTTGTGCCCTTTTAACTCATATAGCCAGCATTAGTCTTTGTCAATGTTAAGAAATGCATTCGTAGTTTCACTTTACTTTTACATCTTTATTCATTTTAGATTTTTATTGTATATGGGGTTTAACAAAGAATATCTTTTTTTTTCTGTCAGATAGATATCCCATTATTTCAATCCTATTTGGTCAACACTTCATTGAACACTTTCATAGAATTGAAATACTATATTTCTTAGACTAACATAGTTTAAGAATATTTATTCACTCTGTTCTTATGAAATTTACAATTCAATCAAAACTTGAACCAGTTTCTAGACTACTACGTATTCTGTAATCCTGATTAAATTTTTTTGTGGCAGTAACATATTTATACATTTATATTATATTTATTTAAAAATACATATATATTTCAAATCAAGTGTTCTCTTCAGAAAAATTAGGCCATTTTCACCTTCATTGCTTTTGTTCTTCTTTAAAAAAATAATTGTAGAGTGTTTTAGACATTTAGAAGTTCATAGAAAATAGGCCGGGCATAGTGGCTCACGCCTGTCATCCCAGCACTTTGGGAGGCCGAGGCGGGTGCATCACTTGAGGTCAGGAGTTCGAGACCAGCCTGGCCAACATGGTGTACTAAAAATAAATTACCTGGGTGTAGTGGAGGGCCCCTGTAATCCCGGCTACTCGGGAAGTTGAGGCAGGAGAATCGCTTGAACCCAGGAGACGGAGGTTTCAGTGAGCCGAGATCATGCCACTGCACTCCAGCCTGGGCAACAGAGTGAGACTACATTGCAAAAATAAATAATAAATAAATAAGTTCACAGAAAATAATGCTGACATATTTATATTTACCACTAAACTTAAAAGTTATTAGTATTTTACTATATTTGCTTTTACTGTATTGGTTTATATTTTTATTCTCTTAAAAATAAAAAAATTGCAAATTGATCTAAATCCCTACTCTTTATTTTCTTTTCCTGCCTGCCTAGCTAGAAGGACAACTTATCAAAAATTAAAAGATATCTATCCCATGTATGATTTTATATTTTCGTAGATACATATGATTCCATGAGAAATATAAAGTGTTGTTTCATGTTGTAAACCAAAAATAAAACTCTAAGTCCCCTCAACCATCTAAATGGACCCCTACTCTCTGCTAAGGGCATTCCAAAGTTGGTTTGGACCATGACAGGAAGGGGGGTTGGACATGACGCATTATACTCTCCTCCCTTTTGGAATTCAGGAAAAGCTGATCAGCATTAACACCAACACAGATCTTAAATCTAATAGGTCTGCGTTGGTGGTAATGCTGGTCAGTGGTGTTAATGCTGGTCAGCATTAGGAAATATTTACACTTGATCTTAGCCAAAAGGCCGAGAAGTCATAGTAGGAGATACTTATGATCTACTTTCTCCTAAGCCTGTTACCTGGAGGCTTCATTTGCATGATAAAACTCTGCTCTTCACAACTCCTCATCTTAACCCACACTTTCCTTTCTATTGATTCCAGCTCTTTAGATAATTTAACTCTTTCAACCAGTTGCCAATCAGAAAAGTTTTAAGTCTACCTATAACCTGGAAGCCCCTGCTTCAAGGTGTCCTGCCTTTCCAGATGGAACCAATGTATTTTATTGATATCTCATGTCTCCCTAAAATGTATAAAACTAGGCTGTGCCCCAACCACATTGGGCACATGTTCATCCTGGGCACATGTTCTTCTTGCGCTGTGTTACCGGACATTGGTCAATCATATTTGGCTCAGAATACATCTCTTCAAATATTTTGCAGAGTTTGACTCTTTTCATTGACAGTGTGCTTAAAATTTAAATAACTAATATTTTACTATAGCTATTATTTTGTATCTTGCCTTTTTTTAACTCAGCAATATATTTTGATGATTTATTCCGGTTGACACCTAAAAACCTAATTCATTTATATTAACTATTGTATAACATTCCACGTAGGTATAAACTAGAGTTGGATCACTCAATTCCTGATGAACAGATGAATTGTTTTTAATTTTTTAGTATTACAACTCACATTATAAAAAAAATTATTATACTTATTTTCTTGTCCATGTGTGCAGAGTGTGTCTATAGGTAAAACTTGCTTGGTCTTGGGTATTAACTTTTCCCTGATTACTACTGAGTTCCACATCTTTTCATAATTTTTTTGTCTTTATTTTGTTCTATAAAATTAGCATATTTTCTATTAGATTATTTGACCATTAAAAAATTAATTATTAACAGCCGGGTGGGGTGGCTCATGCCTGTAATCCCAACAATTTGGGAGGGTGAGGCAGGTGGATTACTTGAGGACAGGAGTTCAAGACCAGCCTGGCCAACATGGTGAAACCCCACCTCTACTAAAAATACAAAAATTAGCCGGGCGTGGTGGTGTGCACCTGTGGTTCCAGCTACTTGGGAGGCTCAGGCACGAGAATCGCTTGAGCCTGGGAGGCAGAGTTTGCAGTGAGCCAAGATGTAACCACTGCACTTCAGCCTGGGCAACACAGCAAGACTCTGTCCCCCTCCCCCCAAAAAAGAAAAGATTTTAACATAATGTGCATATAGATTCTTTGTTGTTTATTTGTGTTGAAAATATTATCTCCCAGTCTTTTTTTTTTCTACTTCCACTTGCTGAATTGGGTCATCTGTAATATAGAAGTTTTAATTTTAAAGTTGTTAAACGTATCAATCTTGGTTTACTGCTTCTAGCAATATTGTAGTCTTGAAATGCTGAAAGTTACCTGCTACACGGCCTCTAATCAGCTTTTTGCTGGATAACATATAATATTAAAATAAAAGCCGACTCTTCAAATTGTGTAGGTGGACTTGCCAGACAGTAGGGGAAATTTCTGAGGCCAGAACAAAGTAAAAGCACCAGCCCAGATGGGACAGGTAGGTCTGAAGCTGCCAGCTGTACTTGGGGCCTCTCTTGAGGCAGGTGGTCTGGACCTGTGGTTTAATGGAAGCACCCTCAGGTACAGGAGACCAGGCCTTGCACTGTGTAGGACGTGGAGGCAGGATCCAGCCCCTCACACAAGTGAGACCATGAAAGAAATATAGTCTCCGGAAAAGGATGAACTAGAAAAGATATCCATCCCACTTTTAAATTTCGGCCTTCGCTATGGATGGAGGAAAAGCAATCTTTTTGTGAATAGATGATCTTTCCCTAATTTTCTTTGTTAAAAAACTATAAGCAATGAATGTTAATGTAAAGTAGATCTGGGTCGTCAATGATCCCAGGTAACTGCAGCAGTGAATGCAAATCCTCTGTAGAGGAAGGCATCCTCAAAGCAGGACTGGAAACTATCCCCATAGAGATGTAAGAAATATAACCTCATAATAAAATAAAAGCTCAAAACTTATGAGGGTACAGGGCACAATGAATATGAGTAAGCAGAAACAGTAGGTAGCAGAAACAGACCCCCAGAAACCTCAGTATGAAAATATTAGAATTGTTGGATCCAGAAAAAGTAAGCTTAATATATTTTAAAAAATGAGAAGGAATAAAAAACATGGGTAGAGAACTAGAGACAAAATTATCAAGTAGATTTGATAAGGACATAGATGGGATTTATAGAAAAATGTAATTACATTTAGCAAATTAATGGTTTCACTATACAGTAGATTAGACAGAGTTGAATACATTAGTAAATTGAAAGAGAGGAAAACATGATTCAGAATGCAGAGGAAAGGAAACAGAAAAACATAAAAGAGTAGGTAAAAGACATAAAAGGTAGAAGTAAGGGTCAGCTAAGTTTCTCTTAAAGAGCTGGATTATAAGTAATTCAGGTTTGTGGGCCATATGATTTCTGTCACAATTACTTAACTCTATTGTTGTAGCCTGAAAGCAGCCAGAGACAATGTCTAAATGGGTGTGACTGTTCCAATCAAATGTTTACAAAACCAGGTGGTTCCCAGTGGGCTGTGGTTTGCTTGCCTAACTTGTGGACTAGAGTGTTCTAACAACCATTTAATTGCAGATACGAAATGAGAGAATCAAGAGAATTGGGGGAAAAGCAACATTTTAAAAAAAATCACAGAAACATGAAAGATATCTGTTGGAGCTCAGAGAATGATACCCCAAAGTATGATGCTTTGGCATGATAAGTACTTTGAACTAGAGATGGGAAGGCCTCAGATGCAGCCTCAGAAGCAAAGTCTCTTTCTGACCTTTGCCTGCCCTCCTATCTTTCACCTCTCTTTCTACCCTGAAAGGGGGAGAGAGTCATAAAAATCAGAATTCCTCTTCCCCAAGTCAAGTTGTAGAAACTAGAGCCTCTTTCCCTCAAAGAAATTCATAAAACCTAGAAAGGTCACTCTCTCCCTTCTCTCTTGAAGACCCTCCTTCCAAAGGGATTCTGTCTAATACCCAGGAGGAAGGAATGCTAAATAGAGAGGCCAAAAAGAGTCTGAACAGACAGGCTTTGCTGGATTTTCACTCTCGGTCTATTACCATTTGATTATATCATTTTGTCCAGCCACATTTCTGCATGGCTGTCTATTCTCCATCAAACCTAAGCATAAAAATAGACAGCTTTCCCTGAATCTTTGGATCTTTGTTTCTGAAGGCATCCACATAATATAAAACTTTGACTGAATAAATTTGTTATGCTTTTCTCTTGTTAACTTGTCTTATAGGAGTGTCAGCTGTCACCCTTTTTGATGGATGAGGAAAGGTATCAATCACGTTGGTTCAACCCCTACACATTAATTTTCAGATTCAGGAATTTAAATAAATTATAAGTAAGATAAATAAAATAAAATTAACACATAGATATATCAGAGTAAAGTTGCAGAACACCAAAGACAATATAATGTAACATGAGCCAGAGAAAACATTATCATCCATGAAGGAACAAAAAGTAGATTGCTGACTATTCCACAGCACAATAAAAGTCTTAATAGTAGAGAAAATTACTGCTATCTTAGAATTTTACACCAAACTCTTCTAAAAAAACAGACATTTTCGAATAAACAAAAATTGAGAGCATTTGCCACAAAGAGACTCTCACTAAAGGAAATTCTAAAAACCAACAACAACAACAAAAATCTAAGTTGAGGGATTAAAAAAGACCAAAGCATCTTGATGGTAACAATAGGTGAGTCAGGAGAGAGATAGTAAAGATAAAGCATCCATGTATCTCTGTGTTGTTAAGACGAAGGAGCGGGATATTGGTTAATTTAGATATTCTAAATTGCACATGTTAAAATTTCAGGATCCCCACTGAAAGAATAAAAAACAAGGTTAACAACTTTCAGATCTGTAGATGGGGAAAATGAAAAACAAAACAAAACAAAACCTTAATTCAGAAGAAAGCAAAGAAGAAAAAAAGCAAAAGGAAGCACTGAAATAGTGGGACAAATAGAAAACAAAAGATATAAATGGAAATAGATCTAACTATGACAATTACCACAAAAAAGTAAGTTGATTAAATTATCCACTTAAGTGATATAGAATACCAGACTAGCTTTGAAAAAACAAACCTACAATATGCTATTTTCAAAAAAAAGCATCGAAAGTGTGCACCAGGCAAATGCAAAACAAAGGAAAGCAAGCGTAACCTTATTCATATAAGCTAAAATAGATTTAAGGCCAAATGTATTAGAGTAAATAGATAATGTCACTAAATAATTAATAACATTTAGTTCACAAGAGATAGATTCAACAAGATTCAAACTTTCATCCACCAAGTGAAGTAGCTCCTAACTACATAAATAAAACTAGAAGAGTGCAAGGAGATATTGACAGAATTGACAGATTGGTCATTATAGTGGGAGGTTTTTTTTTTAAATGGAGTTTTGCTCTTGTCACTCAGGCTGGAGTGCAATGGCATGATCTCGGCTCACCACAACCTCTGCCTCCCGGGTTCAAGAGATTCTCCTGCCTCAGCCTCCCAAGTAGCTGGGACTACAGGCGTGCGCCACCACGCCTGGCTAATTTTTGTATTTTTAGCAGAGAATGGGGTTTCACCATCTTGGCCAGGCTGGTCTCGAACTCCTGACCTCATGATCCACCTGCCTCAGCCTCTCAAAGTGCTGGGATTATAGGCGTGAGCCACCACGCCTGGCCTGGTGGGAGGTTTTAACATACTTCTCAATAACTTATAGATCAAGAAGACAAAAATTATACCAGTACAGAACACTGGAATAACAACATGCTTGATCTACTGGACCTGTTTAAAACTCTTCACCACCAGATTAAAGGGTTTGTGCTTTTGCTTCCATAGATTTTCACTATTATTTATTTTATACCTTTTTAGTTGGGTACAAATATGCAGACACAAATATTCAGAGTTTTTCATGTTCTTAGTCCAGCAAATTTTTAAGAGTAGAGTTTTCACTTATTTTTATCAAACAGTTGTTTCTTGATTCTGAAGAATTATATACAGAAACAGAATCATTTATTGAGTTAAAGAGACATTCACAGTTTTTTACACATTTTGAAATTTTACTAATAATTATAATGCACAAATTATGTGCAGTGAATTGTTTTAGATATTCTGTGAAATACATTGAGGCAAGGGATACTCTTTTCCCTTGTATTTGCTTTTTAGGGCTGCTTAGCAGTATCCTGAAAGCTGGGGTCATGGCAAGTGGAGGTAGGCATTCAGCATCCCACTTTGTCTATAAGAGGACAATTTCTGCTTTCTGCCATCACATAAACTGAAACCTGGTAAGGGCAATGGGTATAGCATGATGCAATATAGGTACTTTATATGCTGACTTATAAGAAAATTTCACCTGGTTTAATTTTTAATCCTTTTTCTTAGGCTGCAATCAAGTCATACATTTAAGAAACTTGCATTATTAATTAATATTCTCTTCATTCAAATGATATGAGAAAAATCAAGATGATTCATGGAACATTATCTCTTTCTATGCAATATATTGAGAGGGCTGAAAAGAGGACACCCACATGTAAATGGAAGATGTAAACCTCTCTCTGCATTGTTTACCTCTTTGTTCTTTCTAAACTTTGGAATGTCTTGCCTTTCTTCATGTGTGATTAGCACAGGATATATTTCCCAATGCCTTTCCCAAGTTCAATGTCACATAATCAAACTTTAAGGAAGCAGATAGATCCCCTAACAGGTCACTGTTTCCTAAAAACAGTAGACTGCAGTCTACCTGAGTCAGTGGAATAAGAAAATCTCCTCTGCAAAAACAGTCTTCTTATAAAAAGTAACCTGCAGTAACCTGATTTTAGTTAATTAGGTTTCTTTTTTTCTATTGTTGTTTCTTTGTTCCTGCGTTACAAAACCCACTATTCTGCCATTGCCCAGTGGGAGCTATCATTGTATTTTGTAGAATGGATGCTGTCCCAATTCATGAATTGCAAATGAAAGCCAATTAGATCTATAACTAAATTTGTTGTAATTTTGTCTTTTGACACTACATAAAGGGTGACTTTAGGGAGACTTTGGACACTACATAAAGGGACACTACATACCATGTAAAGGGAAACTTCAGATAGATTAAAGTTCTCAATGTGAAAAAAAACTGTGAGGCTAATAGAGGAAAATATAAGAGAATAGCTTTGTAATCTGGGTGGGGTACTTTTGATGTTAATATTTAAAAGCATAAATCATAAGGCAAATAATAAATTTTAGTTATCTAAAAATTAAGGATTTCCGATTTCCTTTAAACAATGTATCTTATCAACAAGTCAAACATAAAATTGACCAATTGGGAGAAGAGATTTGCAATTTTTACAAACAAGAAAGGATTAATATCCAGACAATTTATGAAACTTTACATATCAGCAAGAATAAGACAGAGACCCCAATAGACAAATCCGCAAAAGATAGTAATTTATAGGAAACCTAAAGAACAATGTGCATCTAACTATAACTTCAAAGTGATCAGTAAACAGAGAAATGCAAAGTAAAATAAATAAGAATAGAAAGGAAAATGATAGAGAAGCAGATACTGGGAGCCAAGAGAAAACTTCCCCTTTGTCCTCTGAAGTTTTGTTGAAACTCACTGACAAGAGATAGATTAACAGGAGAAAAGGCATATAAATTTATTAATGTGTACATGGAAGTGTGAACCCCCAAAATTTGAGACAGGTCTCAGTTAATTTAGGGAGTTTATTTTGCTATGGTTGAGGACATGCACCTATGACATAACCTCAGGAGGTCCTGACAACATGTGCCTAAAGTGGTTAGAGCACCATTTGGTTTTATACATTTTAGGGAGACATGATCATCAATCAGCATATGTAAGATGAACATTGGTTTGGTCTGGAAAGGTGGGACAACTCAAAGTGGGGAGGTAGCTTCTGGGTCATAGGTAGATAAGAGAGAAATGGTGGCATTCTTTTGAGTTTCTGATTAGCCCTTCCAAAGGAGGCTATCAGATATTTATCTCAGTGAGCAGAGGAGTGACTTTGAATAGAATGGGAGGCAGGTTTGCCGTAAGCACTTCCTAGTTGACTTTTTCCTTTAGCTTAGTGATTTGAGCAGCCCAAGACATTTTTCTTTCGGGTTTTCCCCCTTTTGTTTGTTAAAATCTTTTGGAGAAGCATTTTAGAAGAAAATGAGTCTCTGGTCTCAGGTGTTGTCTGTCTCTCATAGCTAGGATGGTTTATCCTAGATGGATAGGTCCTGAGTTGTCAGGAAAACTCATTATTTTTTAGCAGGTTGAGAGGTCTTATGGCCTATGACGAGAAAATAGGGGGAGGAAGGGAGAAAAGCACCAACAAACAAAAGAACAATCCTGGAAAATCAATATAGGCCACATTACTCTGAAGTCCATACATCAGTAGGCAGGTATGAAAGTGGCTTATGTATATATGTATGTATACACATTGCTGTTATTTTCTTGTGAAGTTTAAGTTGTTTAGCTTCAGTTTGCCGGGCTTTACAAAAGTACAGCTTAGTTTTCAGTGACTCCAAATTATAAAAAATGGACAAAAAAGGAAACAAAATTTAAAACATTATTTTGCAAGCTTGTAGCGAAGAAAAATTAGAATTAGGTCCAAAATGTAGAAAATAATCAAAATAGAAAAACATTAGGCAAGACTAGAATCTAACAACAGGTGTACTATAGTTTTTGAAACATAATTTTTCTCTCTCCAGTTTCCCATTTTTAGTAAAGACAAATCATGGTAGGACTGATTTGCTTTATTTTACTTGGGCTGATTATTTGTATATGAGGCATCAATAATAATATTTTTTTACATAGGCTTTTAAATTAGCTTTGATGGAACTTTGTTCCATAGGAGGAATCTCAGATAAGACTTTTTTTTAAAGCTGAGCCCATCCATGTATTTGTACCATCAAATACCTGTAAGTTGGGTGATTCCTCTCCTCTTGAGGTTCCAAGATAAACTTGGGGCTCCAGGGCCTGTCAAAGAGTGACATTCTTTACTTACCACAGGTGGGAACCCTGTACAATGACTGTGTAGACAAAGGTAAGAGGCCAGTTTTTCCAAGGGGTCTTTATTGGCTCCATTTAAGTCAAGTTTGATTCCTTAAAGAAAAGCACACCATTCCAGTCAAAGCCTTGGTAAAATAACCAGTTTTTCCAACTGTGTCCTGTTACAAATGAAAACACATTCTTATTGCACTTATGCAAATAACTGTATTGTCATAAGTTAAGAATACTCACAAACAGTTTCCAGATTCTGTAGAAATCAGGTAGAGAGAAACAAATATGCTCCAAATTTTGTTCTGAGGACTATTCTTTACTTAATTGTTAAAAGCTGTAAATAGCTTAAAAGAAAAGTTTTCTTGACCCTGAAAAACAAAAGAAAGATCAGCAACGTTTTAAGCAAAAAGTTAAAAATGTTACTTTACACTTCTATTAGTTTAGTCCATGCAGTTAATTCATGTTCTGCTTGATATTCATGAACATTTCAGCTATTCATGAGTCCTGAAATTTTTTCCTCTATTCTGATGTCACAGTCTCCAAAGTTATCAGAAACCTGCATTCAAGAGCATCTGTTAGAGTTTTATAGCTGATTATAAAAACCACTGAAGAGGACCAAAACAAGACAATTGCTTGTGGATGACAAAAAGTTTTAGGGCAGGAATAGTTAAAGACACAATTGATGAGGAAATTTGTTACCTCTGTGGCATATGCTAATTAAACATAACAATTATAATTATTATTGATAATGTACGCTGTCATATTAGAATTATAGGAGTTTTATCTAATTTTGGGACACATACCTATAACATATTTATACAAATACAGCCCAAAGAAAACCAAACACCATTTCATATTTGACAATGCTTCCTGTATAATATTTATACCAACAATAAGCCAAATACATCATTTTTGGACTTTAGGGAATCTATTAATAATATCTTAAAAGATTAAGTCAGAAAAAGACAAAATTTATATTTGATTTTGGAAATTTATCAATTATCAAAGGTTTATAACACTTGATATCACAAAATAGGATTACAGGTCATTGTAAAATAAGTCATTCATTTAGCCAAAGTGATAACTCAAGGATTTAAAAAAAAAAAGGCAAAAACATTCATTTTTTGACAGAGGAGGCTTAATTTTCTAAACAATAAGCCCTAACAAAACAGCATGAAGCCAATTAAATTTGTTTTTCAAAACTTTATAAACAATCTACAAAATTTTAATATTGATCATGATATAATTTCCATAGACCTTTTATAACCTTTATTAAGGAGTTGGTTAATGCTTTAAGAAAACCTTGTTAATCTGACACAGGGGCCCATATGCTGGTCTTGCATCAGTGTGATTTTGATATTAATGGTTAATTTATAGTGAAACTAAGCTTATTTTATCTCTCAAAATTGGCCCTTACAATTTCATATGCCCACCTCTCCTGTGACAGTCCCTGGGCCTTGAGGAGTTGAATGACTTTAATTTCTGGCCCTGTGTCTCAGGAATGCAGGTTATTTTAACTAGCATTTTCTACAGGGCCTGAAGATGAGGATTTAATTGCTGTCAGTTTTTAAGATTTAGCAGGACTTGGTTTCCTTTTTAGACCCAGGATTCAAAGCCCTGTAACTTAATGTTACAAGTACTTTAAAAGCACATACAGAAAGATAAATGGATGTAATAACCTTAATTAAAAAAAATTAATCTCGGTTTTTTTCCTAAGCAAACCAAAACTTAATAATAATGGCATAAGAATTTTTTCGATAAAATGTAAAATCTGTTAGGCCAGTTACCAAAAGGCAGAAGAAAAAGAAAGAAAACATTTCCTTTAGACTTTTAAGAAAATATTGTTAGCATCAGACCGCAACAAACAGAACTTGGGGGAAAAAAACTTAGATAAGCTGAAAATGAGTTGAAAGAGAGTGTTATTATTTCATTCCTTTTAAAAGGGGAGAGAAAACTGAAAACGACAAGATGCAGTAAAAGTTCAACTTTGGGTTTAAAAAGAAATTAAAATCTCTTATAATTTATTAAGAGTAAATCAGTCCCTTAAGAAAATTTTATTGTTCTAATTAACTCTTTAGTGTATAAGTGTGTTTTTTACATCAGACCCAATCTCTAGAGAGACAATTATAATTTCCCTTTAATTATAGGCAACTTGATTGTATAAAAATTATTTTTTAAAAATAAATCCTTTTATTGTGACTTAGACCATTTATGATATGCTTGGACTTTCTGGTTTGTCCTTAACATCCCTCTTTCTAAACAACCAGTCATTTTATTATACGTCTAAATTTGCCATACAAGATTCTTTCTTATACAAAATTATCTCTCTTTAAGCTTTCTTACCAAAAATACTTCTTTATTTCTGTAACTTTCTTTACATATCTTTTATTTTCTGGTTCCTTTTACCTTATTTTATACATAATCTTTAAATAAGCTTTGAATTAGACAAAAATTGTTCACCATTTTAAAAAGGATATACTCATAATTTATTTTAATCATTTACCTAGATTATTTATGAAAATTGTAATACTCATCATTTAAAGTTATGGAACCATTATTGCAAAATTATAACTGAGACAATGAAAAAATAATGTGACCTAACTGACTCCATTGTGCTTTTAACCTCCAAACTGTCCTTCATTCCTGGATGTAGGCCTAACTAACTTTGGGAGAACAGAGTTTATAGTTTAGCTTTGAAACAAAGATGATAACAGTCCTTTCCCAAAACAACCTCCTTAATACCTGTGGACTAGACTGCCTAAAGCCACAGGATTAGAAGTTATGGTAATTTTACTAAATTCACGATGCAGTTATTTTCATTAAACCAATGTTAATGTCTTATTTATTATAAATTACACAAGCAAAGGTCATTCTGTTTTGGGCTGGGTTTAGTTTTGAAACCCCTGTGCCAAATTATGGCATCTTATAATATTTGGCATGGATAAGTATGAAATTGCTTGATTAATAAATGCAAACGAAGAGGTATGCTGGCAATTCTTAAGCCATTTCTAATATTAATTTATCAATAATTTTAAAGCTAGTTTATTTATTAAAGACTTTATTTGGGTTATGTAACTTGAAAAAGAATTTGACTAGGCTTCGCTTTTTTCTTGATAAAGTATTTGTTTTAAATGCTTTTATTTTCTTAAGCTGATTAATTAGAGTTCTTTATATAGTTTCAGTAGTGAAACATTGTGTACACAACACATAAATACATAGATGTATTAGACATGCCAATAGAGGTACATCTTATAGATTCATAAAAAACTTTTTTTTCCTGTCTTTCTCAGATTCTTCATAACCTGTTTCACAACCCTAGGCAGTAGTCAGATAAATAACCTTAAATTTGCATATCAAAGGAAACAACTCAGGTGAAAATCAAATAGCAAAATTTATATCATAAGGCATGCAGAAAAAAACCATGGTGTGCTAGAGGGAGATTAAAGATGGATGCCAAATGAAACATAAAATTATAAAAATCTATCATAGGATTATATAAGGAGACCAATTTTATTTAGCTAGGGACTACCTAACTTTTAACTGGATTTCTGAGCTCTGGGCAGAGCCCACACTGAATCCTCGGTTTCCAAAAAGGGAGAATTATGAGGCTAGGCCACATGATGTTTTTACAGTGCACTTAAAAAAATTTTTTTTTAACAAAGACATTTCTAAGTGTCCAGACTACACTCTTCTTTAAAAATCCAAGAATAACCTCTGTTGCAATAACTATTTTATTCAATAAATCAGGTAATGCAATACAAAAGCAAGCAAGTTTATCTTTAAGATCTAAGATAAACTTGTCTGTTTACACTCTTGGGGTTCCATAAGGAAAAACCGATTTCTCTCCCAAAGGGAGTCTCGTGCCTTCTCCATTTTCTTTAAGGAACTCCAGCTATTATAAACTATTTTAGGTTCCTTATGCAGCAGAGGGTGCAAGAGAAGGGAGAGACAGCAGAAGTAAGTGAAGAAAAGAGAATTCAGTCAACTGAGAAGAAAAAAAACTTTTGCTCAAAAAAAAAAAGGACTAGGTCTTAGGAGAGAAAAATAAAAACAAAAATATGAAGGCTTTTTAAATACAAACATACACACACACACATACAAACACATCTTGGATGTTAGCTTTTAATTAAGCTGACTTTAACCATTGAGATCCTTTAAAAACATCTTTTAAAATCTCATTACCATATTTCAGCTAGGACAATTGCTGCTATCGGAAGTACAGCCATTGCTCTTTCAGTCTGGCCTGGCTAGCAAAAGGTGGCCTTGTTGTGTAAATACTATGTTAAATAAATAGTCAAAATAAAAAATCTTTCCTCTTTTTTTTTTCTTTTGCTGGCCATTTTTCTCCCCTCACCACATCACTTGTGCGTGTGTGTGTGTGTGTGTGTGTGTGTGTGTGTGTATTTAGCCACTTCAGAGGCCTCATTCCCCATAATTTGGAACTTTCCTTCGAATTTGATCAAGTTGGATGGAGTTGGTCAAATCCAATGGGAAAAAGACTGAAACAACAACAAAAACAGAAACAAGCAACAACAAAAAAACAGTTAAGCAAAACAAATGATTGCACAACATATACACTTACTGATCGTTCTGATAAGAGAAATTAAGACCAGCTAGTTGTTTACCAAGACAAACCCCAGTTGAGTTACTTACCTAGGGATCCGTCCCAGGCTAAAGACTGCTCTCTATCATCCTAGAAGCAGGAAAAAAAAGCCCCTCATCTTCCCTGTTGGAAGTTAACTCAAACTCCATAAAGGAGTTTCCTGCCTTCCATCATCATGGAAGTAGGAAAAACTTGCCTTCTGTGTGTTGGAATCCAACAAAAGGAGTTGTACAGCAAAATAAACTTTAGATCTCAACCAAATTTTGGGAGATCGTGGATTCTCTGGAGGGGTTGCTTCCAAGCCTCAGCAAATTGTCCTATTGGTTTGAGCCATAAAGATAGCACAAGCTAGTACCAAGCACTGATAGATTTGTCAAAGGTCAGGGGCACTTCCACTCAGAATTGCTCCGTGGTTACTAAAATGTGAACCCCAAATATTAGAGACAGGTCTCAGTTAATTTAGAAAGTTTATTTTGCCAAGGTTGTGGACATATGCCCATGACATAGCCTCAGGAAGTCCTGACGACATGTGCTTAAGGTGGTTAGAGCACAGTTTGATTTTATACACTTTAGAAAGACATGAGACATCAATCAACATATATCAGATAAACATTGGTTAGGTCTGGAAAGGTGAGGCAACATGAAGCGGGGAGGGGGCTTCCAGGTCATAGGTAGATAAGAGACAAATGGTTGCATTCTTTTGAGTTTCTGATTAGCCATTCCAAATGAGGCTGTCAGATATGCATTTATCTTTGTGAGCAGAGGGGTGACTTTGAATAGAACGGGAGGCAGGTTTGCCGTAAGCAGTTCCCAGATTCACTTTTCCCTTTAGCTTAGTGATTTGGGGGACCCAAGATATTTTCCTTTCCCAGAAGCCTTTAGAATGAAGACCTAAACATACAGGGAAAATTGTCAATTTTTATGCTTAGCTTCAACAAAGTATGAATAGCTGCTTGGAAATGATTGGACAAAAAGTTATGAATCCAATGGTGATAGAATGGGGAAACACAGCAAGGTCTGTCTAGATTCTTCTTGATATTTCTGATCAGGTGTTCCCTCCTTCTGGGTATGGATAAGTACCCTCTCTGGAATGGGAGTCTTATGACCTACAGTCAAACAAAATAGGTCAGATAATTTATGGCTAGTTTTTATATCGAAAGGTGGAGGGAAAGTTAGAGTAACTTTTTTAGGTTTTATGTCTGCCTTTGGGGAGAAGGGGTTCTGGTTTCTATGACCCACCTTGGGGAAGAGGGATTGTAGTTTCTATGGCTGGCCTTGAAAGAGAATGGGACTGAGTGACAGGAGGGCAGGAGAATATCAGAGCTAAACTTTTACTTCTGAGCCTGCTCCTGAGTCCTTCATTTTGGTGTATTGTTTTCTGAGTCCCAACACAGACCACAGATTATTAAGCCATAATTAGGATGCATGGAGTAGATATACACATAAAAACATACTTATCTCTATGAAACATAGTTCTTAGTGAAAAAAAGAAAAATATGATACATAAAATGCCATTTTTGTACATTAAAAACATACATACCATCAAAGCAAAAGCTGCAACAGTTATATAGGCCAAGAAAGACTATTCACAACATTACAATAGGGAAGAGAGGCTGAAACTGTCTGACTCACCTCCACTGAAACAAATGCAGACAAGTTTTAATCACTAGTGTTAGATAGTATAAAAGTACTGGAGGACATTGCAGGGAGATTGATCAGTGGGGTAGTTAAAGAACATTGAGCTGTTCCTGAGTTTGCAAATGTTTTTCTCTGTGATTAGGCCACGTGGGCTTGCTAACTGCCCCCCATTAAAGTCAGGCTCCCACTCTTCCACAGAGATTGAGAGATAAGGCACGGTCTTCCTTGATTACATTTCAAAGAGATGGATCCTGGGTTGTAAAACTGGCAAGAGGGTAAGATTAACATCTTACAGGAGGTAGAGAAAAAAATGTACAATTATAAGTTTTCTGAAGTAAATGATCTAAATAAAAGGAGGTCAAGGATGTAGAGTTAGGAAGAAGCCTGTCTAAAGTTCAGTCATGATGAAGGGAATTTTAAAGCTGTCTTAGAGTGTTAGATGTCAACATCTAACAACAAAACACATTAGATACAAATACAAATAATTATTGCCTGTCTGGAGAGGCAAGGAAAAATGGTGGTGTTACCGATGGAGGGTCTTGACTAAGAGTCATCCAGGTTCTTGGGGTTTTGAACAAAGAATTGGACATTGGACAAAATGCACAAACAAAGCAATGAAAGAATGAAACAATGAAAACACACTCCACAGACTGGGAGCCACCTTGAGCAAGCAGCTGAAGAGCGATGTTTACAGAATTTTCTGGGATTTAAATATCCTCTAGAGGTTTCCCATTGGTTATTTGGTTTACGCCCTACCTAATGAAGTAGTGGCCCACAACCAGTCTGACTGATCACAGGAGGGGACCAATCGCAGGCTGAAGTTATAAAGTTACACCCCTATGCAAATGAAGACTGAGCCTGTGACCAGTCTGATTGGTTGTGGGAGGGGACCAATCAGAGACAATTTCCAGTTTTCCTCTGCCAGAAGTGGAAAGAGGGGTGGGTTGCAAAGGGAGTAATCCTCTGATGGTTTTGTTACTTGGGCATGGAGAGGTGGGGTTTTTCTTTTGATTCAGTTCTAGGAAGTCTGTGTGAATCAGCCTTAGGCTCCCTGCCTCCAGACCCTATTCTCCTGCCTCAGTGGGGAATAGAGATAACAAGGAAATAAGATAGATTGGCCTGAGATGCATGATTAACTAAACTCTTTCCTCCTGAGGTGGAAAAAAAAAAAAAAAAGAGGAAAAGAAAAAAAAAGAAAGAAACCAAGAGTTATCCATGATAAATTCATTTTCCAGTTCCTTAATCATTAGTGTTGTGGTTCAGCAGCAACTGTCTGGGCTGGTGGCACAGGGATCAAAGAATTTACCAAGACAGTTGTAGGTAAAGAAAGGCAGATTTATTCAAGAAAGCATTAAAATATGTTGCAAGGGAGCAACGGGCAGAATCAGCAAAAGAAGAGTTGATTTCGACGAAACAAAGGCTTGCTGGAGATTTTATATGATGATTCTTAGGCTGCAGAGTGTCACGTGCAGTAGTGATAATGCCAAGGTTGTAGGGAGCTAACTTGTACTGTTGCGGGAATCAGGAGGACCAGAGACACCTCAGGATAAATACAGGGAGATCTTTATTGAGTGCACTCAGACCCAGCAGACTTAACATCCAAAAACTGGGCCCAGAACCAAGACAGCACTTGACTTTCATAGCCACTTCAAAAAGGGGGTGGGCTAGCTTGAAGCAGGCTTACAGTGGCACGAAAGCAAGGATACAGAGGCAGAACAAAGGCAGTTAAGCAAATTGTGACAGGCTCATAACTCAGGATTACACATGACCGTTGCTATGCAGCCCAGATGTCCATTATTTAGGTTTACTCTAGTGCCTAGCACGGGCTTATCCCATAACCTTCACTATGGTGCCCAGGTGGTTGTATCTCAGGCCTGCTCAGATGGTTTATGACCTTCGCTCCACTGCTTAGATAAGCAGAATACTTGAAGTCACTACTTGCAGAGAACAGGAATCTATAAACTCATACCATAAGAGAAAGGAAAATTTGTTTTTCTCCTCCCTATGTTGAGGGAGTGCTAGGATAGACTTCAGGCCACATTAGATAGCATTATCAAGACTTTCCCTGGGTCTGGGCTGTGCCTGTTGCTGCTTCTGGGACAAGTCAGCCTAATACAGGAAAACTTATTTCTTTTTTTTAAATTTTCTTTTTCTTTCTTTCTTTAATTTCCCACCTCAGCGCATGTCTGGTGATAGGCACAGGAAGACGGTGAGTTATTTCTGCAGTAGGGCTATGTGTCCTGGACCATGAAGAAAGACAGACTTAGAGCTTATCTGCGTTCTCTTTTTGCTTCCCCTTGTTTCGCCAGCCTAACTTCCTTTCCCTAATTAGGACGCCACAGTTAGCGGGAACCCGCTTTACAAGTGAAATATCCCTGCGTTATTGAAGCGAACTGGAGTCCCCCACCCAGCACAGCAAAGCCAAACACTGACATGGGGCTAGCAGCGAGAGAAAATGAGGAAATTTTTGAAGGGCACCAAGCAAGGACATTCAGGCAGCTCATGCTTCAGGCCTGCACTCCCTGATGGCTTACAGGTAAGCAGTTTTAAAGGTGGGGAGGCAGAGGTTACAGGCAAAGTCACAGGATAATACCTGGAGGCTATACATTGGTTTGACCGAAAGATGCAGGACATCTTGAAGCAGAAGGGGGATATAGGTGGACTCAAAAATTTTCTGCTTAGCGATTGGTTAAGGAGGCAAAGCTTTGTCTAAAAATTTGGGGAAAAAATGTTTGCTCTGGCTCGTGGCTGCGACTTCCTCCAGGCCCCTCAGGAAGAAATTTAGAACAAAGAACAGCAGTCTGTCCTCAGTTCTCCTTATCTGAGGTCTATGTGCCAGCAGATGATTTGGTGGGAATCTGGGTTTCTGAAAAACAAGTCAGGGACATACGTCAAAATGTTATTTTTAGTTTCTTTAGGGAACAAAACATCTCCTGCCTATAACTTCTTTGGCTATTGTTTTAAGTTATTATTACCTTCTTGCTTATCTAGTTGCTCATTTACTTCTCAAGGCTAGCTAGGTGCCTGGAATTTCCCTTGGAGGAACTGAAGATTTCCTTTTATTTCCATGTTTGGGGTGGCCTGCAGCCCTCTAAGAGGGGTACCTGGTCTGTCTCTCCTGGAGCTGCTGCTCTTTGCTGACTCAAACGTTCTTACCAATGTTCATACCTTTTGACATTTCTCATACCTATTGAACATTTACTTTCTCAATACATCTTGGTTTCAGTTCTTTATAGTTGAGGGTTTTGGCTGGGACCCTGCCAAATTTCCTTGCCTAATTTCTGTTCTATTCACTTGCCTCACTCACTCCCTCATTTCAAAGGGCAATCAGATACCTAGCTGTTCTCGTATTGCTCAATCCTGTCTAGGAATATGGATTTGAACCAGCAAAATCTAATGTGTCACTACAAAAAAAAAATGTAATATGTAAACAAATAGCATTGAATCTTGTGGAAGCCTATTGGAAATGCAAAATATTGGGTCTCACTCAAGAGCTAGTGAATTATAATCTGCATTAATTTTCTTTTTCTTTTCTTTTTTTTTTTTTTTTTTTTTTGAGACCGGATCTCACTTTGTTGCCCAGGCTGGAGAGCAGTGGCACAATCACAGGTCACTGCAGTCTTCGACCTCCTGGGCTCAAGAAGTCCTCTCACCTCAGCCTCCCAAGTAGCTGCAACTACAGGCATAAGCCACCACACCTGACTAATTTTTTAAAAAATTTTTTGTAGAGACACGATCCTACTTTGTTGCCCAGGGTGGAGAATCTGCATTTTAAATCAACTCTCTAGGTAACTTATTTGCCTATTAAAGTTCAAGAAGCATTGTCCTAGGATTAGATGAGGCCCTGATGTCATAGACAACAACAGTCACCTCATTGTATAATTGAGGCAACTGAGAAAAAGAAATTTTTTGACTTCCATGAAGCTATTGTTTTAATTTGTGGGTAGACCGTGATTGGAACCCAGAACACCTGATTCCCATTCAAAGGCTTGCTCTCTAAACCACAGCGCAGCTTGTCATTTCCAGGCTTCCCAGGATTAAGCTCTGGTCAGATTTTTACTTCTCTAGTCTGCATCAGTTTGGCATCAGCCTCAGCTGTTTCTGTCAGCTGCTCTTATTTCTGTCAATCTCTGTGATGGTCCATATGTAGGAACAGCTGTATGCTCCTCCTGCCAGAGCTCTCTCTGGCACTGTGCAGTTGCAGTATGTTCTCATGCATGAAGAATAGTATGAACAGTTATACTGTCTGTCAATACATCACGTGACTCAGGCGCCAGTGGCAAATTTGTGTCGCCTGTGCCTCAATAATATTCACAGACATGAGAATACTTTTATAAGTTTAGAGAATTGTGTCATGCATAACCTCCTGTCACATCTGATATAGGAGAATTTTTGTTTTTCAATTTACTAAAAATTATTCTTCATTAAATGAAATTTTAGTCTTTTGAGTCTGCGAAACCGACTGTCTGTAATCAGGACCCTTCTAGGTTGGAAGTTGGAAAGAAATTGCTATGTGAGTTATTGAATTTTGCAAATGTCAACCATATTACACTCTATCTCTAAAGTATTCAACACTAAATTCTTATTATCCAGGGACAGTTTGTAAATAATAGAAAGTATAATTGCTCAAGTTTGCTGAATACACTTCTCTCAAAAGTTTAAGGTTTGTCTCTAAGGTGGAAATCAACAGAAAGACAGATGGCTGAGACCAGTGATACTACATTCTCAATATTGTGACCAGCTGTCTACAGCAGCTGTAGCCGCTCCCACAAATCCCTTGAGGATAAGAGCAAGAAAAGGCGTGCTCTTTGTTACTGGCCTTGGAGGACAACCTCAATGTGTGCCCTTGATGGGCTGAGTTGAATGATGCGAAACATACCAAGACTTTGATTGCATGTTAGAGAAGGTAGATCCATGACTGAAAGTAGCTCAGGTTCACCCTGTATTGACTTCCCCAGTGGCATAAAGAAGCATGGAAGGAATCCAAGGAGAGCAACTCAGGGACAATAGGAGTATTTGTTCCTAAAACCCAGAGCCACAGGCCTACAAGGACTTCATGCCTCTCTTGGCTATATCATTAATGTCTTAATGTGGAAATCGTAACAGAGGAAGGGCATCTGTCTTTAGTAGTAGGAGAGCCCAGACCTGTCTTACTGCATAAGCCATATATGTGCAAAAAAGAGAATCCAAAGATTCTTAAACGGTTTTAACTGGTTCACTTATATCCAAAGCACCTGAACCCTAATATATTTTGATTTGAAATGTGTCATAGACTATAATATGAGTGGTGACCCTCACCGCACCTTTCTCCATAGTTGTGCAACACAGTGAACTTGCTAATTGCTTCTCCTCTGATTGGAAAAGGAGGTGAGTTGGATGGGTGGTGTGGGGGTGTGTGTGTGTGTGTGTGTGTGTGTGTGTGTGTGTTTTGCACTCCCTCTTGGAGAATGTTATAATGAAACTTAAATTTAACCCTGAGAGGAACTAGAATTTCTTTATGGTATTTAACTATGAAAACAAACAAGTAACTAGATGTTTAAAAGGCACAGCATGAAATTTCTAGCAGTAAGACAGGAATTTCTAGCTGTAAAGTGGAAATCCTGATAAGTTCCAGGATTAAGAGAATGGATTTTCAGTTTGCCCTTGAAATGGAAGCATCATTGTATTATCAAATCTTTTTTCTCTGTTTTTTTTTTTTTACTTGTGTTTGATATTGAAAAACCAGGAGTTAAATACCTAGAGAATTTTTCTAATATATGTTTACCACTTTCAAACTTGTAAGGCATTCTTGAATACTCGATTTCCATGTATTTTAATGTAATCTTACTCTTCTTTGTCTCTGTATTACGTGGGACAGTACCAAGTATGTGCAACACTGTCTCAGATGTTTTTTTATTTTACTCAAAGAACAGTTGCATGAGCTGGAAGGTATGTGAGAGTTCCTAAGAGCAGCAAATTCATCATAGATATTCAAGTATACTCTACTGAATTATCTAATGCTACCTGACTTCTGTCTTACTTATGTGTATTAGGGGTCCCAGATAGAGGCTAAAAATATGTGACACACTGGTGGACAAAGGAATCCAAACTTATTTTATGTGAGAATTTTGGCTGGAAAAGTTGAGCACCTGTGAGAAGCACCAGGGTGGGGAGGATCATCTGGTATCTGTTTCAGATATTGATTATCTAACCAAGGCAAGGATTTATTTCTAAAATTATAAATAAAAGAAGTGTGTGAAGAAAATGAAGGACCCACTGAAAAATAGTGCCTAAGCCACCTTATATCTGTGCCTCAGTAAATAAGTAGGCATAATGGGGATTCTCCTAATTTCTTCTTTGAATACAGCTTAGTGTCTCTGCCTATAGCAGGAATAACAGCAGATATAGTGGCATACCTACCATCTCAGTGGTTTGGTGTTTTGAGGTAATTGAAAGACAGCTCCTTCGTCACTGACATCAGTTTCTTAAAGGGGGAATAGACTGCAGTAATAGTGAGGAAGCTCTGCCCTCAGGTGGCTTCAAAGAGTGTAAATCAATGAAGGGTAGCCAGAGCCAGATAATATTGAGAGTTCATAAGTACATAAGAAACATCTCTTGGGGATTCCAAGAAACACTTGGTAGAAATTACTTGCTAGTAATTGCACAGGAGAGCAAGAGCTTATGGTATGCACCTAGGTGAGGTGAACAAGGGCCAGTGACATTTGAAATTTTATTTTGGCCTTTGCACAGATTGGTGTGGCCAAGAAGAAATTCGGTCACATCTCCTACCTGTTATCCTGTGCGCAAAGGAAAGAAGAATGAATGAAAACTATCTTTTATAGCCATTTAAAAAATAGATCATGTGCATTGTATTGAGCCAAATAACATTTCCTACAAAGCTCTTCATCTAATAACTTAAAGATATGGGATCATCATGGCCAACTCTGTAAGAATAATGGATGCTAGCAAAAAATAAAATAATACAAGAAAGACATCTAAAGTTATAAAAGTGTGCAGGACAAATAATTATGATGATATCTACTATATGAGAATATTTATATAAGAAACGCTTTAAATTATTTTAAATATTAATAATTTTTATAATTTAATTGTTAAATCACTTTACAGTCTAAATTCTTGGGCACATAGCTATTTAAATATTCTTTTCCTGTGAATTCCCATCATTTCCAGATTGGCTTCTTTTGATGATTTTCTTTCTGGTTATGTATCACAATATCCTGCTTCTTTATATACTTAGAAATTTTTGTTTGGATGCTGGATATTGTGATATTAAATTATTAAATTATATATTTTGTTGTATTCTTTTAAGTTGTGTTAGACTTGGTTCTCCTAGGCAATTACTTGTGGACTAGTTTGATCTTTTCAGTCTTGTTTTGAAAGCCTTTTAGGAAAAAGCTAGGTCTGTCTTTGCACTAGAGATAATTTATCCCCCTTACTCTACCTAATACCCTAATATTAAAAGGTCTTTTTACTCTGGCTGAAAGAAACACAAACTATTTCTATCCCTATGTGAACACCAGAAATTATTTGGCCTGTTGATTTCTCGTGGATCCTTTCAGATCTTCAGGTAATTTCTTTTCATGACTGCTTAGCTCTATATTCAGCCAAAGTCTTCAGGGGATCCTTCTGCCTATCTCCAGAGTTCTATTTCTATGCAACTCTTTCATTTCTGGTCGTCTTGCCTGTAACTTCAAGTTGCCCTGGCCTCCCCAAACTGATCTCTATTTTCTTACTCATAGAAACTTCCAGCCTCTGTTTGAATACTCCCCATAGACTGCAGGGGAGGAGACCGCACCCAGGTTGCAAACTGGAGCACTTTTAAGGCTCACCTTGTTTTGTTTTTCTTCTCTCAATAATTGCAATCTTGTATTGCTTGTTAGACAATGTGTGAAATGGTTTGCTTTATGTATTTTTGTCATTTTCTAGTTGCCTAAGTCAAAAGATAAAATCAAATATCTGTTACTCCACCATGGCCAATATCAGAAGTATTAATTCATTTATTTTTACAATTTATCATTCATAAAATTTTCTAGTATATTCTTTTCTGTCAAGCTAAAATGTGAATAACTTAGGAGTGGAGATCATGTCCTGTTTCTCTTTGTATCATCAGCATCTCCCATTGAATTTTACACAGGGCCCTAAAAAAGATAAATAATATTCATTCAGCATTTCTGTATCATACAATTGGTATAAGTGCTTTTAGGTTAATCCTACTTTAGCCCCGCACCGTTGAAATTCTCATTTTGTAGATAAGTAAGAAACTGAGATACAGAAAGTTTCGATAACTTGCCCAGGATCATAATTCAGGTGTGCTCAGCACATCTTCTATGAATAAATGCCTGACTGCCTAATGAGTTCTGGGGAAAAATGACCATAATATATACAATGGTAATTAAACCATACAGTTAAACTAAAACTTTTTTATTTATTTATTTATTTTTAGAGCCAGAAAGAGCCAGAGAGATTTAAATCACAAAAGATTTAGGTGACCGAGAAAAGGACCAACAAATCTGGCCTTTAATACAACTGTTGGGAACTCATTGTCTAGCAAGTCTTTATTTTATTGCCAAATGCCCATAAAAAGATACCAAGGGAGCTATTTCTAGTGCTTCAGCAAAATAGAACAACTTATAACTGGATGACCCTCAAAAACCTCCAGTTCAATAGGTCCACCCCTAAGAAACCCCTCCTATTTTCCTTTCTTTTTTTTTTCTTCTTCTGTTTTTTTTTTTTTTTAGACGAAGTCTCACTCTGTCACCCAGGCTGGAGTGCAGTGGCTTGATCTTGGCTCACAGCAACCTCTGCCTCCCAGGTTCAAGCAATTCTCATGCCTCAGCCTGTTGAGCAGCTGAGACTACAGGCATGCACCACCACACACAGCTAATTTTTGTATTTTTAGTAGAGACGGGGTTTCACCATGTTGGCCAGACTAGTCTTGAACTCCTGACCTCAAGTGATCTGCCTGCGTCAGCCTCCCAAAGTGCTGGTATTACAGGTGTGAGCCACCGCGCCTGGCCCTGTGTTCCTTTTCTCATCAAATATCTTTCTTTTTCACTCTGTATAGCTAGAGGCTTGGTACCTTCCTGAGTCATACCTCTTTTTCTCTCACTTCTCACATCATCTTTACTTGATCTGGCCAATAGAGGTTAAAACCAAGTCTCTAGAAATATTCAAGAGTGCCTAATAAGAAAATATTTTTTAACTTTACATGCCTTACTAAAAGTAGTGATATTTTATTATCTATTATTTTATTTAAAAATGGAGAGAGACATTGAGGACCGGATAAGTTGTAGCATGGTCAAAATCTGTGGAAAATAAGTGAACTTAGCCAGGACTAGAATTGGAGATCTCTGAATCCCTGTTAGGTTTCTTTCATGGTATTTAAAAACAAAAACAAAAACAAAACAAAACAACAGAAAAGCGAGGTCTCACTCTGCCACCCAGGATGGAGTGTAGTGGTGCAATCACAGCTCATTGCAGCCTCAACTTCCAGGGCTCAATGAATCCTCCAATCTTGGCCTTCCAAAATGTTGGGATTACAGGTGTGAGCCACTGCACCCAGCCTCCCTTCGTGGTATATGCAAGATACTTCATGGATTGAATTTTCTCCCAGACATGATCAGAGTTTTCCTTCAGTTTGGCATGATCATTGCTCATCCTGGGGCACCATCTCAGTTTCTGGCACACCAAACACCACCATAGTCGTGCAGAAAGAATGTGTTGAAGATAAGAAATGTGTGCCATTGGGGGAGGGCTGGGGGTTGGGGAGAGCATTAGGAAAAAGAACTAATGCATGCTGGGCTTAGTACATGGGTGATGGATTGATAGGTGCAGCAAACCACCATGGCACACGTTTAACTATGTAACAAACCTGCACATCCTGCACATGTACCCTGGAACTTAAAAAAAATAATAAAAAAAGAAATGTATTTAATGTAGTGTATACCAGTGTCAAGTTTTCCTTTGTATCAAGGTCATGATTCTGTTCACTGTCTCTCTCAACACTTCCTGTACCTTCTCATTCCTCAAGCTGTAGATAAAAGGGTTCAGGAGAGGGGTCACCACTGTGATGAGGACAGCGGCCACCTTGTCATAATCCAGTGAGGAGTTCTGATTGGGTCTCACATACACAAAGATGTTGCTCCCGTGGGCAATGGAGACAACAGTGATGTGAGAAGCACAGGTAGAAAAAGCTTTCTGACGGCCCTGGGTGGAGGGGATACGCAGGATGGTAGAAATTATGTACACGTAGGACCCAGTAGTGAATGCCAGGGAGCTCAGGATGACAAGGGCAGAGAGGAGAAAGTTTATCTTCTCAATGAGGTGAGTATTTATACAGGCCACCTGAAGAAGAGGGGCAATGTCACAGAAGAAATGATTAATTTCTTTCCTACAGTAAGGTAGCCTTGTCACTACAATGGTTGGAAACAACACAGACAGGAAGGCTCCCACCCAGCATCCCAGAACCAGCAGAAGGCAGGCCCTGCTGTTCATGATGACCGTGTAGTGCAGTGGGTCGCAGATAGCCATGTAGCGGTCAAAGGACATCACCGCCAAGAGGATAAACTCCACCGTCCCCAGAAAGAAGTAGAAATATGTTTGGATCATGCAACCAGCAAAAGATATGGTTTTCTCTTCTCCTAGGAGGCAGGCCAACAACTTTGGGGTAATGACAGTGGTGTATAAGATATCCAGAAAGGACAAATTACTGAGGAAGAAGTACATTGGAGTTTGCAGGCGATGATCAATCCATATCAGGGAGATGATGGTGATGTTTCCTGTTGCTGTTAATGTGTAAGTTACCACAAGAACCACGAAGAGAGATATTCGAATCTCCAGGAGAGCTGGGAAGGCAATTAGGGTGATTTCAGTCACAGTGCTCCAGTTTCCCATGACAACTACTATATGGTGGGCAGGGTTTCCCTGAAGAAACAAGAAAAGGAAAATCAGCTTAGGTAATTTTGTAAATATCTGCTGAGAATGTATTGCGGAGAGTGGCTTATATTGGGAGATGTAGACCTGGTATGTAGTCCTCTATCTGCAAGTTAATTATTGTGCCACACTGGGAAAGTCAAGATACTATTTAGGTACATGGTTTTTTTTTGTTTGTTTGTTTGTTTTTCCTGTAAAATGACGGAATAAGGCTGGATAAAAAAAACTCAACTTCCTTCTAGTTATAAAATTCTATTCCTTTTCATTGATGAAATTTCTAATCTTTTCTATTCTTTTGGCTTCATTTTCTCAGCTAAAAATGTGCTAATGTACTGATGTATACTTAATCAGAATGCCCTTCTATTATTCTGGTTTACAGTTCCTGAGTGGCAAATCCTTTAGAAACGTAAAGTCTTTTCTATAACAAACTTTCTTTCACTTTGGTGGTTGTCATTTAATAAAGGTTGATTTAGTTTTTTCTACATTTGTAGATATCCAGAGTCTCCGAATTCTTAACATCTTTCCCTAGCATGTATAGATCTGTGAAAACTGTCCAGAGATTATTAAAAGGAACAACAGCTGACGGTTCCTATTAATCATTTTAGATGACACCTCAAAAAGAAATAATGAGTGTCTCGCCCTTAGATTATGCTTTTGTGTCTAAAACCTACCTTCTACAAGTTCTGTGCAGTATCTAATATGTATCATATATCTGGCTGATCATTTGAGAGCACCGTATATAGTGTGATAACATCAGAGAGGCACAAATTATATACAGGAAGGCAACATAGAGGTAATTCACCTCACTTCATTTACTTTGTCAGCCGACATTGTGAAACTGTACTTCAAGATCATCTAGTTTGTTCTTTGTCCCACAATGTGAGAAATGATTATTTTGCAGAGACCTCCCCATTTTAGGTAAAAACCAGCCCATGCTTTAACTCTGACCTTGGTGCTTTATTTATCTAGATATCACTTAGCACCTCCTTAATAAATCCTTAATAGATAAGTTAGCATCTCCTCCACTCTTTGCTACTGATCGTGGCCACCTCTTTTTCTTTTTCCAAACTCCCCCTGCACTTTCCTCCAAGATAAAAAATTTACCCTCTTATTTTATTTTTCTTTTTATTATACAAGAAAGACATTTTTAGTGCAAAGAATTAAAAAATGCAAGTGCAGAAAAGAAAATTATAATCTGTAATCGAACTTCTTAGAGATACAGTGACCTTTTGGTGTATATAGTTTTAGGCTATTTTAAAGTTCAAAGTACATACTTGTGTATCTAAAATAAATCATACTAGGAGACTATTTTGTAATTAGCTTTTTTCCTTTTCCTTTCTTTCTCTTTTCTTTCTTTCTTCCTTTTTCTTAAAACAATTTAGCATCTTTCCATGTCAACTCCTAGAAGTCTTCACAATCATTTTTGAGAATTGTATAGTGTTTGATTCTATCAGTGGGACTGTGATATATTTAGCCAGTTGCTTAATGCTGAAAATTTAGATGGTTTACATTTCTTGCTTGTATAAATAATGATCAAATAAATATTCTTCCACATAAATTTTTTGTGCACTTGTCTTATTAATTCCCGAGAATCTTTTCCAATAGGGTGTTTGCCCTCACTATTTGTTACTCAGTACAAAAACCCAAGAAAGATTTATTCTTATAATATTAGATTTTACTTTACTAGAGCAGTTGATAATGTAAAATCACTTACAGATCTCTTTCATGGGTTCTTAGTCTGAGGGAATAGTTCTATATCATAGCTGGGCTGGGGTAGCTGATGCCTCAATGGCATAGAAATACTGTGCTCTTTTTTTTTTTAAATAAATCTTATTTTATGCTCTGAACTTCAGTTTTCTCATCTTAGAATGCTGGGCTGCACATTTAAAAGGTCCATTAAAGTCTTAGGGTCCTACTATCAGTACTTTTTGACTCCCTGACCCACCCCAAAGATTGTAACTTCTTTTATTCTCCAGTAAATAAACTCCTAAATTATTTGCTAAGTTACTGCATAAAAGTGGCTAATCATGAATACATATACTAATATAATAGCATGGGAAATTACATATGAACTTTCTATACAAGGCATTTTGTTACCTGTTTTTTGTGTGTCTTGTATTATTATTTCCATGGGGTTTTTCAGCAGGCAAATTATATTTTACAATTTTTTTCGGTTTTCAATAAAAATAGATCTTTATTGAGTTTTTAGTAGTTGCCAGACATGATCGAAAGCAGTTTACTCTTTTAATTTTCATTATAACCTATGAGATAAGCACTACCTTTATTCTTATTTTTTTATTTTACTTTAAGTATATTTTACATTTTAAGACTCAAGTATTAATTAGATTAATGTGAGATAGTTTGAAGAATTGGGTTCCAATCCTGGTTTTTACCACTTGCAGCTCTTTTTTATTGAATTAAATTCGTCACCTCTGAGTCATAGCTTCTTTATCAGAGAAATAAAGATAATTCTAATGTTCAAAATGACCTGCCATGAGGTTTAAATTAAATCATATATGTGACAATACCTAATAGATTCTTGCTAAAAAATTGATTCTTTTAAGAAAGGAGATGAACAATTAACACTAATTGTTTCTTATCTGAATTAATAACAATAAGTCATGAAAAGATTAATTTTTAACTGAGGAATATTTCTAATGCATACTTAACCTGAATCATTCCAGATTGGCTTCTGACTCCATTCATTAAGAATATTGAAAGATTAGAGCGACTATACACAGAAAAGTAAATTTAACAAAAGTTATATCATATTAGTAAATAAACATATGCAAAAAAGTATACTTACATTGCATCAATTATATAATGTAAACTTTTCCTGTTTTGTATGTGAGACATAGGTAGAGGCTCAAACTTTATCATATATAAATGTATGAATTAATTCATAGCATTGTATTTTGTACTTTGAATTTATTATTATTTTTGCTAATTCTATTTCTAACTCATAGAAATATCTCTCAAAGATGAAATAACCCTTACTAGGCCACTGACCATCCAACCCCATAATGAATCCTTCTCATTAGCACTCTCACCGCATATGCATCCAGCCATTGCTTGGATGACTTCAGTGATTAGTAAATTACTATCTTGCTTTACCACTGGCTGGATGAAAAACTCTTATCTTGAGTGGAAAACTCTGTTATGTAACTTCCAAATACATGTTCACGTACTGATTTTATGGATCAAATACTAACCTTTTCACCATGACAGCCCTTCAAACACCTTTATGTTCTAGATATCCTCCTTGCCCTACATTCCAGTGAATTCAGCACAACACAAATTCTAGAGTCTGTTTTTGCAGATAAAGAAGGTAATACCTGTGGTAAGTAAGTGGCCTTAAAAACTTAGAGTAGATAGATCTTCCTCAACTTCCATTTATGGAGGCTGAAGCAGGAGGATTGCTTGAGGCCAGGAGTTTGATATCAGCCTGGGCAGTATAGCAAGACCCCATCTCTACCAATATTTTGAAAAAACTAGCCAGGTATGGTGGTGAGCATCTGTGGTCCTAGTTACTCTGGAGATGGAGGTGGCAGGATTGCTTGAGCCCAGCAGTTCCAGGTTGCAGTGAGCTATGACCATGGCGTTGCACTCCAGCTTGGGCAACAGAGCGAGACCTTGTCTCTAAAATCAATCGATTAATCAATCAAAAACTATTAAGTCTTAATTCTCAGGTATTTTCCCCATTCAGAGTGACTATATTTTGTCTTTTTGCTTAATTTTCAATTATTTCAATTATTCAGTAACTGAGTTTTTTGAATATAGAATTTCATACAAGCAACTCATCTAGATGTGGCTAAATGGATTTCTTCTTAAGCATACTTACCAAGGGATGGCTCAGTGAAGGGAACTCAGTAAAGTTTTTGGTGTTTCATTTTACCTTCATGACTATTAGACTATCCTTCCATTGAAGCTTTTACTCAATGATCTTGAATGTTATAAATGTTTCACCAGATTAAAGGTGACTTTAATTTTTTTTAACTACTTCTTTCCTTTTCTCAATAGAGTAAAGCTTCCCTTCCTTTCTTCTGTCAGTTTTTGTTAAGTAAGTGGATGAATTATGTTTTTTTCATGGGTTTATTTGCCTTAGAGATTTAGATGAGAACAGCTCTTGGGGATATGGGTCAAAAGAAGTTAATTAATATTGTTATAAAAGAATGTTGGTTCTGAACTTCCTAATCAGAAAGTTTTAGACTGTCTACAAGTAGAGCAGTTAGGGATTCCTTGGGGATTTTCCCAGACATTTTGCTTCTTCCATTTAAAGAGAAAAGAATACCTTAAAAATAATCTATAAGGAAGCTAAAAGCATGGAACACTTTTCATCCTTCTTAAGTTTATTGATATAATCAGAAATATTCTACAACAGTAAATATTCTAGAGTTTCAGATACTATGTACTACCTCTCTCTGTCTACGTTAGCATAATTTTTTAAAAAGTTCCAGTTGAAAATAGGGTCATAGTAAATTCCACAATGTTTTTCCTCCCTGTCCTTTCCCTGTTGAAAAAGATGAGCCGTTGTGTAATAATCACATCGTGCCATTATCAAAACACCTCATGTACCCCATAAATATATACACCTACTATGTACCCACGAAAATTAAAAATAGAAAAATTGTAAAAAGATGGGCTCTTGTACAGAAGTCAGCCTTGTACAACTCTGTTCTTCCATGCTCTTGACCTATCTCTTATGGCTACAAACTTTCCATAAGTTTCCACTGTATTCTTTGATTTTTTTTAATGAAAATTCTTTCAAACATTTTTTACTTAACTAAAAAACCCTCTTTTTTTTTTTTAAACCTTAACAGTAACCTGACTTTCACTTGAGGACACTGGTTCCACTGAGTTGAACGCACATCCTTCTTTCCATGTACAAGAGCGATAGAGTTACATAGCTGCAGGGACATTATAACAATATAAAAATATTATGTAGTTTTATATTTATATTCTATCAATTATATATTATGTGATATGCTATATGACATACATTACATAAGTGTACAATGTGTTTATACTTTTATATATAAATTTGTTATATAAGTATATAGTATATTTATACTATATTATTAATTTTATGATAATATAATAATTTGTTGTTTTTGTTATTTTGCTCCCAATTTCTGCTTTCAATAAGAAATTATTTCTCTGGTTTCTGATAAAACTCCTCCGAGGCTCATAGCATACAATCTTTTTTATTTTTCTAGTATACCATCTTATAAATTTTCTTTGATTCCGCCATTTATTGCCTGAGTTTCAAGAAATAAGCAAATAACTGCTATAGAGCCTTCAAGTAAGACCATTATGGAAGTCATTTTTTAATTGACTCTTTCAGTGGTTCATGTGAACAGCTTTTCTCAGCTGTTTTGATTTGCTTTTGTTGATATTCAACCTAAAACTTGAATGTCTTTTTTTCAAAAATAATCTCAACTTTTATTTTAGATTTCAGGGTACATATACAGGTTTGTTACATGGGTATGTTGCACGATGCTGAGGTTTGGGGTATGGATGATTCCGTCACTTGGGTAATGGGCATAGTACCCAATAGGTAGTTTTCCAGCCCACACACCCCTCCCTCCTTTCCCCCCTAGTAGTTCTCAGTGTCTATTATTCCTATCTTTATGTCCACATGTACCCAATGTTTAGCTCCCACTTATAAGTGAACACATGTGGTATTTGGTTTTCTGTTCCCATGCTAATTCACTTAGGATAATGGCCTCTGGCTACAGCCATGTTGCTGCAAAGGATATGATTTCATTCTTTCTCATGGCCATGTAGTAGTCCATGGTGTATATGTACCACATTTTCTTTATTCCACCATTGACGGGCACCTAGGTTGATTCTATGTCTTTTGCTATTGTGAATAGTGCTGCAATGAACATATGTGTGCATGTGTCTTTCTGATAGAACAATTTTATATTCCTCTAGGTATATATTCAGTAATGAGATTGCTGGGTCATATGGTAGTTTTAAGTTCTTTGAGAGTCATATGGTCGTTTTAAGTTCTTTTAGAAATCTCCAAACTGCTTTCCACAATGGCTGAACTAATTTACATCTCACCAACAGTATATAAGCATTTCCTTTTCTCTGCAGCCTTACTGGCATCTGTTATTTTTTATTATTTTAACTTTTATTTTAGGTTCATGGGTACATGTGTAGGCTTGTTGTGTAGGTAAATTGTATGTTATGGGGATTTGGTGTACAGATCATTTTGTCACCCAGGTATTATAAATAGTACACAATAAGTAGTGTTTCCATCCTCACCCCCCTCCCACCCTCCAATCTCAAGTAGGCCTCTGTGTCTGTTGCTCCCTTCTTTGTGGCCATATATACTCAAAGTTTAGCTCCCACTCGTAAGTGAGAATAGGCAATATTTGGTTTTCTGTTCCTGTATTAACTCACTTAGGATAATGGCCTCCAGCTGCATTCACGTTGCTGAAAACGACATGGTCTCATCCTTTTTTAAAGTTGCATAGTATTCTATTAGGTATATGTACCACATGTTTTAATCCAGTCTACAGTTAATGGGCATTTAGGTTGATTCCATGTCTTTGCTATTGTGAATAGTGCTGCAGTGAACATACTTGTTCATGTGTCTTTATGGTAGAATGATTTACATTCCTTTGGGTATATACCCCGTAATGGGATTGCTGGATTAAATGGCAATTCTGTTTTAAGTTCTTTGGGAAATCTCCAAACTGCTTTCCACAATGGTTGAACTAATGTATACTCCCACCAGAGGTGTATAATCATTCCCTTTTCTCAACAACCTCTCCAGCCTCTGTTATTTCTTGCCTTTTTAGTAATAGCCATTCTGACTGATATGAGATGGTATCTTCTTATGGTTTTGATTTGCATTTATCTAATGGTTAGTAATGTTGAGCATTTTTTCATGTTTGTTGGTCACTTGTGTGTTTTCTTTTGCAAAGTGCCGGTTCATGTCTTTTAATTATTTTTTTAATGGGTTGTTTGTCTTTTGCTTGTAAATTTGTTTAGGTTCCTTATTGATTGTACATATTAGATCTTTGTTGGATGCATAGTTTGCAAATATTTTCTCCCATTCTGTAGGATGTCTGTTTACTCTGTTGATAGTTTCTTTTGCTGTGCAGAAGCTCTTTAGTTTAATTAGGTCCCACTTGTCAATTTTTGTTTTGTTGCTATTTCTTTTGAGGACTTAATCACAAATTCTTTGTCAAGGCTGTTGTCAAGAAGGGCATTTCATAGGTTTTCTTTGAGGAATTTTATAGTTTGAGTTCTTACATTTAAATCTTTAAAAAATTTGAATATCTTAATCTTATTTCCAATGATTATTTCCTCTTAAGTCATCAACTCCATTTTTGTAAATTAGATCTTGCCATTACATATAAATAATCTCTGAAATGTCAAATTCTAGGGTACCAATTTTGAACTATATTCCTCTAATTAAACAACTGTTTCTATGCACTTATTTCATGGCTTGGTCCAGATCTCCAGCTGATAAATTCCTCCATTTTCTAGCAACCTTTCTGCATATATATATATTTATATATGTACACACACACACATATACATATAGATAGAAGTCCAGATCTCCAGCTGATAAATTCCTCCATTTTCTAGCAACCTTTCTGCATATATATATATATTTATATATATACACACACACACATATACATATAGATAGAGCGATATTTTAGAAAACTACATATATATATATACATGTGAAACAAATTTTTCTTTCAGTATTTTAAAGATGTTACTTCACTATCTTCTGGTTTGCACTGCTTCTCACAGGAAATCTGCTGTTAATCTATCTTTGTTTCTTAGTATGTAATATATCCATTTTGGGTTTTTTTCTGCTTTAAGATCTTCTCTTTATCAATGGTTTTAAGAAATTTGATTATCATGTGGTTTGGTGTAGTTTTATCCGTATCTCTTTTGCTTGGGGGTTTGTTGAGCTTCTTGAACCTTTGAGATTATAATTTTTATCAAATTTGGAAAATTTTTGGTCACTATTTTTTCAGATTTTTTCCATTCTCATTTTACTTCAGTGACTCTAAGTGGGATTTGCTTGAAGTTGTACCACATTTCACTGATATTCTGGGGTTTTTTTTTTGTTTTATCTTTTCTCCTTTAGGTATTGTTTTTATTGGTATGTGTTCAAGTTCATTACATTTTTCTCCTACAATGCCCAATCTGTCGATAATTTTATCCTGTGTAATTTTTCATCTCAGACATTGTACTTTTCATCTCTACTTAACAACAAGTGGAATGTAGACATAGTAACAGTCTCAATGTCTTTGATAATTCTATTGTCTCTGCCATTTCCGGATCAATTTCAGTTGATTGACTTGTGAGTTTGTTTTCCTGCTTCTTTATATATCTGTTAATTTTTTGATTGGATACGAAATGCTGTGAAATTTGCCTTCTTGGGTGCAGGATATTTTTGTACTCCTAAAAACATTCTGAAGCTTTTTTCTGGGGTGTAGTTCAGTTGCTTGGAGACAGTTTGATTATTTTGGATCTTGTTTTCAGTCTTTGAATAAGTTAAAGTACTCTTAGAAGACTATCACATCACAAGCACCTAATAAGAATGAGCAGAGAAAGACACACACACAGATTTTTGTTGCGGAATGAGCACTTCCACAAGTGGAAGCTGACACAAAAATGAGAGCCTATGGGAAATATACATCCCCCTAATGTCACTTCAAGCGACATTGTACAATGACATTAAGGGGACATTGTAAGCCTTAAGATTTTAGGTGCTACATTGACATCTCTAAGCTCCACAGGGCCTAAGTGAGTTCCCCTGCTTTCACTAGATATGCCTCCACCCGGCAGCAGGAAAGCCTCCCCTACTTGGCCATTTTTCCTATCAGTCAGGCCAACTGCACCCCACTCAGTATTCAACCTAACAGGCTTCCATCTCCTGCCAGCCCAGCAGCTGTTCACTCTGCCCCGAGTGCCACCGCCGTGTCACCCTGCTTGGCATGCAGTGTCCTCCTCTCTCAGCTGTGAATATATGTAACTAATAAACTACTCTCAACTTTATCTGTCCGTCATTGAGTATCATGTATTTGGCCATCTCTAGAATCATGGGGTAGAACAACCTCCCTCACCAATGGGGTGAAGGTAGTGCCACATTTCAATTGTGTGTGTGTATGTGTATGGGGTACCCAGAAGTAGTCTAAGTTGAGGAGCAGTTTAGAGGAATTCTGATAAGAAAATACCTAAGAAATACTGAATTAGAATAGTGGTAAATTAGATAGGATGGCATCAAGTGACTGCCTATAAGTAATAATTGCCATTTAAACACTTTGTCTTCTCCATACTTTCTATTTTAGATATCCTCGCTGCCAAAACCCAGACCAATTCCTCATTTTTAACTATTTATGACCACAAGACACTTTACTTTTAGGGAGCCCCATATAATGGAGATAAAATGTGAGAAGGTTAGTCTGGGGTTCAGCGCAAACCTTTTTCATCCATTGGCAAGCCAAGGATGTTATTTTATAATGAATACATTTGACTTTAACAAACATTTTCACTAGTATTTTCCTAATCTTTCCTCTCTCACCTCCACAAATAATCTTGGTGTCTTATATGAAGTGTATTATAATCTGTTATTCTCTATGTTATATTTATAGATACTCTCTTCCAACATTGAATATGTGTTTAATGACTGTTGGCTGAATGGAAAGCTAGACACCATAGGGGAAATGATATTAAATTCTCAGACAGAATGACAGGTTCCAGTGCTGACTCTCTTACTACCTAGATTTTAAAAAATTCTGCTTCACATGGGCCTCAGTTTTCTCATCTGTAAAATGAAAATGTTTAAGTAAGATACTCTGTAAAGCCCCTTCTGCTTCAGATCTTTGATTTTATGTCTTTGTCTATGAGGGATAGTCCCAAAATTACCTTTACTGCGATTTTTACAACGAAGGGAAACAGTATTGTATAGTAATTAAGAGCATGGGTTTTGAAGTCAGATAGTTCTTGGTTTGACTCCACTTAACACCTGAGTGACTTTGGGACAGTTAACGTCTCAACTCCTCAGTTGTTTCATCCATCAAATGGGGATAATATGAACGCCATAGAATTATCCTAAAAGTGAAATAAGATGAAGCATGTGAGGCCTTTGGCAGGTTTCCTGACACATGGTAAGTGCTAAGTATCTGAGTTACCGATGACTGGGGCTGAATAAAGGTCATCCACTTTCTAAGCATTAGTGCTTGAAAGACAGACAATGTTTAATGTATTCTCATAAATAGGAATGCTTTGCTTCTGAAACACTTGTCTAGGATAGACTGCTGATGGGTTTGTAATTGGAGTTATAGTAGGCCTTTATCTCTATAGATTTATGGAGAAATAAATTTCTGTCTAGAATTAAAGTTCTTAATTTGTGTTTATAGATCTCTCATACATATTAAAGGAGTCTGTGAACTTGTACTTGCATGAAAAAATTTGAATTTATGAATATTTGTGGTTTTTTTCTAGAGGATAATTTCTCTCAATGGGGCTTATGTAATTTTGTTTCTGATACTGCTATTGTTTTATTTATCTTGCTCATATTTTGTGTTCTAACTCTTCATGTTTTGTTTCTTGAGACAGGGTCTTGCTCTGTCACCTAAACTGGAGTGCAGTGGTGTGATTATGGCTCACTGCAGCCTTGACCTCCCAGGCTCGAGCAATCCTCCCAACTCAGCTTCCTGAGTAGCTGGGACTACAGGTGTGCACCACCATGCCCAGGTAGTTTTTAAATTTTTTTTGTGGAGATCGGGGTCGGGGGGCTTCTCACTATGTTGCCCAAGCTGGCCTCAAACTCCTGGGCTCAAGCAGTGCTTTCACCTCGGCCTCCTACACTGCTGGGACTACAGGCGTGAGCTACAACAACTGGCTGTGTGCTAACTCTTTAATTAAAAAACCCAGGCACTGCATTTTGAATACTTAAATTTTCTAGCCTCATTTTATCACATTGCCATTTATAGACTCAGGAAAGCCAGAGGACGGTGAATATAGAAATAGGTACTTTGGGAAGAAGGTAAAAAGAGCAAAAGTGAAATAGAATCCAGAAGATTAGAGTCTATAGAGGTAATTACACATAGTACTGCTATACAAATTATGAATGGTCAGGAAATAATATGACTTCTGAGGAACTTTGCAGCTTATGTCATGCTGTTTTATCTGTGAATGTGCTGCCAGCCTTATTATAACTTAATAAGTTTCAATATACAAAATAACTTTATTTTTTAGTTACATTAAGAATTCCAGGGAAGCCTGAAATTTTATGTGCTGCTTTGACATAGTTCATTTTTTGTATTTATCCACTTATTGTTTGTTTCTTCATTTATTCTTTCATTCATTCATTGAATTCCTTTTCCATGCCAGATGTTTTAAGGACTTTTTCTCTGGTATCTTCTTCCTACAGACATTTGACTTCTATGTCTCTTTAGTTTAAATACACAACTATCCTTAAGTATAATTTTTCTTCTGGCTTCGTGAGATGGACTGCATAGGTAGGTAGGTAAATAGATAGATAGATAGATAGATAGATAGATAGATAGATAGATGATAGATAAAACTTCTATCAGAAGGCTCATCAACCTCCTAATTAAACAATGTTTGAATAATATATAAAATTTTAGGGACAGTCTCACAACTCTTTCTTGAGTTATAGGCAAAGATCATGTCTGATTTAGGATGCATCTTGCCCTAGACCAGATCGGCAATTACTCACTTGAAACAACAGTGACTCTTCTGAGAAATGCAAACATTTTACAAAACATTGATTAGCAGACATGCTAATAAATACATGATGATAAATCTGAAAATAAACATGGAGAAATATAATCAATCCTAATCCCCTTATCGTGATCACCAATGTTAACATAATGGTTAAAGTCTCTTCTTTCTCTCCTCTATCTACTTCTTTTTGGGAGAATTGGCACTCAGCTTTAAGTTTCTTCAGATGGGTCATTGTCTGCAGACTGATGCTTCTTTTGCCTACTTGTTAATACTTACAATTTGGGTATTGCTATAGAATTCAGTTCCCATGATGGAGGAATACACTATATGAATAAATAGCTTGTGTTTTGATGGTCGGGATTCTTATTCTTCCTGGGCATCACTAAGTACTTGAAAGATATTGCCTCGATTCTTCAACAACAGTCATCACACTCACTGTTTTAGCCAAAAGCCAATGTCCCTGCTGCTTATCTCAAGGGTAGAGGCCAACCACTGTCGTAGTCTGTTTTCTATTGCTATAAAAGAATAGCATAGACTGGAAAATTTATAACAAAATAGAAACTTCTTTAGTTCATGGTTCTGAAGACTAGGAAGTCCAAGAGCATGGGATTGGCATCTGGTAAGGGCCTTTCTGCTGTGTCATAACATGGAGGAAGCCATCACATAGTAAGAGGGCAAGAGTGTGTCAGCTCAAGTCTTTCTTCCTCTTCTTATAAAGCCACCAGTCTCATCATGAGGACCCAATCCTGATGACTTTATCTAATCCTAATAACCTCCCAAAGGCCTCATTTCCAAATACCATCAACTGGGTTTGGGGATTAAATCTCAACATATGAAATCTGTGAGACACATTTAAACCATAGCTATTACCCAAATGTCTAAATGTCTCTTCCCAGTTTCTACCCTGAAAACAAACTCTTGACCCTCTCATATAGCTTATGCTTTAAAACTGTGTACTGACTATTTTTAGAAGTATCTTCACTTCATCTCTCCTGTTTGTGAGTTAAGTTGGTCTTTCCTCTAGTCTCATTTTTCACTCTCAACATGTTTTCTTTCTATGTTTGAAAATTAATTTTTATTTTTTAAACTAATACAAACACATAGTTAAAAGTGAATAAATGCTAACATTTTTGTACAGAAAAAAAAGGTTTCTGTTTCTTCTCTCTACTTCTCAGTCCTTTTTTCTCATTGGAAATTATTATTTTTTTAAATGTAATTTAATTTTAAGTTCCGGGATACGTGCGCAGGATGTGCAGGATGTGCAGGTTTATTGGAAATTATTTTAAACACGTTGGTTGTTTCTTCTAGTGCTAGCTTCATATTTCTAAATAAATGCTTATGCTGTTCTTTCTTATCAAATTTACACATTATCTATTATTGTGCTAAAAGAGGACTTTTAACTTATTTGTTCACTTTCTTTCTCTCATATCTGCTGTACAGAGATACCACAATTTTTAATTGAATAAACTATGAATTTTTATAATATTATGTTATGCCAATATTGTTCACTGTTGATCCAGGAAGGGTATTACAGTTGTTTCTTTTTTTGAAAGATACATTTAATTAAAGTTATCTCATAATTTTTTCCACTCACACTGTTTGCTATCTACTATTTGCTTGTTTAGCCCTCAAATTCTACAACAACTTTTAGCAAATAATCTCTTCCAATAGCTCTCTGCCCTATTGTTTCTCATTATCTTCTGGAACTCCAGTTACCTGTGTATTAGACAATTTGACATTGTCTCACAGATCTTAGACACATTTATAAATTATTATTTTTCTTTGTGTTTCAGTTTGAATAATTTCTACTTTGTCTTTCAGTTTATTCATTCTTTTTTCTTTTGATAAGGCTATTGAATTTTCAATACTGTGTATTTGTTTCCAGTATTTTGTTAGATTTATTTTAATATTGTATGTCTTTGAGAAAATTTTACCTCTTTTTATAAATGTTTTCCATCTTCTTCATTAGATCATTCAACATCAGAGTTAGTTTGAAGCTCTTGTCTACAAATTCCAACATCTGCGACAATGCACCTATTGGCTGATTTTCTCTTAATTTGGTGTTATTTTCTCTTTATTCGAATGTCTCATACTTTTTAATTTTATGTTTAACCTTTTTTTTTTTTTTTTCTGAGACAGGATTTTGCTCTGTTGCCCAGACTGGAGTACAGTGGCATGATCTTGGCTCTCTGTAGCCTCAACCTCCAGGGTTCAAGTAATCCTCTCACCTCAGCCTCCTGAGTAGCTGGGACTACAGATGTGCACCACCATGCCCAGCTAATTGTTTTATTTTTGTAGAGTCAAGGTTTCTCTGTGTTGCCCAGGTAGGTCTCAGATTCCTGTGCTCAAGCAATCCACCTACCTTGGCTCCCAAGGTGCTGGGATTACAGGTGTGAGCCACTGTTCCTGGCCATTATGTTTAAAAGATCAAAGTAGATAATATGTATCCAGAAAAGGGCATTGTTTTTTTTCCTCTGTCAGGCCACCAAAACTAGAAATAGTTTTGTTAATTTTCTTTGTGACTTTTCTCTATTGATTTCTCATCTTTCCTATTTCCTTCTTTTAGGATTCATTTGTTCTTCTTTTACTAAATTCTTAAGATGAAAGTTTAGAACATTGATATGAGACTTTTCTAATATGAGCTTTCAATGGTACACTTTTATTTTTTTATTTTATTTTTTTTTTTTTTGAGACAGAGTCTCGCTCTGTCACCCAGGCTGGAGTGCAGTGGCGTGATCTCGGCTCACTGCCAGCTCCACCTCCCGGGTTCAAGCCATTCTCCTGCCTCAGCCTCCCGAGTAGCAGGGACTACAGGCACCCACCACCACGCCCGGCTAATTTTTTGTATTTTTAGTAGAGACAGGGTTTCACCATGTTAGCCAGGATGGTCTCGATCTCCTGACCTTGTGATCCGCCCGCCTCGACCTCCCAAAGTGCTGGGATTACAGGGCGTGAGCCACTGCGCCCAGCCCACTTTTCTTTTAAAACTTTACCTTAGTTGTGTCTAACTGATTTTGTTGTATTTACTATGTTGTGTTTTTATTTTCACTCAATTTAAAATATTTTCTAATTTCCCAATTGACTTCCTCTTGGACCAATAGATTATTTAAAGAGTTTGTTTATTTCTAATTTCCTAATATTTTGGAATGTCATATACACCTTTTCATTGATTAATTTAATTCTGAATTCTCTTTTGGTCAGCAAATAGACTTTGAGTAATTTCAACTCTTTTAAATTTGTGGAGGCTTGTTTTATGGCATAGTATATGGTCTGTCTTGGTGAATCTTCCCTGTACCACTGAACACAGTATGACTTCTGTTTTGTTGGGTGGAGTGTTGTACAAATAGCTTTAATTATTGTAATTGAATTGGCTACAGGGTTCTTCAGTTCTCTATACTCTTACTGATTTTTTTTCGCTTCTTTGTTCTGTCAACTTGTTATTGAGAAAGGAGTGGTAAAGTTTCTAATAATAATTGTGCATTTAACTATTTCTCCTTGCTTTATTCATTTTGATGCTCTTTTGTTGGGCATGTACACATTGTTCTATATTAGCGTGTTGACTTCGTCATTATATAATATTCATTTTTATCTCTTATAATATCCCTTGTTTTGAAATCTACTTTGTAATATTAATAGTACTACTCCATCTTTCTGTTGACTAATCTTTGTATGGTACATATTTTCCATTTAACTTTTTTAATTGTGGTAAAATACAGTAACATAAAATATGCTGTTAATGATCTAGCTAAGTTTTTATATGTAAAGGGGATTTCTTGTAGGCAGCATTCAGCCAGATTTTCCTTTATTAAAAGATTTTAATCCATTCTTATAATTTTTGTCTTTTAATTGTGGTGTTAAGACCATTACTTTTTAAAGTAATTATTGACTTGGCTTTATTTGAATGTGCTCTCTAATTAGCTGTTTTCTATTTGTTTTATATGTTTATTAATTATTTCTTTTCCATGTTTTTCTGCCTTCCTTTGCATTGGTTGCTTTTTTTTTTTTTTAAGTAATTGTATTTTCTAACTGGTTTTATGGTGGCTCTGTCTTCCTCTCATGCTCTGCCACAGCTGAGCTGGCCCACAGTTTCTGTTTCTCTTTGGACGACCTGTCTGTCGTTGGATTTCTGACTGTTTGTTTTCCCTGTGATCTCAGATCACACTGCTGGTTTCAAGGAAGTTGTGATTTTGTAGTTTAGCTTTTTCTCATTATCAGGTTGGGAGCTATTACCTTTCAGCTTTCTACATCTTGGAGGGAAGTGCATATCCCATAATACTTTTTAAAATTCCCTAAATCTGTTGTTAATAGAAAAAACAAACTCTAAATGTTTCAAAGAGGTTTATTCTGAGTAAATATGAGTGACCAGGGCCTGGGAAAACACAGTCTCAAGAGGTCCTGAAAAAGGTTGTAGGGTTACAGCTTGGTTTTATACATTTCAGGGAGACAGGACTTACAGGCAAAGACATAAATCAATACACGGAAGGTTTCTACCCAAAACGGTGGAATATCTGGAAGCAGGGGTGAAGGTGTGGGGGTGGGGGTTGAGGGAGGCTTACAGGTTATTGGTGGATTCGGAGAGTCTTTAATTTTTGCAGTTGGTTAAAGGAGTAAGGCTGTTTCTAAAACTTGAACTCAGCAGAAAGGAATGTCTTAAGATAAGGATGCTGTGTAGTAAGATTGATGGCCTGCAGGTGTGACTTAATCCTTGCCTTGTGTGGCTGTAGATCTTGTGTAAGAGTTGACATGTTATTGCCACAGAGTCTGTTTTGTCAGCCTTAAGATCTCTATTTTAACATTAATGCTGATCAGTTATTGTACCTAAACTCCAAAAGGGTGGAGGTATAATGAGGTGCATCCAACCTTCCTTCCTGTCATGGCCAAAAGTTCAGTTTTTAAGATTTTTCTGGGGTCTCCTTGGCCAAGAGGGAGTCCATTCAGTGGGTTGGGAGCTTAGAATTTTATTTTTAGTTTACGCTGCATAATATTAGTCTCTACTGCATATCAAGAATTGAACATTTGCTTGAAATTTAATCTACTTTTTCAACCCTACTTCTTCCTTTTTTTCTTTCTTAAAAAGAAATTTTAAATGCTTAAGACATGTATAAAAAGGTATAAAAAATAATACAATGAATCCCCATAACCCTTCCCAACTACAGGGTTAAGGTTGCTAAAATCAAATGCAGAATCTTATCCTGCTGCTAGCTGAGTTACAATGCAGGTTGAACTCCCAGCCTCATAGAGTGTCTACATTAAATGTGAGGGCAGTGATTGGGAAAGAATGGGACCCGGCACACTGGGTTAGGGAAGTGTTAGAACATGTGGAAGAAACTAATAAATTCTAGACATACACAACCTACCAAAACTGATTCATGAAGAAAGAGAAAATCTGAGCATACTTAAAATGAGTAAAGAGATTGAAATAGTAATAAAGTCTCCAATTAAAGAAATGCCCTGGACCTGATGGCTTCATTGCTGAATTCTACCAAATACTTAAAGAAGAACGAATATCAGCCATTCTCAAACTTTTCCAGAAAATTGAAGAAGAGGGAACACTTATAAACTCATTTTATAAAGCCAGCATTACCCTGATACCAAAGCCAAACAAGGACACTACAAGAAAATAAAATTATAGACCAATATCTCTAATAAACATAGATACAAAATTCTTAACAAAATACTAGCAAAGTGAATTCAAACAGCACAATTACAAGGATCATTCACCATCTAGTAGGATTTATCCCTGAGAGGAAAGGATAATTCAGCATATGCAAATTCATAAATGTGATACATCACATTAACAAAATGAAGGGCAAAAATCATATGATCATCTCAATAGATGAAGAAAAAGTATTGGACAAAATCCAATACACTTTTATGATAAAACTCTCAATAAATTAGGCATAGAAAAAATTATACCTCAACATAATGAAGGTCATATATAACAAGGCCACAGCTAACATCATCCTTTTGTTTTTTAACACAAGCCAACATATTTATTAAAAAGATGTGATTTATCTAGCTAACTATGCCTCCTGTTTTTTTTATTATTATTATACTTTAAGTTGTAGGGTACATGTGCACATAGTGCTGGTTTGATACGTAGGTATACATGTGCCATGTTGGCTTGCTGCACCCATCAACTCGTCATTTACATTAGTTATTTCTCCTAATGCTATCCCTCCCCCAGCCCCCAACCCCCGACAGGCCCCAGTGTGTTATGTCCCCTGCCCTGTGTCCTAGTGTTCTCATTGTTCAATTCCCACCTATGAATGAGAACATGCGGTGTTTGGTTTTCTGTCCTTGTGATAGTTTGCTGGGAATGACAGTTTCCAGCTTCATTCATGTCCCTCCAAAGGACGTGAACTCATCCTTTTTTATGGCTGCATAGTACTCCATGGTGTATATGTGCCACATTTTCTTAATCCAATCTATCATTGATGGACATTTGGGTTGGTTCCAAGTCTTTGCTATTGTGAATAGTGCCACAATAAACATACGTATGCCTGTGTCTTTATAGTAGCATGATTTATACTCCTTTGGGTATATACCCAGTAATGGGATGGATGGGTCAAATGGTATTTCTAGTTCTAGATCCTTGAGGAATTGCCACAGTGTCTTCCACAATGGTTGAACTAATTTACACTCCCACCAACAGTGTAAAAGTGTTACTATTTCTCCACATCCTCTCCAGTATCTGTTTCCTGACTATTCAATGATCACCATTCTAACTGGCATGAGATGGTTTTGATTTGCATTTCCCTGATGACCAGTGATGATGAGCATTTTTTCATGTGTCTGTTGGCTGCCTAAATGTCTTCTTTTGAGAAGTGTCTGTTCATATACTTAGCCCATTTTTTGATGGGGTTGTTTGGTTTTTTTTCTTGTAAATTTGTTTGAGTTCTTTGTAGATTCTGGATATTAGCCCTTTGTCAGATGGGTAGATTGCAAAACTTTTCTGCCATTCTGTAGGTTGCCTGTTCACTCTGATGGTAGTTTTGTTTGCCATGCAGAAGCTCTTTAGTTTAATTAGATCCCATTTGTCTATTTTAGCTTTTGTTGCCATTGCTTTTGGTGTTTTAGTCATGAAGTCCTTGCCCATGCCTATGTCCTGAATGGTATTGCCTAGGTTTTCTTCTAGGGTTTTTATGGTTTAGGTCTAACATTTAAGTATTTAATCCATCTTGAATTAATTTTTGTATAAAGTAAAGAAGGGATCCAGTTTCAGCTTTCTACATATGGCTAGCCAGTTTTTCCAGCACCATTTATGAAATAGGGAATCCTTTCCCCATTTCTTGTTTCTGTCAGGTTTGTCAAAGATCAGATGGTTGTAGATGTGTGATGTTATTTCTGAGCCCTCTGTTCTGTTCCATTGGTCTATATATCTGTTTTTGTACCAATACCATGCTGTTTTGGTTACTTGTAGTAACCAAACTACACTACACTAGCCTTGTAGTGTAGTTTGAAGTCAGGTAGCATGATGCCTCCAGTTTTGTTCTTTTTACTTAGGATTGTCTTGGCAATGCAGGCTCTTTTTTTGGTTCCATATGAACTTTAAAGTAGTTTTTTTTTTCCAGTTCTGTGAGGAAAGTGATTGGTAGCTTGATGGGGATGGCATTGAATCTGTAAATCACCTTGGGCAGTATGGCGATTTTCATGATATTGATTATTCCTGTCCATGAGCATGGAATGTTCTTCCATTTGTTTGTGTCCTCTTTTATTTCCTTGAGCAGTGGTTTGTAGTTCTCCTAAAAGAGGTCCTTCACATGCCTTGTAAGTTGGATTCCTAGGTATTTTATTCTCTTTTGTAGCAATTGTGAATGGGAGTTCACTCATGATTCAGGTCACTGTTTGTCTGTTATTTGTGTATAGGAATGCCTGTGATTTTTGCACATTGATTTTGCATCCTGAGACTTTGCTGAAGTTGCTTATCAGCTTAAGGAGATTTTGGGCTGAGACGATGGGGTTTTCTAAATATACAGTCATGTCATCTGCAAACAGAGACAATTTGACCTCCTCTTTTCCCAATTGAATATCCTTTATTTCTTTCTCTTGCCTGATTGTCCTGGCCAAAAACTCCAACACTATGTTGGATAGGAGTGGTGAGAGAGGGCATCCCTGTCTTGTGCTGGTTTTCAAAGGGAATGCTTCCAGTTTTTGCCCATTCAGTATGATATTGGCTGTGGGTTTGTCATAAATAGCTCTTATTATTTTGAGATACGTTCCATCAATACCTAGTTTATTGACAGTTTTTAGCATGAAGCGCTGTTGAATTTTGTTGAATGCCTTTTTTTGCATCTATTGAGATAATCGTGTGGTTTTTGTCGTTGGTTTTGTTTATGTGATGGATTACGTTTATTGATTTGCTAATGTTGAACCAGCCTTGCATCCCAGGGATGAAGCTGACTTGATCATGGTGGGTAAGCTTTTTGATGAAGTGCTGCTGGATTCAGTGTGCCAGTATTTTATTGAGGATTTTTGCATTGATGTTCATCAGGGACATTGTTCTAAAATTCTTTTTTTTGTTGTTGTGTCTCAGCCAGGCTTTGATACCAGGATGATTCTGGCCTTATGAGTTAGGGAGGATTCCCTCTTTTTCTATTGATTGGAATAGTTTCAGAAGGAATGGTACCAGCTCCTCTTTGTATCTCTGGTAGAATTCAGTTGTGAATCCGTCTGGTTCTGGATTTTTTTTGGTTGGTGGGCTATTAATTATTGCCTCAATTTCAGAGCCTGTTATTGGTCTATTTAGAAATTCAGCTTCTTCCTGGTTTAGTCTTGGGAGGATGTATGTGTCTAGGACTTTATCCATTTCCTCTAGATTTTCTAGTCTATTTGCGTCGAGGTGTTTGTAGTATTCTCTGATGGTAGTTTGCATTTCTGTAGGATCGGTGGTGATATCCTCTTTATCATTTTTTATTGCGTCTATTTGATTCTTCTCTCTTTTCTTCTTTATTAGTCTTGCTAGCGGTCTATCAATTTTGTTAATCTTTTCAAAAAACCAGCTTCTGGATTAATTGATTTTTTGAAGGGTTTTTTTTGTGTCTCTATCTCTTTCAGTTCTTCCCTGATCTTGGTTATTTCTTGCCTTCTGCTAGCTTTTGAATTTGTTTGCTCTTGCTTCTCTAGTTCTTTTAATTGTGATGTTAGGGTGTTGATTTTAGACCTTTCCTACTTTCTCTTGTGGGCATTTAGTATATAAGTTTCCCTCTACACACTGCTTTAAATGTGTCCCAGAGATTCTGGTATGTTGTGTCTTTGTTTTCATTGGTTTCAAAGAAAATCTTTATTCCTGCCTTCATTTCATTATTCACCCAGTAGTCATTCAGGAGCAGGTTGTTCAGTTTCCATGTAGTTGTGCGGTTTTGAGTGAGTTTCTTAGTCCTGAGTTCTAATATGATTGCACTGTGGTCTGAGAGACGGTTTGTTGTGATTTCTGTTCTTTTACATTTGCTGAGGAGTGCTTCACTTCCAATTATGTGGCCAATTTTAGAATAGGTGCAATGTGGTGCTGAGAAGAATGTATATTCTGATGATTTGGGGTGGAGAGTTCTATAGATGTCTATTAGGTCTGCTTGGTGCAGAGCTGAGTTCAAGTCCTGGATATCCTTATTAACCTTCTGTCTCATCGATCTGTCTAATATTGACAGCAGGGTGTTAAAGTCTCCCGCTATGATTATTTGAGAGTCTAAATCTCTTTGTAGGTCTCTAAGGACTTGCTTTATGAATCTGGGTGCTCCTGTATTGGGTGCATATGTATTTAGGATAGTTAGCTCTTCTTGTTGAATTGATCCCTTTACCATTATGTAATGGCCTTCTTTGTCTCTTTTGATCTTTGTTGGTTTAAAGTCTGTTTTATCAGAGACTAGAACTGCAATCCCTGCTTTTTTTTTTTTTTTTTTTTTTTTTTGCTTTTCCATTTGCTTGGTAGATCTTCCATCCCTTTATTTTGGGCCTATGTGTGTCTCTGCACGTGAGATGGGTCTCCTGAATACAGCACTCTGATGGGCCTTGACTCTTTATCCAATTTGCCAGTCTGTGTTTTTAATTGGAGCATTTAGCCGATTTACATTTAAGGTTAATATTGTTATGTGTGAATTTGATCCTGTCGTTATGATGTTCACTGGTTATTTTGCCCATTAATTGATGCAGTTTCTTCATAGCATGGATGGTCTTTACAATTTGGCATGTTTTTGCAGAGGCTGATACCAGTTGTTTCTTTCCATGTTTAGTGCTTCCTTCACGAGTTCTTGTAAGGCAGGCCTGGTGGTGACAAAATCACTCAGCATTTGCTTGTCTGTAAAGGATTTTATTTCTCCTTCACTTATGAAGCTAGTTTGGCTAGATATGAAATTCTGGGTTGAAAATTCTTTTCTTTAAGAATGTTGAATAGTGGTCTCCACTCTCTTCTGCCTTGTAGTGTTTCTGCCAAGAGATCCGCTGTTAGTCTGATGGGCTTCCCTTTGTGGGTAACCCAACCTTTCTCTCTGGCTGCCCTTAACATTTTTTCCTTGATTTCAACCTTGGTGAATCTGACAGTTATGTGTCTTGGGATTTCTCTTCTCGAGGAGTATCTTTGTGGTGTTCTCTGTATTTCCTGAATTTGAATGTTGGCCTGCCTTGCTAGGTTGGGGAAGTTCTCCTGGATAATATCCTGAAGAGTGTTTTCCAACTTGGTTCCATTCTCCCCATCACTTTCAGGTACACCAATCAAACATAGATTTGGTCTTTTCACACAGTCCCATATTTCTTGGAGGCTTTGTTCATTTCTTTTTACTCTTTTTTCTCTAACTTTATCTTCTTGCTTTATTTCATTAATTTGATGTTCAATCACTGATACCTTTTCTTCCACTTGATTGCATCGGCTATTGAAGCTTGTGCATGCGTCACGAAGTTCTCGTGCCATGGTTTTCAACTCCGTCAGGTCATTTAAGGTCTTCCCTACACTGTTTATTCTAGTTAGCTATTCATCTAACCTTTTTTCAAGGTTTTTAGCTTCCTTGTGATGGGTTCAAACATCCTCCTTTAGCTCAGAGAAGTTTGTTATTACCGACCTTCTGAAGCCTACTTCTGTCAACTTGTCAGAGTCATTCTCCTTCCAGCTTTGTTCCATTGCTGGCAAGGAGCTGTGATCCTTTGGAGGAGAAGAAGTGCTCTGGTTTTTAGAATTTTCAGCTTTTCTGCTCTGGTTTCTCCCCATCTTTGTGGTTTTATCTACCTTTGGTCTTTGATGTTGGTGACCTACAGATGGGGTTTTGGTGTAGATGTCCCTTTTGTTGACATTGATCCTATTCCTTTCTGCTTGTTAGTTTTCCTTCTAACAGTCAGGTCCCTCAGCTGCAGGTCTGTTGGAGTTTTCTGGAGGTCCACTCCAGACCCTGTTTTCCTGGGTATCACCAGCAGAGGCTGCAGAACAGCAAATATTGCAAAATAGAAAATATTGCTGTCTGATCCTTCCTCTGGAAGCTTCATCCCAGAGGAGCAGCTGGCTATATGAGGTGTCTGTTGGCCCCTACTGGGAGGCGTCTCCTAGTTAGGCTACACAGGGGTCAGGGACACACTTGAGGAGGCAGTCTGTCTGTTCTCAGATCTCAAACACCATGCTAGGAGAACCACTGCTCTCTTCAGAGCTGTCAGACAGGGACACTTGAGTCTGCAGAAGTTGTCTGCTGCCTTTTGTTCAGCTATGCCCTGCTCACAGAGGCGGAATCTATAGAGGCCCATAGGCCTTGCTGAGCTGCGATGGGCTCTGCCCAGTTTGAGCTTCCCAGCCACTTTGTTTATATACTCAAGCCTCAGCAATGGCGGACACCCCTCCCCCAGCCTGGCTGTCCCTTCGCCGTTCAATCTCAGGCTGCTGCACTAGCAGTAAGCAAGGCCCCGTGGGCATGGGACCTGCAGAGCCAGGCCCAGGAGAGAATCTGTTTGTCTGCTGGTTGATAAGTCCTTGGGAAAAGCATAGTATTTTGGTGGGAGTGTCCTGAATTTCCAGGTACAGGCTGTCATCGCTTCTCTTGGCTAGTAAAGGGAAATCCCCCGACCCCTTGCGCTTCCTGGGTGAGGCGACGCCCCGCCCTGCTTTGGCTCGCCCTGTGTGGGCTGCACCCACTGTCCAACCAGTCCCAATGAGATGAACCAGGTACCTCCGTTGGAAATGCAGAAATCACCTGTCTTCTGTGTCAATCATGCTGGGAGCTACAGACCAGAGCTGCTCCTATTTGGCCATCTTGGATCTCCTGCTAACATCATGCTTAATGGTGAAAAGGTGAAATCATTTCTTGTAAATCAGGAACAAAGCAAGGATGTCCACTCTTGCCACTTCTAGTCAATATGGTCTTGGAAATCCTAGTCAGAACAATTATGCAATTATACAAGAGAAAGAAATGGAAAGTACCCAAGAATAAATATTCTTATAATGTTCATACTACTGAAAGCAATCTGCAGATTCCATGGAATCCCTATCAAAGTTATAATGACATTTTTCAAAGAGATAGAAAAAAATCCTAAAATTTGTAAGGAACCACAGAAGACCCCAAAGAATGAAAGAAATCTTGATCAAAAGGAACAAAACTGGAGGCATCACACTCCCTACTTCAAAAAATGCTACAATCCTATAGTAATCAAAATAGCATGATACTGGCATAAAATCTAACTTACAGTCCAATGAAGCAGAACAGAGACCCCATAATTAAATTTATCATTTATGGTCAATTGATTTTTAAAAAGATGCCAAGAACACACAGTGGGGAAAGAATGTCTCTTAAATAAATTATATTGAGAAAATTGGATATCCACACACAGAAGAATTAAATTGGACCCATATACAAAAGTCACAGTGTGGCTCTCCCCATGCTGCTTTGCCTGTCCGAGTGGGAGCTGCAAGTTAGTACTGCCTCCTATCAAAAATCAACTCAAATGTGATTAAAGACCTAAATGTATGATCTGAAAGTGTAAACCTCCTGGACACAAACATAGGGGAAAAGCATTTTCAATTTGGTGTAAGCAATGATTTTTTAGTTGACACCAAACACATGGGCAACAAAAGCTCAGTTAGACAAGGGCAATTCATGAAACTAAAAAGCTTCTGCCTAACCATGAAACAATCAACAGAGGGAAGAGATAACTTATGGCTTGGGTGAAAATATTTGTAAACCATATATCTGACAAAGACTTAATAACCAAGGGAAAGTGGCAGATAGGAGGCAGGACTAACTTGCAGCTCCCACTTGGACGGGCAAAGCAGCATGTGGAGACCCACATTGTGACTTTTGCTCTAAGAACTACTGCAGGAACATACTAGAAAAGCTGAGAGAATCCACAGATTCTTTGAAGGAGGTGGGTTGCCACATCCATGCTCATGGATGGGTAGAATCAATATTGTGAAAATGACCATACTGCCCAAAGCAATCTACAAATTCAATGCAATTCCCATAAAAAATACTACCATCATTCTTCATGGAACTAGAAAAAACAATCCTAAAATTCATATGGAACCAAAAAGGAACCCACATAGCCAAAGCAAGACTAAGCAAAAAGGATAAATCTGGAGGCATTACATTACCTGGCTTCAAACTATACCATAAGGCCATAGCCATTAAAACAGGATGATACTGTTATAAAAACAGGAATATCGACCGATAGAACAGAATAGAGAACCCAGAAATAAAGCCAAACACTTACAGTCAACTGATCTTCGACAAAGCAAACAAGAACAGAAAGTGGGCAAGGACTTCACTCAACAAATGGTGCTGGAATAATTGGCAAGCCAAATGTAGAAGAATGAAACTGGATCCTCATTTCTCACCTTACACAAAAATCAACTCGAGATGGATCAAAGATTTAAATCTAAGACCTGAAACTATAAAAAGTCTGGAAGATAACATCAGAAAAACCCTTCTAGACATTGGCTTAGGCAAAGACTTCATGACCAAGAACACAAAAGCAAATGCAACAAAAACAAAGGTAAATAGATGAAACTTAATTAAACTAAAAAGCTTCTGCACAGCAAAAGAAATAATCAGCAGAGTAAACAGACAACCCTCAGAGAGGGAGAAAATCTTCACAATCTATACATCTGACAAGGACTAATATCCAGAATCTACAAGGAACTCAAACAAATCAGCAAGAGAAAAACAAAAAATCCCATAAAAAAGTGGGCTATGAATAGATAATTCTCGAAAGAAGATATACAAATGTTCAGCAAACATGAAAAAATGCTCAGCATCACTAATTATCGGGGGAATGCAAATGAAAACCACAATGTGATGCCACCTTACTCCTGTAAGAATGGCCATAATCAAAAAATTTAAAAAAATAGATTTTTGCCTGGATGTGGTGAAAAGGGAACACTTTTACACTGTTGGTGGAAATCTAAACTAGTACAACCATTATGGAAAATGCTGATTCCTTAAAGAACTAAAAGTAGACTCCTTAAAGAACTAAAAGTAGATCTACCATTTGATCCAGCAATCCCACTCCTGGGTATCTACCCAGAGAAAAAGAAGTCATTATACAAAAAAGATAACTTGCATATGTATGTTTACAGCAGCACAATTCGCAATTGCAAAAATATGGAACCAGCCCAAAAACTCACCAATCAACGAGTGGATAAAGAAAATGTGGCATATATATGCCATGGAATACTACTCAGTAATTAAAAGGAATAAAATAATGGCATTTGCCGCAATGTGGATGGAATTGCAGACCATCATTCTAATTGAGGTAACTCAGGAATGGAAAAGCAAACATTGCATGTTCTCACTCGTAAGTGGGAGCTAAGCTATGAGGACTAAGGCATAAGAGTGATACCGTGGACTTTGAAGATTCAGAGGAAAGTGTCGGAAGAGGGTAAGGGATGAAAAAAAATTCAGATCGGGTATAGTGTACACTGCTTGGGTGATAGGTTCACTAAAATCTCAGAAACCACCACCAAATAACTTATTAATGTAACCAAACACCACCTGTTCCCCAAAAACCTATTGAAATAAAAAAATGAGTTAATATCCGGAATTCAAACATTCAATAGCAAAAAACCAAATAACCCAATTAAAAATGGGCAAAGAATCTGGATAGACATTTTTCCCAAGAAGAGATACAGGTAACTAATAGGTATATGAAAAAGGTTCTCAACATCACTAATCATCAGAGAAATATGAGTCAAAACCACAATGAGATCATCTCATGCCTGTTAGAATGGCTATTATCAAAAAGAGAAGGGATGACAGATGTTGGTGAGTACGGGTGGAAAAGAGAAATCTTGTAGCCTGTTGGTAGAAATATAAATTGGTATAACCATTATGGAGAATAATATGGAGATTCCTCAAAAAATTAAAAATAGAATTACCAGATGATCTGGCATGCTCATTTCTGGGTATATGTCCAAAGACTTGAAATTAGATCTCAAAGAAACAGCTGTACTTTCATGTTTGTTTTATCATTATTCACAATACTCAAGGTATGGAAACAAACTAAGTGTCCACCAATGGGTAAATGGATAAAAGAACATGGTATGTAAATATAATGGAATACTTTTCAGCCTTAAAAAAGAAAAAAAAAAACCTCTGATTTTGCAAAAGCGTGAATGAACCTGTAGGAGGTGGGAGAGTATTATGCTAAGTGGGATAAATGACCATAGAAAAGGCCAATATTAAATGATCTTACTTACACATATGGAATCTAAAAAGGTCAAACTCACAAAAGCAGAGAGTAGAATGGTAGTTGCCAGGGGCTGGTGGTTGGGCATGAGGAAGAGTTGTTGGTCAAAGGGTACAAAGTTTCAGTTATGCATGATGAATAAGCTCTGGAGATCTAACGTACAGCATGGTGACTATAGTTCATAATACTGCACTGTATACTTGAAATTTGCTGAGAGAGTAGATCTTCAGTGTTCTTATCACACACCAACAAACAAATGGTAACGTGATGTGATGCATATGTTAATTAGCTTGATTGTGGTGATCATTTCACAGTCTATGTATTAGTGTTTCAACCACAGTCTATGTGTACAGTGTTTCAACCATTACGAAAACAGTGTGGAGTTTTCGTAAAGAACTAAAAGTCGGCCTACCATTTGATCCAGCAATCCCACTCCTGGGTATTTACCCAGAGGAAAAGAAGCCAGTATATGAAAAAGATACTTGAGCATGCATGTTTATAGCAGCACAATTCACATTGCAAAAATATAGAACAAGCCCAAATGCCCATCGGTCAATGTGTAGATAAAGAAAAATGTGGCATATATATACCACGGAATACTACTCAGCCATAAGAAGGAATGAAATGATGACATTTGCAGCAGATATTTAATATATATCAAATATAACATTGTACACCTTAGAATAGATACAATTTTTAATTGTCAATTACACCACAATAAGGCTGGAAAAAACAATAAGGAAACTATAGAAAAGATTTTTACTTTAAATCCTTATTTTTGGGTGTGCATCACCATATCCCCTAATTTAATCAATTGTCTTTTAACTTTTCAATATTACATTTGTGTATGACAGCGTGTTGTGCACAAGTGTCCAGCAGCCCCAGTAAACTTACTTTACCGTTCCCAGGCCAGTTTACCTATGCCCATACAAACTGGCTCTGTTCGCCTGTTGGGTTTTGTGCTAGGATATTTAGCCTCTCTCATCTCTCAGATTCATAACCCTGCTTTTTGCCATACACCATTTTGGTCAGCACTATATCTGCAGGGATTATGGATTCTTTTTATTTTATTTTATTCTATTTTATATTTTATTGAGACAGTGTCTTATTCTGTCTTCTAGGCTGGACTGTAGTAGCATGATCATGGCTCACTGCAGCCTTGAACTCCTGGGCTCAAGCATCCTCCCGCCTCAGCCTCTGGAGCAACTAGGACTACAGGCATGCACCACCATGCCTAGCTAACTTTTAAAATTTTCTTTCTTTTCTTTTCTTTTTTTTCCTTCTTTCTTTCTTTTTTTTTCCTTCTTTCTTTCTTTCTTTTTTTTTTTTTTTTTTTTTCTGAGACAGGTCTTGCTCTGTAGCCCAGGCTGGAATGCAGTGGTGTGATCTCGGCTCATTTCAACCTCCACCTCCCGATTCAAGCGATTCTTCTGCCTCAGCCCCTTGAGTAGGTGGGACTACAGGCATGCACCACCATGCCCAGCTAATTTTTGTATTTTTAGTGGAGACGGGGTTATGCCATATTGGCCAGGCTGGTCTCGAACTCCTGACCTCGTGATCTGCCTGCCTCAGCCTCCAAAAGTGCTGGGATTACAGGCATGAGCCATCGTGCCTGGCCACTTTTTTGATTTTCTTTGTAGAGACAGAGTCTCATTATGTTGCCCAGGATGATCTTGAGCTCCTGGACTCAAGCAATCCTCCTATCTTGGCCTCCCTGTTCTGGGATTACAGATGTGAACCACCCTAAAAAAAATAATCAGTTTTAAAAAAATATCAAAGCTAGTATAAATTGAGCGAATCTCTTGCGGTCCTTTTACAGGTTGAAGAGTTGGTGAAACATCAGGACCACTCATCTTTTATAATGATTCATTAAAATTTTAGTAGACCATGGAATACTATGCAGCCATAAGAAGGAATGAGATCATGTCCTTTGCAGGGACATGGATGAAGCTGGAAACCATCATTCTCAGGAAACTAACACAGGAACAGAAAACCAAACACCGCATGTTCTCACTCATAAGTGGGAGTTAAACATTGAGAACACATGGACACAGAGAGGGGAACAACACACACCAGGGCCTGTTGCGGGGTGGGAGGTGAGGGGAGGAAACTTAGAGGATGGGTCAATAGGTACAGAAAACCACCATGGCACATGTATACCTATGTAACAAGCCTACACATTCTGCACATGTATCCCATTTATTTTAGAAGAAATAAAAAAAAGAAAAAGAATTAGTAAATATTCCATCTATCTCTGCTTTGTTATGCCATTTTTAATTAGCCAGGCTTTAAGCAGTTCTTTTTTGATGACTGTCTAATTTTAGCCTTTTTTTTATTTGTGAGGGTGATTTCTTTTCAAAGGTGCAATTCTTTCAGGCTGCTTATTGGAAATAGAGCCCTATATTACTTTTGGAATTAAAAAAATATATCAACACTTCATAAGTTTGCCGTATGTTTTCTGTTTTTGACATTTTTATTTTACTTTAAGTTCTGGGATACATGTGCAGAATATGAAGATTTGTTACATAGTTATACACGTGCCATGGTGGTTTGCTGCACCTATCAACTCATCATCTAGGTTTTAAGCCCTGCATGCATTAGGTATTTGTCCTAATGCTCTCCCTCCCCTCACCCCTACCCCCTGACAGGCCCTGGTGTGTGATGTTCCCCTCTCTGTGTCCATGTGTTCTCATTGCACAACTCCCACTTATGAGTGAGAACATGTGGTGTTTGGTTTTTTGTTCCTGTGTTAGTTTGCTAAGAATGATGGTTTCCAGCTTCATCCATGTTCCTGCAAAGGACATGAACTCATTCTTTTTTATGGCTGCATAGTATTCCATGGTGTATATTTGCCACATTTTCTTTATCCAGTCTATCATTGATGGGCATTTGGGTTGGTTCCAAGTCTTTGCTATTGTAAATAGTGCTGCAATAAACATACATGTGCATGTGTCTTTATAGTAGAATGATTTGTAATCCTTTGGGTAATGGGATTGCTGGGTCAAATGGTATTTCTGGTTCTAGATCCTTGAAGAATTGCCACAATGTCTTCCACAGTGGTTGAACTAATTTAAACTCCCACCAACAGTGTAAAAGTGTTCCTATTTCTCCACAGCCTCACCAGCATATATTGTTTCCTGAGATTTTAATAATCACCTTTCTGACTGGCGTGAGATGGTATCTCATTTTGGTTTTGATTTGCGTTTCTTTAATGACCAGTGATGATGATTTTTCTTTCCTATGTTTGTTGGCCACATAAATGTCCTTTTTGAGAAGCATCTGTTCATATCCTTTGCCCATTTTTTGATGGGTTTTTTTTTTGTTGTTGTTGTTGTAAATTTAGTTAAGTTCCTTGTAGATTCTGGATATTAGACCTTTGTCAGATGGGTAGATTGCAAAAATTTTCTCCCATTCTGTAGGTTGGCTGTTCACTCTGATGCTAGTTTCTTTTGCTGTGCAGAAGCCCTTTAGTTTAATTAGATACCATTTGTCAATTTTGGCTTTTCTTGAAATTGCTTTTAGTGTTTTAGTCATGAAGTCTTTGCCCATGTCTATGTCCTGAATGGTATTTTCTAGGTTTTCTTCTAGGGTTTTTATGGTTTTGGGTTTTACATTTAGGTCTTTACTCTATCTTGAGTTAATTTTTGTATAAGGTTTGAGGAAGGGGATCAGTTTCTGTGTGGCAGATGGGAATGGGAATGTGGAGTGGGAATGTGACCATTAAAAGAATACTCCATTCAGTTTTTCTCAGGACACCTCCCTCAGTTTATACTTTCAATTTCATAAATCCAAGGGTTTACAAAAATCTTTGGAGTATTTAATTATATTAATATTTTAAAAATAACCGGGTTCTTAAGATGTAGACATTTTCAAGGATTTGCATTTATCTTTATGGAGGAGGAATCTCAATTTAAGAATGTATTCCTTTAAAAAATTTAAAAAAATTTTTTTAACTTCAGTCTCTGCGCTAGTAAGAACGTATTCTTTATAAGTCTATTACTCAAGTGAACTCATGACAGTTTTTTCTCTTTAACTGTAAAATAAAAAGAAAAGTTTTAAATCATATCTCCTACTTGAGGAAACATCTGAACTTAACTCTCCTTCTAATATATATTTTATTGTTTATGAAAATTATGTTTGTTAATTTTTCCAATATTAAAATTGACATATGCTTCCCAAGTTTTAAAAGCTCCAAAATGTGGGAAAAAGAGATATAATTATAATCCCACTCTTCAAACAAAGTTATTTAAACATTCTGTATAGTGGATTTTCTTCCAGCTTTAAAATGACTTTTCAAAATAGGTGATTTGGCTTTAAGATTTTAAGAAGCTCTTAAAGGTATTACTGCTCATGATTAAAATGTATACAGTGTTTCAATGTTAAAGGTCTTTTTTAGCATTTTGTCACTACCACTTAATTCAATGTCATAACCATAGCAAAACAAACAATTTCTTAGATTTAGTGGAATAAATTTCCTCCTCGAGTGAAACAAATTTCCAGGTTGAAACCATAGTATAGCTTTCAAGAAAATGAATTCTGTTAACAACCCAAAGGTGTAGGAAATGGATTATCTGCTAGGGCTCCCAGGAAAGAATGCAGCCTGCTGACATTTTAGCCCGGTAAGATCTGTGTTGGGCTTCTGACCTACAGAAGTATGAGATAACAAATCTGTGTTGTTTTAAGCTGCCAAATTGGTGGGAATTTGTTATGGCAGCAATAATCACCTAATATGGTAACTTTTGATACCTTGTCTTAATTAGGCTCTGATTATAAGCACAGAGCAGAAAGTTACGGGACTCCTTCACTCTTGCTGACTTTGGTCTACCTTCTTTTTGTCTTTAAACATTTGTCCACTTCGTTATCTTATGATGGACTGTGCTCTCTTATAATACTCTGAATTCATTCCTAAGACAGCTCTTTCTTTACCTGCTCTTTGCTGAGAGATTCCATGCCAATTCTTAAGGCCCCTATCTTTGTCCACTCAGCTAGAGAGTCTGTCTTTTTCCCATTCCTACACTCTTTTTAGAGAGCTTACTCCCACAGCACCTACTTATTGGCATTGTGGACACGGTGATTTGATACCTTGCTGACTCATTCTTCTTACAAATAAGTGAATCAGAAGTGGAAATCTCTCTCTAGTTGGACCAACCATATCCTCCTCCCAGAAATTTGGATTTTGAACTCAGATCATTTTAAATATGTATCCACTTAAATTTAATACATATCAATACATTCAAATACATTCAATATCTATACCCTTATATATTGAATATATATCTGTAATTGAGTATATACATATATTTGTGAATGACAAAA